>NC_000011.10:63615983-63919013 GCF_000001405.40 Homo sapiens
TGACAAAAATTGCCACGTATTTGTCATGTACAACATGTTGTTTTGAAATATGTATACATTGTGGAATAACTAAATCGAGCTAATTAACATATGCATTACCTCACATACTTCTTTTGTGGTGAGAACACAAAACCTCTCCGTAATTTTCAAGAACATAGTACATTGTTATTTACTATAATCACCATGTTGTGCAATAGATCTGGTGAACTTATTCCTCTATTCCTCCTAACAGAAATTTTGTACCCTTTGACCAACATCTCCCTGACACCCCCCTGTTCCCCCCAACCGCCGTAACTGCCATTCTACTCCCTACTCGTGGGTTCCATTTTTTTAGATTCCATATATAAGTGAGATCACAAAGTATGTGTCTTTCTGTGCCTGGCTTATTTCACTGAACGTAATGTTCTCCAGGAAAATAACTGTTATCTGGTAAGCCTCCCCACATAATTTAGTTGCATCTTTTTAATTTTTATTTTTATTTAAATAGAGACAAGGTCTCAAACTCCTGGACTCAAGTGATCCTCCCTCCTTGGCCTCCCAAAGTGCTGAGATTACAGGCGTGAGCTACCGGGCCCCGCTCTTAGTTGCTTCATTACAACTTACTATTCTTTGTCCAATTCGGTGTAGAAGTAACTGACACCAACTACTTCTTTGGGTCTTCATTTCCTTATGAGGGCTCCTGTGTTGCAGGACGCAGAGGAGTAGAGAGACCAGTATAGGCCGGGCGCGGTGGCTCACGCCCGTAATCCCAGGACTTTGGGAGGCCGAGGCGGGTGGATCACGAGGTCAGGAGATCGAGACCATCCTGGCTAACACAGTGAAACCCCGTCTCTACTAAAAATACAAAAAATTAGCCGGGCGAGGTGGCGGGTGCCTGTAGTCCCAGCTACTCGGGAGGCTGAGGCAAGAGAATGGCGTGAACCCCGGGGGGCGGAGCCTGCAGTGAGCCGAGATCGCGCCACTGCACTTCAGCCTGGGCGACAGCGAGACTCTGTCTAAAAAAAAAAAAAAAGGAGAGACCAGTATAGGTGAATACAGGAGGATATTTATTTTAAGGTGCACACCAGCTCAGTGGGTTCACATCCAAAAAACTGAGCCTTGAACAAAGACCAAGCAGGATTTTTATAAGCAAATTTACAGAAGCAGCAAAGCAAAGGCAGTTAATCATATAATGACAGGTCACATAATCTATAGCATAACTGATGACATGGCATAACTTGTGGCCTTGCATAGCTGGTGGCCTTGTAGCTGCATTGAAAGTAAAAACAAGAACTGGCTAAATTTCTTTTAGCCAGATATTTTGTCCTTTTTTTTTTTTCTTTCACCTTTACTCCGGAGGTGGGGCATCTGGAGCCTATTCCTTTGGTTTTGACTTCTCAAACAGCATTATCTTATAACTGTCCTTGAAGTGAGCTTGCTAGGCAGAGGAAAACTTGCTCTTCTTTTCTTTTTAACCATTGCCTTGCCACATTCTGGGCTTTGGCTTTTACTTTTCTTGGAGTGAATGAATGCAGTACTTATTATTATTTTTAAATTTCTGCCTCACCTATGCCAGTAAAACTTGTATTAAAGAAATGTGTATGCTTTTCTCCTGTTAATCTTTTTTATTTTTTTGAGACAGGGTGATATGGTTTGGATCTGTGTCCCCACCCAAATCTGTTGTCAAATTGTAATCCCCAATGTTGGAGGTGGGGCCTAGTGGGAGGTGACTGGATCACAGGGGCGAATTTCCCCCTCAGTGCTGCTCTCTGATAGTGAGTTAATGCTTGGGAGATCTGGTTGTTTAAAAGTGTGTAGCACCTCTCCCCTTTCTCCCTTTCTCTTGCTCTGGCCATGTGAGGTGCTCACTCCCCTTTTTCCTTCTGCCATGACTGAAATGTCCTGAAGCCTCCCCCAGGCTTCCTGTACAGCCTGCGGAACCATGAACCAATTAAACCTCTTTTTTTTTTCTTTTTTGAGAGGGAGTTTCCCTCTGTCACCCAGGCTGGAGTGCAGTGGCGCAATCTCAGCTCATTGCAACCTCTGCCTCCCGGGTTCAAGCAATTCTCCTGCTTCAGCTTCCCGAGTAGCTGGGACTACAGGCATGTGCCACCATATCCAGCTAATTTTTCTATTTTTAGTAAAGACGGGGTTTTGCCATGTTGGCTAGGCTGATCTCAAACTCCTGACCTCAGGTGATCCGCCCACTTCGGCCTCCCAAAGTGCTGGGATTACAGGTGTGAACGACCGCAACCGACTTAACCTCTTTTCATTATAAATTACTGAGTCTCAGGTATTTATTTATAGCAGTGCAATAACACAGTGTCTCGCTCTGTCACCCAGGGTGAAGTCAGTGATGAGATCATAGCTCACCACTATGGCCTTGACCTCCTGCACTCAAGTGATTCTCCCACCTTAGCCTCCCAAGTAGCTGGGATGACAGGTGCCCACTGCACAACTGGCTAATTTCTTTTTTTATTTAAGCAGCAGTGTTTTACTATGTCACCCAGCCTCGTCTGCAACTCTGGGGTCAAGTAATCATCCCGCCTCAGCTTCTCAAAATGCTGGGATTCCAGGTGTGAGCCACCACACCTGGCCCTGTTGATCTATCTTATGTCAATGTAGTTCTTAGGCCCAGCTGAGACCCTAAGAGGATGGAGGTGGGGCTCACAAAACTGTATTAAATTTAAAGCTATTCAAAGGCAAGGATCTAGCAGAAAGTGCTTTTAACTATTGGGTCTTAATGTCATCACATATCCCCAAATCCTTGCACAAAACCTAGCACATCGGCTGGGCATGGTGGCTCACACCTGGAATCCCAGCACTTTGGGAAGCCGAGGCAGGCAGATCACTTGAGCGCAGGAAATCGAGACTAGCCTGGCCAACACAGTGAAACCATATCTCTACTAAAAATATAAAAATTAGCCACTCATGGTGCTGGGCACCTGTAATCCCATCCCCGCTACTCAGGAAGCTGAGGCAGGAGAATCATTTGAACCTGGGAGGCAGAGGTCGCGGTGAGCTGAGATTGCACCACTGCACTCCAGCCTGGGCCACACAGCGAGACTCCATCTCAAAAAAAAAAACCTAGCACACCATAGGCATTCCATGAATGAAAGCATGAATGAAGAATGAATGACCAACACAGGCTCTTTCTCTGCACTGGGATATGACTTCACACGAGTAGAACCAGCTCTTGTTCATCTCTGTATTCCTACCACTCCAGTGCCAGTACTGAGCCTTGCAGTCAGGATGTCCGGACCAAATCCTGACCCTGCCACTTACTATAATAGTTGTAGGGCCCAGGCCATGTTTTCTTCTCTGAACTGTTTGTCTGTAAAATAGGGCCTTAGTGATATTGTATAATGTTTAAGAATACATTCCCTGGCAGGGCGCAGTGGCTCACGCCTGCAATCCCAGCACTTTGGGAGGCTGAGGCGGGAGGATCACGAGGTCAAGAGATCGAGACTATCCTGGCCAACATGGTGAAACTCCATCTCTACTAAAAATAGGAAATTAGCCGGGTGTGGTGGCACACACCTGTAGTCCCAGCTACTTGAGAGGCTGAGGCAGGAGAATCGCTTGAACCCGGGAGATGGAGGTTGCAGTGAGCCGAGATATGCCACTGCACTCCAGCCTGGGCAACAGAGTGAGACTCTGTCTCAAAATAAAAAAATGTAAAAAAAAAAATACATTCCCCAAAGACAGAGCAACAAATGAAATGATGCTTATAAAGTGCTGAGCCCTCAGATCACGAGGTCAGGAGATTGAGACCATCCTGGCTAACATGGTGAAACCCCGTCTCTACTAAAAATACAAAAAATTAGCTTGGAATGGTAGCAGCGCCTGTAGTCCCAGCTACTTGGGAGGCTGAGGCAGAATGGTGTGAACCCGGAAGGCGGAGCTTGCAGTGAGCTGAGATCGTGCCACTGCACTCCAGCCTGGGTGACAGAGGGAGACTCCGTCTCAAAAAATAAAATAAAATAAAATAAAATAAAAATAAAGTGCTGAGCCTGACGTCTGGCACGTGGTAAATCCTCACACAACACACGGTGGCTGTTATTAACATGAGAATAGGTATGTGCCCATCAACATCACATGATCTTCACCAGCTTTCTGACAAGGAGACTCAGAGGCAATATAAATACCATAGCTTTATGTGCCTTATCACTCATCAAACAAATTACGGAGCACCCTGAGCCAGGGACTGACTATAAGGTCATCCAAACCCAGGATGGACAGGTTCGGTTTTGAGGCAGCCGGGCTGACTTCTGCCTTTCCTCACCCTCTGCTTCCAGAAGCACCCAGATGTCACCTCCCTTATCTTTTCCTGTTGCTGTGCCAGAAAAAAAGCAAAACAAAACCAAAAAAAAATCATACTGGGAAGGGGGAACAGTACTGAGGGCTATGTATTTTCACTTCTCACACAGTTCTCAAAAGAGGAGCTCTCTAAGAAAGGCCCCGGGACTTACTGAGAAACTGCCCCATGATGCCACACCATCACCAACAAGACGGTCCTTACCCCCCGCACAGAGCAGGTGGACAGGTGGACTGTGATGCCAGGATCCAACTAGTGTCCACCTCCAAAGCTTCCAGGCTTTTCTGCATAGCATGGCTATGAAGCCCCATTCCTCTTGTGATAAGGAGGAAACTATTAATTTTTTTTTTTTTTTGAGACGGAGTCTTGCTATGTCTCCCAGACTAGAGTGTTGGAGTGCAGTGGCATGATCTCAGCTCACTGCAACCTGCGCCTCCCAGGTTCAAGCGATTCTCCTGCCTCAGTCTCCCAAGTAGCTGGGATTACAGGCCCACGCTACCACGCCTAATTTTTGTATTTTTAGTACAGACAGGGTTTTATCATTTTGGCCAGGCTGGTCTCGAATTCCTGAACTCAGATGATCTGCCTGCCTCAGCCTCCCAAAGTGCTGGGATTACAGGCATGAGCCACCATGCCTGGCCAGTTTTTAAGTATTTGTAATCTCTCCATTCTCTGCCTTCTAAGGAGGATAGATGGATCCTCCAGAATCCATTGTTTTGCTGACTCTCTGAGGAGGAATAGCTGAGCAGGTGGGAGAAAATTGCACAGGCTAATTTGCTTTGCAGGCCTAATAGGCCCAATGGGGAATCTGAGCAAGCTGGGTGACACACAGGAAGGCCAGGGCAGGAGAAAGAAAGGGTGCAAGGGTGACGAGAGAAAGTGAACAGGGAAACTGCATTTTGTTTTTTTTTTTTTTTTTTTAGGGAAACTGCATTTAAAGGGAAGCTGTTTGCAATGCTTCTTTGCACACAAGGAACAGAATCCACAAAGTTCACAACAAGGAACAGAAACCACAAATTTCACAACATGACAACATTCAAAATGGGAGTATGTCTCAAGTGCTCCACCAGCCAGCTGAATGCAGGGTTTTCACAGGTGTAAAACATGTGACTATGCCAATTTTGATAGTTTCCTCTGACCAGAAAAATCAGGCTTTTATGAAAGAAACCAAAAGTGAAGTATAACTTCCTTCTGAATCCCCTTTGAAACCCAAGTCCTACTGAAGAGGAAAGAGAACAAATCCCTATTGAAATGCCCTGAAGAGCTTCCACTGCCTAAATGTGCAGCATAACCATCTCTACCTTCTCTTTAAAAAAAACATTCTAGAGGCTGGGCACGGTGGCTCACGCCTGTAATCCCAGCACTTTGGGAGGCTGAGGCGGGCGGATCACAAGGTCAGGAGTTCGAGACCAGCCTGACCAACACGGTGAAACCCCATCTCTACTAAAAATACAAAAATTAGCATGGTGGTGCGTGCCTGTAATTCCAGCTACTCAGGAGGCTGAGGCAAGAGAATCGCTTGAACCCGGGAGGCATAGGTTGCAGTGAGCCGAGATTGAGCCACTGCACTCCAGCCTAGGCACAGAGCGAGACTCTGTCTCAAAAAAAATAAGATAAAAATAAAAATAAAACATTCCAGAAGGCCAGGACTGGTGGCTCACGCCTGTAATCCCAGCACGTTGGGAGGCCAAGGTGGGTGGATCACATGAGGTCAGGAGTTCAAGACCAGCCTGGCCAACATGGCGAAATCCCGCCTCTACCAAAAATACAAAAATTAACTGGGCATGGCAGCGGGCGCCTGTAATCCCAGCTACTCAGGAGACTGAAGCAGGAGAATCGCTTGAACCCGGGAGGCGGAGGTTACAATGAGCCAAGATTGCACCACTGCACTCCAGCCTTGACGACAGAGCAAGACTCAGTCTCAGAGAAACAAACAACAACAACAAAAAAATTCCAGAACCTTTAACCTGGGAAATGTCCAGGTTTTGTGTCTCTTGTTGTTCAATGGCCATTGTTAACTGGAATTGGTTATCTGTAATGGATTATTTGTTTTGGTCTGCCCAGCAGTCTTTCATTTGGTGACTCCATGTGGTTCTGGTGGAGCTGTCAGTCATAGCACGTGGTCATCACTCTGACTACAGACACCTGCACCCTAGGTCTGGCTGGTTATAATGCCTCAGAGGCCAGGCTAGTGTTGACCATGGAAGGAGCATGACTCAAGCCAAACAAATCAGAAGCCTTCTCTGGAATGGAGATATACACACGTGTTTTTTCATAGGTAGCTCAAAAAAAAAAAAAGCCTGTTTCCTCAGGGCACATTAAAGTGGGATGACATAAACCTGGAACCACTGGTGCCTGTCCTCCCCTGGGGCATGGAGGAAACCTATCTGCAACAGCAGATAAATAGGTCACTGAACACTGAAATAAGAGCCCTGTTGACATTTGAGTTCCTCCAGTGCCTGATGTCAGCTTTACCCCTATATGTCCGATTACAAGAAACTTTTTCCCAGTTAACAATTTTTTCCTTCTTTAAGCTAATTAGAGTTGGACTTGTCTTTTGCAAAGTGATATATGATAATCAAAAGCAAGAATGTCAATGCGCCAAAGACAAGCCAGCTTGCTTGACTGCTCCCCATCTATACAGGACCGCATTCGTCACCCTGGTCCTTCCTTCTCCCCAGTTTATGCTGAGAGCGTCTACACATCAGTGTAGATGGTGGCACCCAAGTCCTGAATCTTTGTTTTCACCATACTCTTCACATCATCAGCCTCTGAGTTTGCCCCTTCCCTGCTAAACTGTGATGAACTCAAGGGCAGCACCTGGCAAAGCACCTGACACATGGTAACAACCAGGGATGGATGGTTGGATAGAGAAAGTCTGCTGATCCCACCCAGTGTTTCCAACTTGGGAAGAAATCTTTTTACTGTAGGGCTAAATGGGGTATGTCTAGCTATTTGTCGTATTTGAGAAGTTCAATTCAATCTCCTCACTGTGTCCATCAGTGAAAGAGAAAGCTTTAAGTAGAGATTTACGTTCCCTGCCCCCACCCCTGAAGAGCAACTGTTTAATCAGCTGGCTCCAGATGGGGCAACTAAATGAAAGTGCTACAAATTCAGAGGTCTTCACAAGTCCATGTTACTGTAAATGAAATTTGCGTAATTTTTTTTGAGAGACAGGGTCTTGCTGTTGCCCAGGCTGCAGTACAGTGATGGGACCGTAATTCACTGCTGCCTCCAACTCCTGGGCTCAAGTGATCATCCTGCCTCAGCCTCCAGAGCAGCTAGGACTACAGGTGCGCACCGTCATGCCTGGGTTTGTTTTTTGTTTTTTCCAGAGACGGGGTGGAAGGTGTCTCCATATGTTGCCCAAGCTGGTCTCAAAACTCTTGGGCTCAAGTGATCATCCTGCCTCAGCCTCCCGAGTAGCTAGGACTACAGGTGGGTGCCACTATGCACTTTTATTTTGTAGAGACAGAGGTGGAAAGTGTCTCCATATGTTGCCCAAGCTGGTCTCAAATTCCTGGGCTCAAGCATTTCTCCCACCTCAGCCTCCCAAAGTGCTGATTACAGGAGTGAGCCACGACACCTGGCCCTTGTGCTCACTTTTAAGCAACCCTGCCAACAATAGAGCCTTCTCCAGGACTATGCTAGTAAGACACTTGTTCAGTGTCGTTTTGTAGGACAGAGAAAGCTAACTCAAACCACATTGCCACTATCCCGTCAGAAGTCTTATTCACTTTGCCAAGCCAAACTATTTCACAGAACCTCCCATATTAAAAACACAGAGAAAGAAAACACAGATAACATGGTGTTGTGATCTTTATTCCATTAAATGATCTTACAAATTGGAGTAAAACAGAAACATGCTTTTAATATACTAATAGCATAATCTCATCCCATTGCACTTTTTAAAAACTATATTAAGTTTCAAAGCCACTCAAAGGCAAGGGTCTAGCAGACAGTACTTTTAACAAATCATTTTTTAAAATAAAAAAACCTGAGGAAAATTTGTGTATGTACAAGATTAGTATTAACTCCTTTAAGGCTTACATCCATGACAGCATGTATCTAATTAGAAAGCTATGGGAATCAATGCTACCTTCCCTTGCTCATAAAAACATTTAAACTGTAGTTCTGGCACACGAAATTTGCCCCAAAGAAAAATGTCTTTCAAAGCCCTTCTGTCCCTAGATCTGTTTTGCAAAGTTTCTGATATGGGGTACTTAGGTCACTAATGACAGGAATTAGGATCTTGTCTTCTTTCTTGTTCATTATTTTTATTTGTGGCTTAATGTTTCACCTGTATGTGAAAGATTTGGGGGTTCAAGTCACAGTGCTGAATTTTACTTTTTAAAAGAAAAACTATCAAAAATTGCTTTTAAAAAATCCTAATTACATTAGAAAATAGGATACCTGTACATTCATTTTTCAGAGAAGGCACTATGACAATGGAGAAAAACAGCTTTAAAGAGCTTAGATAATCCTCTGAATTAAAGGCATTCTTACTACTTCTGAACACAGAAAACGCCTGGGGATTGTACTGGCAAGAGACCACCTATTCTAAACCTCAGGTACAAAGTGTCCACTTGCCTCCAGACAATACTGAATTGTACTTTCTCCTTGGTACTTCCCATTCGATGAAGCAGTCTCTCTCTGTGGTCTCTGAACCACTATTTATAAAAGTGATGACTCCAGGACCACAGCCCATACCACCTGAGGCAATCCCTGGGTACAAAGCTAGGAATCTGAACTTTTTAAACAAGCCTGCTAGGTAAGTCTTATGCACTCCAAGGTAGATGAGAACCACTACCCTAAACATAGCTACAACAGGACTTACAGCAAGAAAAACCATTTGACTGCAAATATTATTTTACAATGGGCTTCTTAATGTCATTTTTAAAAATTAATCACACAAATAGTTTGTACTTTCATAACTGAAGCTTGTCTTCATTATGCCCTTATCCCTTGACTAGAATTTTGTTAAATAAAACATATGTAAGCCAGAATGACACAGCCATGTTGACAACTTGAGATGGAAGATCAAATCATCCTAAATTACATTTCAATAGTTCCAGGAAAGAAAAAAGTCCTGTGAAGACTTCCATGTAAGTTACATCATTTTTTAAAAGAACCTAGCAAAAAATTAAAAACTGTTTTATTAAAGTTTTAATTTTTAAAAAATTAAAAAATTAAAACTGTTTTATTGCTTTTGCATGGACTTGATTCAATCTACTTAATTTTGCTATAACTCATACATACATACATACTTATCCAAACTCACCCTATCCAAGGCACCATTTTACAAGCCAAGTAGAACACTGTGTGTGATCCACTAATGAAACCAACCACCAGTACAAGGCAGTATTTTTGTGTGTTTGACCAAAGCGCTTTACTTCATGTAAGAGAAAAAATAAAGCAAAACAAGGCCAGGTTCCAGTGGCTCACGCCTGTAATCCCAGCACCCTGGAAGGCCAAGACAGGCGGATTCCCAGAGGAGTTGAGACCAGCCTGGTCAACATGGCGAAGCCCTGTCTCTACTAAAAATACAAAAATAAGCCGGGTGTGGTGGCACATGCCTGTAATCCCTGCTACTTGGGAGGCTGAGGCAAAAGAATCACTTGAACCCAGGAGGCGGAGGTTGTAGTGAGCCAAGATTGCGCCACTGCACTTCAGCCTGGGTGACAGTACAAGAGTCCGTCTCAAAAAAAAAAAGGAATAAAGCGAAACACAGGCAATTTTACCAAGTATAAAAGAGGTGTTAAAACGTAAACTTCCATAGAACATTTCTTGGTATACTACGAAAATAAGGCATGACTCAGCTGGGCGGGGTGGCTCATGCCTGTAATCCCAGCACTTTGGGAGGCTGGGGGGAGTGGATCACCTGAGGTCAGGAGTTTGAGACCAGCCTGGCCAACATGGCAAAACCCCACCTCTAGTAAAAAAACAAAAATTAGCCAGGCGTGGTGGTGTACACCTGTAGTCCCAGCTACTCAGGAAGCTGAGACAGGAGAATCGCTTGAACCTGGGAGGTGGAGGTTGCAGTGAGCGAGATTGCACCACTGCACTCCAACCTGGGCGACAGAGCGAGACCTCTGTCTCAAAAAATAAAATAAAATAAAACAAGGCATGACTCTGAAGGTGTTTTATCATACATAGTAGTTTGTCTCATTTTATCTATGAGCCAATCTTACAGAAAGATTTCTCAAAGAATGAAAACTCTGATTCTACCATTTTTACTATAAGCAGCTCATTGAAATTATTTTTTCAAATTATCAACACTTAATTTATCCTGAAATATTTTAATAGAAAATTTTGGAAGCCTCCTTTTATATATTCATAGGAATGAGTTCCATATATTGTTAGGATTGTGTAAAATTAAAAATGCCTGCATGGAAAGCGGCAGAGCAACAGACACGACGCAAACAGGCACAGTCTGAGCATCTGAACCACAAGTAAAAGGTGAGAGAAGTAAAAGATATTATTTTTAACCTGGTTATAAATCTCCCCAGGATGATTTATAGCCAGTAATGATAATGCATCTTTTATTGAAAAAGCTGATATAAAATCATCAATTTACTGTTGAGAGAAAAGAGGCCAAAGAAAACTCTTAAGAACCCTCACTGAGAAAACTTTATAAAACACTTTCCAGAAGCAGAACTAAGAAAAAAAAAAAATGGTGAAGAGGACTTCCTCTGGATAATTAAACCAAGGTCTCTTTATAAGACCAAAACAGAAATGGTGAATTTAAATAGTAACTGAATCTTAAGATTTCATTAAATCATACATTATCACTTTTTTTAAAGTGACCTAATACTTTAGTATGAGTTTTCGACACATCACCCCTTCTTACCATTAAATTTTTTAAGTTATTCTGAAATCTATAAATTTACTTATAGAATGTATTAAAAGCTAAGTATGTCAATATTTACAGAGCCTGCTAATAGGTATGAACTTTCAGAGAGATAAGAGGTCACCTGAAAATGCACCAACATTTCAGAAGCAAGCTTTCAAGTTAACAGTCAAAGCTTGGTTGGCATCACTGATAAATGCAAGTAAACAAGCTGGAATTTTTCTAAAGTGTAACAGCAGTGAATAAAATAGCAAGAACTATTTGCAAGATGGCATATAAATATGAAACAATATGCTGCGAATTTAGGACTTACAAAAATACTTCAGTGGTAAAGTGTCAAAAGAAAATTCTTTGATAAAGAGATTACATGCGAAAAGGGACTTTTTTTCTACCTTCCATTCATACTTCATGTATGTAAAGTTTACACTCAGATCTTACCTTCATGTATATAAAATTTACACTCTTACCTCCCTCCCATAACAAAAGTTAAATTATCTTAGAAATTAAGGCTTATATACCTGAATGTTTATATAAATACTTGCAGGCAAGTTTTAAGTTTTAAAATCCACAATAATTCCAAAAGGAAAAGCAACTAACAGATAAAACTTTTATCTCCTAATCAAGGTAAATAGAAAAAAAGAACTCTTAGATACTTCTAGATATTTTTTATATTTGGGTAGGACTTTGATCCTTGCTAAGGCAAAGCTATCTTAAAGCTACCAGACTAGCCAAAGTAAAATTAAATAGATAATTCACTAAATAAAATGGGTTAATTTTAGCTTCATTATTAAGAACATTAGACACGGCAGAGAATGCAAATTAACATTCTGAATAAAGACCTTAAATCAGGTTATTAATTGCTGCTAAGCCACATGAAATTAGACATCAATTAAACGCAGTAATATTTGTATCTTCCCTCTAATCCTTAATAAAGTTCTGTTCTTATGCAGAACTCTCAAAAACAAAACCCCTCAAATGACAATTACAAGAGTTGTGTAAAACATACATACATATGTAAACCTACAGTGAACCTGACCAAGGCACAAGTTCAAGTGACTTATCAGAGGTCACATGGTTCATTTAAACTTAGCTTTTTTCTTGAAGTATCTAGCGCATTCCTTTTATTATGAGCCACTCTGGCTTTTCAAGGCACGTTTGCCTCTTTTTCTAGAAAGAAGCTATAGGGACCAAAAAAAAAAAAAAAATAGAGCAAGTTGCAACAAAACTGTCAGCCTACTGGGTAAAAACCTCACATTTCAGAGTATGGTATATTTAAATATGACATGATTTTTCCACACTATGTGGCAACAGGATTCCCTATTGTAAATTTTTTTTGAGTGTAATGACATCATTTTCAGTTAGTCTTTAGTTCTGAAGTTTCTCCAAGTTCTGTAAACTTTTAAAAAAGGAATCCTTCTTGGCCGGGCACGGTGGCTCACGCCTGTAATCCCAGCACTTTGGGAGGCCAAGGCGGGCAGGCGGATCACAAGGTCAAGAGACCAAGACCATCCTGGCCAACATGGTGAAACCCCATCTCTACTAAAAATACAAAAAAATTAGCTGGGTATGGTGGCGTACACCTGTAGTCCCAGCTACTTGGGAGGCTGAGGCAGGAGAACTGCTTGAACCCGGCAGGCAGAGGTTGCAGTGAGCCAAGATCACACCACTGCACTCAAGCCTGGTGACAGAGCGAGACTCCAACTCAAAAAAAAAAAAAAAAAAAAAAAGAATCCTTCTCAAAAGAGTAAAGTATAAAAGAAATGTCAAGTTTCACCCGAAAACGGCACCTTTCATGAGGTTATCCTCCATCCCCTCCCCATCGTGTGTGCAAAACCATGGAATCAATCTTAAAAGGCACTAAGTGGCACATAAAGAACTTAAAAGCTGCATTTCCATTTTTCCTCTAGCTTCCTCCTCCATAAAGTGCACAAAGCAGAGTAATATGAAAATAGACACAGGCTTGCATCTATAACAGCAAGGAAAAGAAATGCTTCCAAGAGAAATGGAAGTGTGTTTAATAATTTGAAACCACAGGAGAGGTCTGCTCATTTATTACAGGGCCATGTTTTAGCTCTTCCTGGATCGTCTCAGATCTGCCATTCCTCTGGATATGAACCTGTGGCCGTGGCAGAAACCCAGAAATCAGTAGGGGCTTGTTGTGTTCTTGTTTGATCTTCACGTTAAGATGCTATTGAGCTTTTTTATCCATGGATGGTCTTCCAACAACTGCATCCCTCACAGTGGCCTGAGTGGAATTACCGATATGAGAAGAAGCCTGCAAAAGTCCATTTATTCAACATATAAGTTAATAAAATACAACACAGCAACAAGAAAGTAAGTCCTTAAACTTTCAAAAACCTGTCTCCATCATCGGCATGTTACAGAAAGCAGTTGAATGAAAATGCAGGGATACAGAGAGGCTGTGGCAGCAGCTAACTCCCAAGAGAGCCAGGGGAACATCTGCTCTGTGGCTAGGGTAGGATAGGCAGCTCCTGTGGCTTCACAAGCTGCTAACCCAACTCACCTGTTCATGTTACTCAGAAAAACAAATGTATCATCTCAAAGATCTACAAAACTTGTGACCATGTCAATGTCCAAGAGCTACTGGGTTAGTCAGGTGTGGTGGCACTCGCCTGTAACACCGGCTGCTTGGGAGGCTGAGGTGGGAGGATCACTTGAGCCCAGGAGTTTTAAGTTACAATGAGCTAAGATACCAGCCTGGGTGACAAAGCAAGACCTCGTCTCCAAAAAAAATTTTATAAATAAATAAATAAGCAACCCAATAAATAAATAACCAAGCCACTGGCTTTTGGAAGATTTTTAAATAAAAAAGATACCATCCCTTTCCTAATCCAGTAGGACTCAAAACCGAACATTTTTCGTTAAGTTCATAATTTTTTCAAAGTTCTTGCTTTTCAATGAAGTAAATTAATCTAGAGGGGGTGAGAAGTGAGAATCACATAAAAATTATGTCTGAAGAGCATGTAATTAGAAGTTGCCGACCAGGCGCAATAGCTCATGCCTATAATCCTAGCACTTTGGGAGGCCGAGGTGGGTGGATCACCTGAGGTCAGGAGTTCAAGACCAGCCTAGCTAACATGGCAAAACACTGTCTCTACTAAAAAAAAAAAAAAAAATACAGAAATTAACTGGGCATGGTGTCAGGCACCTATAATCCCAGCTACTCTTGGGAGGCTGAGGCAAGAGAATCACTTGAACCCAGTGGGCAGAGGTTGCAGTGAGCCAAGATCACACCACTTCACTCCAGCCTGGGCAAAAGCGTAAAAATCTGTCTCAAAAAAAAAAAAAAAAAAAAAAGTTGCCAAAGGGGAACACAATCAGTATGTCTAAGTTGGAATGTTTTTGCATTAAAGGGCTATTTTTGGGCTGGGCACGGTGGCTCACACCTGTAATCCCAGCACTTTGGGAGGCCGAGGCAGGCGGACCATGAGGTCAGGAGTTCGAGACCAGCCTGGTCAACATGGTGAAACCCTGTCTCTATTAAAAATACAAAAACTAGCGGGCCGTGGTGGCACACACCTGTAGTCTCAGCTACTTGGGAGGCTGACGCAAGAGAATCACTTGAACCTGGGAGGCGGAGGTTGCAGTGAGCCAAGATCATGCCACTGGACTCCAGCCTGGGCAAGAGAGCACAGCGAGACTTTGTCTCAAAAAAAAAAAAAAAAAGCGGGGCGGGGGCCTTTTTAGACATGGAAACAAAATATTAAGAATAAATATTAATATCCTAAAGGATAATAAAACATACAGTCTATCAGAAAACAACAGCCAACGGAGTGGCCACTGTCTCATGTCTTCACTATGAAATTCTTCCAAACTGAGATATTTTACAACAGAAGCACAAATATCTGCCCATTATCAACCCTCAGGCTCTTCAGCAGCACCACTTACCTGCTCCAACACATATGCGGCACCAAAATCAATAGCTCCGCCCAGCTCACGATATTGACCAGAATACCTGATGTAGCCCCAGGTGAGGAGTGCTATTAACAGTAGTCCAACCATACAGTTGAACAACTGGGCTACAACCTCAAGACCTATGAAGCCAGTGAGGCCTGAGGCTATGTACAAAGCTACAATGCCCGTGAACAGCACTGCAGGGGTTCGGAAGGTGCTGAAGACGTTCTTGCTACCATTGTGCTTGCAGAAGTTCTCATATAATTCCTTGATTTCCTCCTCCAGCTCCTGCTGGTAACGAAAGCTGAAATCCTTCCCACCCATCTTCTTGGTCTTCTTAAAATGGTCCAGAGCAAGTTGTTTGAATTCACAGTGCTTCTCCTCTAGAATGTCTGGAGACAAATAAGGTTTCTCTCCCCCACAAACCTAAAAAGAACAAAGAAACAATATGTTAAAAGATCTCTTCAAAAACAAGTGCCAAATAAAACATGAAAAGATAATGAAAGGATTAGAATGTTTTAAGATGTTAACAATGTATTAATAAGTTAACTTTTAAAAGATGACTAAGACCAATAAAGTCTAGTTTCACTTCCTCTGAAAAGCACACTTAAAAAACCAGGGTGATAATATCAATTGGAAAGAGCAGTGACACTGGGACGGGTGCGGTGGCTCACGCCTGTAATCCCAGCACTTTCGGAGGCCAGGGCGGGCAGATCACTTGAGGTCAGGAGTTTGAAATCAGCCTGGTAAACATGGTGAAACTCCGTCTCTACTAACACAAAAAAAATTAGCCGGGCGTGATGGCAGGCACCTGTAATCCCAGCTACTCAGAAGGCTGAGGCAGGAGAACCGCTTGAACCCGGGAGGCGGAGGTTGCAGTGAGCCGAGATCGCACCACTGCACTCCAGCCTGGGCGACAGAGTGAGACTCCGTCTCTAAAAAACAAAAGCAAACGGTCGACTTCTGCAGGGCCCAGGTGAGAAAGGCCCACCTGTGTCCTGGTTGAGGGTCCTCAGGGTTCTTTGGGACCCGAGGATTCCTGAAATCATGGATCACCCACATACGCTTTGAGACATGCTTTAATTTTTTTTTTCTGGAAGCCCTGCGACTTCCCTAAAAATTAAATGAATTATAGAACAGATCTATGACCAATGGTGGCAGAGTCTACATAGAACTATGCTTCGTGGTGCTCTGGGGAAACCTTCTGACTTGTTGGCTATGCTATTCAGTATGGCTGTATAGCTCACTGTGCTTCTGAATACGTTGGTGGTGTTGTCATGTGTTCTGGACCATCAATGGAGCCTACAATTCAAAATTCAGATACTGTCTTTGCACAAAATCTTAGTCGACATTTTGATAGTATCCAAAGAGGTGACATTGTGATTGCAAAAAGCCCAAGTGATCCAACATCAAATATTTGTAAAAGAGTAACTGGTTTGGAAGGAGACAAAATCCTCACCACTAGTCCATCAGATTTCTTTAAAAGCTACAGTTATGTCCCAGTGGGTCATGTTTGGTTAGAAGGTGATAAATCTACAGAATTCTACAGATTCCAGTTACTATGGACCTATTCCATATGAACTAATAAGAGGACGAATCTTCTTTTAAGATTCGGCCTCTGAGTGATTTTGGATTTTTATGTGCCAGCCTTAATGGCCACAGATTTTCTGATGATTAGTAAGCATTTATTCTTTTGACTTGATTATTGTCTCCTGCTCATGTGAATTTATTACTCCCATTGAAACTATGTACTTACCAATAAACTATTTGCTATTCAAAACAAAACAAAACAAAACAAGAACAAACAAACAAACAAAGAAATGGTAATAATTAGAAGGCCCCCGTTACCAGGACAACCTGAATATAAGTTTATTGCCTCATCACTTAAAGATACATTAAGTAGGATCAAGTTGGGCTTTTGAAGTCAGCAACAATGCCCAGATTATAGATATTTCAGAATAAGGCGTATGTCCCACGTACCTCTTCCATGTTGTTATAATAAATGTCCTTGGCAGAGGCTGCAGCTGCTAAGTTGTTGGCTTCAGCAGTGGCCTTTTAAGAGAGAAAAACGTGAACTGTAAATCCTTCCTCTTTTAACATTCCTCCACAAATAACCTAACAAAAATCTTCTCTATTCCCCATTCTTCCTTTTTTATTAACCTTCTATTTTTCTAGATTTCCATATAGTTCAACTGATGAAATAGAATACACTTTTTCTGCCAAATTTTCTACCAAAAAAAGGTAGAAGTTCATATACATAGAAATATGTATTCTTATACATAAGAATCTTTAGCAAAAATTAAATCTCCAAAATTCAAGGAAAATATTATTTCCATTGCATCAATTTATTTTTTAATTGTTTAAATTTTTCTTTTTTTTTAAGACAGAGCCTCACTCTGTCACCCAGGCTGGAGTTCAGTGGTAATCTCAGCACACTACAACCTTCGCCTCCTGAATGCAAGCCATCCTCCTGCCAGTGCGTGCCACCACGCTTGGCTAACTTTTTAAGTTTTTGTTTTGCAGAGCTAGAGTCTCCCTATATTGCCCAAGCTGATGTTGAACTCCCAGGCTCAAGTGATCTGCCCACCTCAGCCTCCCAAAGTGCTGGGATTACAGGAGTAAGCCACCACACCTGGCTCCATTGCTCCAACTTTAAGAAATAGATGTGAGTCAAAAAAAAAAAAAAAAGAAGAAGGAAAGGTTGGGCGTGGTGGCTCACGCCTGTAATCCCAGCACTTTGGCACTTTGGGAGGCCGAGGCTGGCGGATCATAAGGTCAGGAGTTCAAGACCAGCCTGGCCAACATGTTGAAACCCCATCTCTACCAAAAACACAAAAAAATTAGCCAGGCGTGGTGATGTGCGCCTGTAGTCCCAGCTACTCAGGAGGCTGAGGCAGGAGAACTACTTGAACCCAGGAGGTAGAGGTTGCAGTGAGCCGAGATCACGCCACTGCACTCCAGCCTGAGCAATAGAGCAAGACTCTGTCTCAAACAAAAAAAAAAAAAAAAAAAAGGAAAAAGCCGGGTGTGGTGGCTTACGCCTGTAATCCCAGCACTTTGAGAGGCTGAGGTGGGAGGATCACTTGAGTCCAAGAATTCAACACCAGCCTGCTCAACACAGCTAGATCCTGTTTCTATTTAAAAAAAAAAAAAAAAAAGAAGAAGAAGAAAAAAAAGGGGGCTGGGCGCGGTGACTCACGCCTGTAATCCCAGCACTTTGGGAGGCTGAGGCGGGCAGATCACGAGGTCAGGAGATCGAGATCATCCTGGCTAACACGGTGAAACCCTGTCTCTACTAAAAATACAAAGAAATTAGCCGGGCGTGGTGGCAGGCGCCTGCAGTCCCAGCTACTCGGGAGGCTGAGGCAGGAGAATGGCGTGAACCCAGGAGGTGGAGCTTGCAGTGAGCCGAGATTGTGCCACTGCACTCCAGCCTGGGCAACAGAGCAAGATTCCACCTCAAAAAAAAAAAGGAAAAAATTATTTGCAATGTCAATCCCAGGCTCTAGCTCCCTTTATGAAAATTTTCTGCTACAAAATAAATCAACACTTGGCAATAAATCCCCTTATGTTCAACATATGAAAGTCAAAAATTATGTTTTAACCAAATGACATTCTAGTTGCAAATTAAAAACCTGATTAGTGAATAGTAAACAGGTGTGTCAGGACATGTTCCACTAAAGTAAATAACAGGTCAGGCACAGTGGCTTACACCTGTAATCTTAGCACTTCGGGAAGCTGAGGCAGGCACATCGCTTGAGCCAAGTTTGAGACCAGCCTGGGCGACACAGCAAGACCACATCCCTATTTTTTTCTTTTAATTAAAAAAATTATAGCCAGGCATGGTGGCTCACCCCTATAATCCCAGCACTTTGGGAGGCCAAGACGGTCGGATTGCTTGAGTCCAGGAGTTGGAGACCAGCCTGGGCAACATGGCTAAACCGATCTCTATTAAAAAATACAAAAATTAGCCAGGCATGGTGGTACATGCCTATAATCCCAGCTACTCGGGAGGCTGAGGTATAAGAATCACTTGAACCCAGGAGGTGGAGGTTGCGGTGAGCCAAGATTGTGCCACTGCACTCCAGCCTTGGCAAGAGTGAGACTCTTGTCTCAAAAAAATAATAAATTAGAAATTATATAAAAATAAAAAAAATAAACAACAGATGACAAGAACTTGCTTGTCTAACATGGTGGGTATGTTTCAACCACGTATAATAAACTGTGCTTCCCAAAGTGTGTTTGGTGAAAAGACTAGGCCCAGTGAGGAGAGGCCATTTCGTTTTAACTGTACCACCATGAATACAAACAAGTGAACTAGAAAAGGTCGCCACACTACTGCAAAATGTGCTAAAAAAAAATTAACAGACCTCAGCATGATGAAAAAGGAGAAAAAGTGCATTCTCTTCCTAAAGAACTCTGCTTATTGTATACAGGTCAACTCAAGTAATTTAAGGGTAGCGTTTAGGATGTCAAATCATTGTTTACCTGAAGCATGGACTTGGGGTGAGGCAGATCTTCTCCTTGATAAATTTTAATATATGCCTTAAAATATAAACATAAAAACTGCTATAAAATGTTATTCAGTCATATCTTACTCATATTTAATTTTTAGAAAGTGACCATACAACTGCATTTTCCTAAAGACTTAGGTCAACAACCAGGAATTAGCAAAAACACACCACACACCTTTGAGTGCATGTTAGCATTTTTAGTTAACTAAAAATGTTCTCAAGCAGCACAAGCCTACAGAGGCTAGGATTCCCATCCAGCTCCCCATGCACGCTGGCCTCACCACTACCTGTGGGCAGAGTGACCATCCGCCTTGAGGTAGTCGTGTCACATCTAGGTGCCGTCTCCTCCTACTCACAGCAACTTCCTAACCACCTCCTGTCCACACCATCTTCCTTGAGGAACAATCTTCCTTTAGTCACAGCTAATTGCTCCTCTAAGAGAGTGCAAAGAACATCCATTTGGTTCTTAGACCGATACTGCCACCCAATGGCCCACTCCTGGAAGGACACCAAGGTCTCTGAAAATGCCTCTCACCATCTCCCCCAGAAAATTTTTAAGTTTCAAAATATTTAAATTCAAGTTGATTTACGAGTGAGATCAGCTTTACCAAAAATCAAACATTTTAATAACTAAAACCCATATTTACCTTAAAATACTCCAGTAGTCCCCGACAGGTGACCTTTGAGCCATTGATCTCCTTTTCCATTAACTTAGATGGGTTTAATACATACGGTATCAGTGCCTGTAACTGCTCTTTGAATTCACCAGCAATATCTGTTCACAGGACGACAAAGAAGGGAAAAATAAGCCAAACAGCCTTATTCAACCAAGGTGAACACACAATGCAGTCTTCCCAGTCTAGTGCTTTTAACATTGGTTGTTAAAAGTGAGAGAGAAGCCGGGCACGGTGGCTCACGCCTATAATCCTAGCACTTTGGGAGGCCGAGGCAGGTGGATTGCCTAAGGTCAGGAGTTCGAGACCAGCCTGACCAACATGGTGAAACCCCGTCTCTACTAAAAATAGAAAAACTAGCCAGGCGTGGTGGCAGGTGCCTGTAATCCTAGCTACTCAGGAGGCTGAGGCAGGAGAATCTCTTGAACCCAGGAGGAGGAGGTTGCAGTGAGCCAAGATTGCACCATTGCACTCCAGGCTGGGAAACAAGAGTGAAACTCCATCTCAAGAAAAAAAAAAAAAAAGTGGGAGAGAAGAAGGGGTCTGAGACTATGTTTTGACACTTTCTGGCTATGACCAAGTTGCTGACAGATCTCTGTCCCAATGTACCTTCATTTTTCTCCTTCCCCACTGTAGTAGAAAGTCTTCTCTAGTTCAAAATAGAATACTATATATGCAGAATATCTTTACCTTGGTTTTCATTCTGGGATATCTGGTCTACTCCCTAGCCTTTCAAGAAATTTCACTTTTTAAAGAATTTGATGGCCGTGCGTGGTGGCTCACGCCTGTAATCCCAGCACTTTGGGAGGTCAAGGCGGGTGGATCACGAGGTCAGGAGTTCCAGACCAGTCTGGCCAAGATGGTGAAACCCCGTCTCTACTAAACATACAAAAATTAGCCGGGGGTGGTGGCGGGCACCTGTAATCCCAGCTACTCGGGAGGCTGAAGCAGAGAATAGCTTGAACCCGGAAGGCAGAGGTTGCAGTGAGCCGAGATCGCACCACTGCACTCCAGCCTGGGCAACAGAGTGAGACTCCATCTCAGAAAAAAAAAAAAAGAATTTCATTAACAGGGTCTTCAACAAGTCAATTTTCAACCTCTCAAGTTGTCTCAGGCCTTTGCCATGCCCTCACACTACTACTCCTTTAAATCAATTAGAAATCACTGGTCATTGATTTATTCTTGTTAATTTTTTTAATGTTAAAAGAAGTAGAAGTACCTGTGCCTCATTATATTTATTTTCTATTATCTCCTCAGAGACCCTCGGAACCACCCCAAAATGAAAAGACCACTAACTCAAGAAAGGTGACAGATTCTCTGCAGCTTCTACAAGGTTCCCACAGAGGGATCAGTACAGCCATTAAATAGAGCTCTTTCCTCAAAGTAAGAATTATTAGCTGGTCCAACTATGAAGACACAGGAGAATTAAAATACAGAAAAGCTGATTTACATAATCTTCTAACATCTTCCTGGGTTCCCAGCTATACACTGAAAAAAAGCAGGTAGGAGCCCACATCAAATAAGAACTCTTTAATACTCCACCAACCAGACTATAATATGAAAAATGAAACTAAAATTTCAAGAAAGCATGGGAAAAATACTTTATAACCTTGCAGTGAAAAAGTATAAAAGTATACATAACAGGCCATTCTGTACACATTCACATTTGCTTTCATATACTAAAGAAACTCTGAAAGACTACAAAAATGGAAGAGAGACTTTTCACTGAGTACTTTTTAATCCTTTTTAAAATTTTAAACATGTGAATGTATTACATATCCAAAAAACCTTTTTGTATGGTTTCAATTTCCATCACACTGAAAGATGGAGTGTTTCAAAAAATACCTCACACAAGTAGCAGCAGGATCCAGATGCTACACTTGTCACTTTAACAAGCTGTACAGACCCTATATGCTACTCATGTTTCTATGAAGGCTACACCAAAATAATAGTTTTAAAATTAGAATAGACAAGAACTATCTCATAACAGAAACAAACTCAATCTTTAGTGGTGTCAAAGAAGACTGTGCCCTACAAAGCCTCCTGTGTTAATTTCCAACTAAACAACTCAGTAGTTACTGTATTAGGTCTCCCTGTGACAGTAAGTAGGAAGATAACAATTTTCTTTATGCTGACAACACAGTCATCTTGCATCTGATGAAAAGTATTCTCAAAAAGCAGCTATTCTAGGCCTAGCGTGGTGGCCCGCACCTGTAATCCCAGCACCTTGGGAGGCCAAGGTGGGCAGATTGCTTGAGGCCAGGAGTTCAAGACCAGCCTGGCCAACATGGTGAAACCCCGTTTCTACTAAAAACACAAAAATTACCCAGGCATGGTAGCGCACTCCTGTAATCCCAGCTACTCGGGAGGATGTGGCACAAGAATCGCTTGAGCCCGGGAGGCGGAGGTGGCAGTGAGCTGAGATCGCACCACTGCACTCCAGCCTGGGCAACAGAGTGTAGACAAGACTTTGTCTCAAAAAACAAAACAAAACAAAAAAAAAAAAACTCAGCAGCTATTCTAGCTAATTACTTCAAGAAACAGCAGCTCAGCATCAGTTATACCAAAACTAAGATCATGTTTGGCAGGCATCTACCTCTAAATAAGTGGTTGATCTTTAAAAATAAAATAAAACCACTAAAATAATTCCTAAAGTATCTGGGGGAACATTTGCAGAAATAGTTTCAGAATGTAGTTCTTATGAAATTTAAATGTTCTACAAAAATTACACTTTAAGTTCCTTTTATGGATTAGCCCTAACAACCTCAGGCTAATGTCTTTTCCAAGTTACACAGAACAGGACTGCAGAATCTCAACCATGGAACTGCACAAGTATATATTTGAGAAAATATAATGCCTACCCTTTTTTTTAAATTCTGAAAACTACGTTAGTTCTACTAACAGGTCTCCTACAATAAACTGTGTGTGGTTCTCAAGCTAGCACTTGCCAAATACAAATCACCCGCTATTTGCAATTTAGCATCCAATTTACTCTTCACTCAAAACCCTTCAAAATCTTGGTTAAGTGGTTCCCTAAAATTAAAAAATATCCATCTCCAAATCTAAAATGTACATAAACCTTTGCAGAGCTAGTAAGAATTCTTCATGAACAATCCTCATAATAATTGTAGTTCCTTAAATAAACACAGAGGGCAGGCTTTTAACATATTTTTAAAGTTAGGCAAAAAAGCAAATTTTTGTTTTTCAAATCTTTCCACTTAAGAAAGTACTGGCTGGGCGTGGTGGCTCAAGCCAGTAATCCCAACACTTTGAGAAGCTGAAGTGGAAGGTGGGAGGATCACTTGAGGTCAGGAGTTCGAGACCAGCCTGGGCAACATAGGGAGACCCTGTCTCTACAAAAAAATAAAAAGATTAGCCAGGCATAGTGGTGCATGCCTGTAGTCCCAGCTACTGAGGAGGCTAAGGTGGGAGGATTGCTTGAGACTGGGAGTTAGAGGCTACAGTGAGCTACAATCACGCCACTGCACTCCATCCTGGGCAACAGAGCAAGACCCTGTCTCTAAAATAAATAAATAAATACATACATACATACATGAATGCATACAAATTTTAAAGTACTTATTTTTTTTAAATAAATAGGATCATACCACATATGCTACTCCACTATCTTTCTGCATTTAATAATATATCACAAACATCTTTCTGTATAAAGACACACAGATTCAACTATCTACCTTATCTTTTTTTTTTTGGGACAGAGTTTCGCTCTTGTTGCCCAGGCTGGAGTACAATGGCGCGATCTCAGCTCACTGCAACCTCCACCTCCCGGGTTCAAGTAATTCTCCTGCCTCAGTCACCCAAGTAGCTGGGATTACAGGCATGTGTCACCATGCCCAGCTAATTTTGTATTTTTAGTAGCGATGGGGTTTCTCCATGTTGGTCAGGCTGGTCTGGAACTCCCGACCTCAGGTGATCTGCCTGCCTCGGCCTCCCAAACTGGGATTACAAGCGTGAGCTACCGCACCCGGCCTCTACCTTATCCTTTTTAATGACTGCATTTTATTCCTTTCTGCAGATGTACCTTAATTTTTGTTTTTGTTTTTGTTTTTTTGAGACAGGGTCTCACTCTGTCACCCAGGCTAGAGTGCGGTGGTGCAATCACAGCTCACTGTAGCCTTGACGTCTGGGGCTCAAGCAATCCTCCTACCTCAGCCTTCTGAGTAGCTGGGACCACAGGGGTGTGCCACCATGTCCAGCTAGTATTTTTTTTTTTTTAGCGATGGGGGGGATCTCCCTATGTTGCCGAGGCTGAGATGTACCATAATCTAACCAACTCCACATAAAGACACATTTGTGTTGTTTCCAGTTATTCTCTATGATAATAATGCTACCATAGTATCTTTTTTTTTTTTTTTTTTTTTTTTTTTGAGACAGGGTTTTGCTCTTGTCGCCCAGGCTGGAGTGCAATGGCGCAATCTCGGCTCACTGCAACCTCTGCCTCCCAGATTCAGGCGATTCTCCTGCCTCAGCCTCCCAAGTAGCTGGGATTACAGGCACCTGCCACCATGCCTGGCTAATTTTTGTTTTAGCAGAGACAGGGTTTCACCATGTTGGCCAGGCTGGTCTCAAACTCCTGACCTCAGGTGATTCGTCCACCTTGGCCTCCCAAAGTGCTGGGATTACAGGCGTGAGCCACTGCACCCAGCCAGTATACATATTTTTATCCACTTATTTAAATAGTTCCTTAGGATAAACTCCTAGAAGTGGGATAGTGGATCAAAGGACGTGAACATTCTGAATTCTGATGCTGCCACGTTACAATTCATAAAGATGATCATTTATTACCAATGCTTTTGTGCTTTCCTGATTATTGTGATGCTGCACATATTTTCATTAATATATAATGACCATTTGTATTTCTTCTTTTTGGACTTGCCTTTTCATGTAAGAAAGGAAGATTTAAGACTTACCAGTGCATTTTATATAGCTCTATCTTGATGAGGAAACCAAATAGTACATAATTATGAGACTAAAGATTGCTCATACAGAATTTGTTCCCTATTTTATAAATGTTATATATGAAACTTGACACGCTTAATATTTAGTGATTAAACCATTCATAATCTACATATATGTATAGTGAGTTGAACAGCATCCCCCTCCCCAACAAAATGCATGTCCACCTGGAACTTCAGAAAATCTTATTTGGAAACAGTCTTGCAAATGTAATTAGCTGAAAGGAGGTCATACTGGATTAAGGTGGGCCCTAAATCCAAAGACTGGTGTGCTCACAAGAAAAAGACAGAACACACAAAGAAGGCGGTCATGTGACAACAAAGAACCTGGAGGCAACTAAAGGTACAAGTCAAAGAATGCCAAGGACTGCTGGCAACTTCCAGATGCTAGGAGAGAGTGTGGGACAGGTTCTCCTTCAGAGTCTCCGGGCGGAACCAACCATCATTTTGGACTTCTGGCTCCCTGACTTGCGGGGGAATAAATTTCCGTTGTCTTAAGCCACCTAGTTTGTGGTAATTGGTTAAAGGCAGCCACAGGAAATTAATACAACCAAAAGTGACACAAATTTCAAAAGCCAGGGTTACTGAACTTTAAAAAACTCTGCCTACTCCCTGAATGATAAAAATGAAAATGAACTTTAAAGCAATGCATTGGAATACTAAAACTGAAACTATGGAAGAATGCCATGTGTGTGTGTTTATACTGGATAATCACTAGGAGTCACTCTAATTCACCCTCTCCTAACACCTCCATTTAAGAATTCCACTGGACACATTCCCTATCAGTGATGAACAAATCTGAGTTCAGGTTGGGAAAAGTACAACCAATAATGGAGCATTATAATCCTAAACAATATATTACCTAGAGACATACACATACACACTTAACTTTCTCTCCCTACTCAGCTCTGAAAACTCCCTTGAAACTGCTTTTCAGGTAAAAGGTTCTAGGTCCACTGCTTGCCAAGCGGATTTCTCTCCCCAAGCAATAATCTTAGATTTTTCAATTGCCATGAAACAGGCCAGGGAAGTCTCCTCCTCAGGAAAGCTGTCAATCACGTAAAAGTATCAGAGAAGTGACAAATAAAAGGTAAAGGTTAAGTCTCTTTAACTCAGTTTCTTTGCAATATTAAGACCAGCTAGAATGAAAATCTTGAGTTGAACATTCATTTTCTTGGATCAACTAAATCAAATAGGTTGGAAATGATGCATTTTATATTTAATATGAGGCTATGAAAACCATTCACTTCAAAACCTTTTAGTAGTAACTAAACAGTACATATCCTCTAAATGATTTCCTCCATATAACAGAAGAACCCCTATTTTAGCCCAGTATGGGTTTGGAGCAACAAGAACTTGGATGTAGATCTACGCCTCACCACTTACTTAACTAGCTGAGCACTTTGAGCAAGTTACTTAACTTTCCTCCTTTTCCTTAACTATTTTTGCCATTTTCCTCACATATAAGATAAAGGAAATGACATCAAAGTCATTGGAATTACTGGGAGCATAAATATCAAAGTACCTAGCATAGTGTTGCAAACATTACCAGGAATCTGAGAGACTCGGATAAGCTTATTAACAAGTGCTCAGTTTAACACATGTATAAATTAAGGGCTAGCCATTTAATGACTCAAGGCCTTAATGAAAAAGGAACAAAGATAAGATAATGGAGCCCAAGAGTCCCAACTACGATTCCTCTCACCTACCATTTAGTTAGCACTTCCTGATATTAGCACATGACCCAGCGTCAGGTTTTGCTATAATCACAAATAAGATGAAAATAATAGCTCTGCCATGCATCATGCTGCCTTCCCTTAGGAAGTTAATTTTACTTAATATTAGCTGACTAATGTTTAGTCTTCCTTTATTTAGCATTTGTATCTCTTGTAAACCAAGAACCATAATGAGTCTCTTTAGAAAGACTACTAATGGATATGAACACCACCATTTCAGGTGGAGAAGTCAAGGTAAACTAATTCTGATGGTCTCAGTAAGTCAGGAGCAAAATCTGAACTAGACTTTAAATACTACTCTTTCTAAGAGAGCATACCATTTTTCTTAAGCATTCACTTGATTTGTAAGTGATTCATTATTTTTAATTCCAAAGATCGAATCACAGGTTTAAAATAACACCTGGAACACACCTTTTAATTTCCCATCAAAGTCAGGGCTTGTGGCCACCTGGAGTCCTGGATGTGGTAAGAGAAAGCAGGTGACATCGGAGAAACATGAGTGAATGTGATTTCGAACATTCTGAATTTCTTCATGTTGATGTTCCTTCACCTGCCAATGAAGACCAAGAATTTACCAACCAAAAGTCATTTGGTTTTCTTCACTAGGGACAACTAGTATAAGGACAAAGGAAAGAAGACTCCTCAACTCTGATGGATCATAGTGGCCAAATGAGAAAACTCAGAACCCTAAGAAGCAATAAACACACAAATCTGATTACCTACGGCTTGACTCCTATAGCTAGCAAACAGGTGCATAAGAGTTTCATTAAAATGAGTATTACACAAGAGATGGTTTGTGGGGATGAAGGAGGATCTAACCAATTAGTAGTGACAGACAAAGGATTCCTGTGTTTTGGTTTGGGGGAACAGGTTAGGCCTGTTTATATCTATCCCAAAATAAGTAAAAATTTTGAAGAATAACATAACTAAAATTCTGAGTATGATTTCTAAAGACACATATAGAACTTGGTTTAAAATGTAAAATGGAAATTATAATCAAAGCTTGGGCACTGGCCCAGAGTTTTCTTCTACAGTTCCTGTGTACTGTATATACAGGTTCTTTAATCTTGTCAAGAATAAATATTAGCTTGTGTTAAGATTCATATATAGTTAATGTATTCAATATCATTTTCAATAATTGCTTTAAACACAATAGCCAAAAGCAAATGAGAAAGCTATCACTACTTTGAGATAATTCATCAGAAGATTATAGTCCCACTTACCTGTAAACGCTTATCCAAAAATGCCATTCCTCCTTGGAGTCCATAGCTATATTCATAAGGGAAACTCCAATCTCTAACCAAAAACATCAGTGTCTATTTAAGAAAAGAGCGGAACATATTTTAACATGCATAAACACATTTTCAAGAGAACAACTGCAATACATCTTTGCATAATGCCAGCTTCTACAAAGGGGGTAAAGTAGAAGGATTTACCTTTTTTTTTTTTTTTTTTTTTTAAAGAGATTGGGCCTTGCTCCGTCACTAAGGCTAGAGTGCAGTGGCATGATCATAGCTCACTGTAGCCTAGAATTCCTGGGCTCAAGTGATCCTTTCACCTCAGCCTCCCAAGTAGCCGGGACTACAAGCACATGCCACTACTCCTGGCTTATTTTTTAATTTTTTTATATAGACAAGGTCTTGCTCTGTTGCCCAGGCTGGTCTTGAACTCTAGGCCTCAAGCAATCCTGTGGCCTTGGCCTCCCAAAGTGCTGGGATTACAGGTGTGAGCCACCACACCCGGCCAGATTTATCTATTCTGTAATGTCTTAGAAGTTTTACAAACACTGGAGGGACATGTTTAAGCCAAATATGAGGTCAATATATCCTATCTGCTATTTTTGTTCCCACAGGTTAGTAGGAACAGAAGGAAGACATTAATGAGAAAATGGTAAATTTGGGACTCTGCCTTAAAGAAATCTATGGGGAATACAGTAAAGGACAAAAGAGAAAACCACATGGCACCAGCTAATCATAAAATCAGATCTGTGGCCGGGCACAGTGGCTCACGCCTGTATCCCAGCTACTTGGGAGGCTGAGGCAGGAGAATCACTTGAACCCAGGAGGAGGAGGTTGCAGTGAGGCGAGATCACGCCACTGCACTCCAGCCTGGGTGACAGAGCGAGACTCTGTCTCCAAAAAAGAAAAAAATCAGGTCTGTTTTCAGCATTAGAAAGGAAGGCCAGCCACCGTGGCTCATGCCTATAATCCCTTTACTCTGGGAGGCCGAAGCAGGTGGGTCACCTGAGCTCAGGAGTTTGAGACCAGCCGGTCAACATGATGAAACCCCATCTCTACAAAAAATACAAAAAATTAGCCGGGCGCCTGAAATCCCAGCTACTCAGGAGGGTGAGGAAGGAGAATTGCTTGAACCTGGGAGGCAGAGGTTGCAGTGAGCCAAGATCATGCTACTGCACTCCAGCCTGGGCAAAATTTTAGAAAGAAACTCCATCTCAAAAAAAAAAAATAAATTAGAAAAGAAAAGAAATAAGGCTTACACACTGAAAGCACCTCTAATCCCATTGACTGAGGCTGCTGTGCTTCCTCATTCTCAAGAAACACTGAACTGAGGCATAGGTCAGCAAAGACTTTTTGCAGAGAGAGAGAGAGAGAGAGAGACAGAGAGAGACAGAGAGTGAGTGAGTGTGTATGTGTGTGTTTGTGTTGAGACGGTCTTGCTTTGTTACCCAGGCTGGAGTGCAGTGGCACAATCATGGCTCACTGCAGCCTTGACCTCCTAGGCTTAAGTGATCCTCCTACCTCAACCCCACCGAGTAGCTGGGACTACAGGCGTGCACGACCTTTTTATTTTATTTTATTTTTGTTTTTTTCTTTTTTTTTGAGACAAAGTCTTGCTCTGTCGCCCAGGCTGGAGTATAGTGGCATGACCTCGGCTCACTGTAACCTTCACCTACCAGGCTCGAGCGACTCTCCTGCCTTAGCCTCCTGAGTAGCTAAGATTACAGGCACCCACCACCACGCCCAGCTGATTTTTGTATTTTTAGTAGAGACAGGTTCCATGTTGGCCAAGCTGGTCTCGAACTCTTGACCTCAGGTGATCTGCCTGCTTTGGCCTCCCAAAGTGCTGGGATTACAGGCATGAGCCACTGTACCTACCCCCATTTTTTTAAGAGATGTCTTGCTATGTTGCCCAGGCTGGTCTCAAACTCCTGGGCTCTAGCAATTCTTCCACCTGGGTCTCCCCAAAGTGCTGGGATTACAGGTGTAAGCTACCACGCCCAACCCACAGAGCTTACTTTTTAAGCGATTACTCTGCCGTTGTAGCAGGAAAGCCGTCACAGACAGTACAAAGACAAATGAGCATGGCTGTGTTACACTAAAATTTTACCTACAGACAATGACACTTGAATTTCAGGTAATTTACGTGTCATAAAATAGTACTGCTCATTTTTTTCAACCATTTAAAAATGTAAAAACCATTCTTAGCTCACAAGTCATATAAAAACAGGTGGCAAGCTAGATTTGGCCTATGAGCTGTAGTTTGCCAATCTGTGAAAACAAAAACAAAGGTATGAATTATATTTAAAATAAATATTCTAACCTGGAAAGGCTTTTGGAAAATTTCATCCATTGCCAGACGACCGTATTCTGTGAAGAGCTTTAAAAAAGAAGCATTATGGTTTGTAAAGCAAAATTACTTAAAATAGTTCTATGGCCTTTTTAGCAAAGTATTCATTATATTTATACTGATACCAGACTTCTACAGTTTCAAAAGCCCACAGGAGTCATGAACCTTAAAATCATCTTGGTTATTCCCTGCTCACATCCCACATCCCAATTCATCAACAAATCCAGAATCCAGCCACTCACTATTTCCATGTGGCTTGGAATACTGCAATAGCCTCCTAACTGCCTCAGCCCATGCCTCCCTATGGGCTATTCTCAACACAGCAGCCACATTGACTCTTTTATAATATGGTTAGTTAGATCATATAATGGCTTTGCTCAAAACCCCACAACCTCATTCAGTATTAAAGCCAGTCCTTACAGTGTGATGCAGCCACACTGGCCCTCCTTCCTGTTCTTCAAATACACGGGGCACACCGCTGCCTTAGGACCTTCGTACTGGCTCCTCCCACTAACTATAAGTTCTTCTCCCAAATTTCCTCATGATCTGCTCCCTCACTTCTTAAGGTCTTTCAAATAGCTCCTTCTCAGTGAAGACTTCCATGGCCATCTACCGAAAAAGATTACAAGTTTGCCAATAATATTTCCTACTTCGTGTCTTTAAAAAAAAATTTTTTTTTTTGAGACAGAGTTGTGCTCTTGTTGCCCAGGCTGGAGCGTAATGGCGCGTGGCTCATCGCAACCTCCGCCTCCCGGGTTCAAGCGATTCTCCTGCCTCAGCCTCCCAGGTAGCTGGGATTACAGGCATGTGCCACCACACCTGGCTAATTTTGTATTTTTAGTAGAGACGGGGTTTCTCCATGTTGGTCAGGCTGGTCTTGAACTCCTGACCTCAGGTGATCCACCTGCCTCGGCCTTCCAAAGTGCTGGGATTACAGGCGTGAGCCACCACACCCAGTCTTAAAAGTTTTTTTCTTAACATTTATCATTATCTAATATACTATACCTCTTCTTGATTTGATTTGCATCTGTCTTTATACTAGCATTTAAACTCCATGAGGGCAGGAATATTTGTCTGTTTTGTGCACTACTGGATTTCCAGCAGCAAGAAAAGTATTAGGCCCATAATATTTATGTCATTCAAATGACTGAATTCTTTAAGGTTAAGGTTTACATGTATATTTACCTCTAAATCTTCAGGAAGCCTCACTAAAAGCATAACAAAACAAACTTTAAAAGTAAATAAATAAACAGGACAAAGCAGCCAGCAGAAAAGCCCTGTCAAAAACATTCTGGATGGAAAATAGACAAATGAGAACTGTCTCAAGTTTTGGCTTTCTCTGTTCTGCTAAGAAATCTGGAAGAGACAGGGGCCAACAAGGAAGAAGCAAATTATCTCAGTAGAAATCCCTGAAATGCTCAGAAATTATAAGCATACAGTTACCTTACAGGAGGAGGTGTAGGAGTCCAGCTGACAACTAGGAAATATGTGAGTCTTAGGAGAAAGTACCTACACTTCCAGGCACCCCTCTCTAACTGCCGTATTTTTCCTGCCTCCATAGAAGATGGGAAGTGTACTATCTGGAGAAGATAAATCCAAAAAAAAATCTAGACTTAGATACCAAACTCAGCTGAGGTTAGGAGTAAGTCTCCTACCTTCAAACAGGTACTTAAATCAAAGTCCACATAGTGAGCAGTGGGACTCCTTAGCCCTCTCACCCTACTGGTTGCCACAGCAAGCTTCTACCCACCAAGGCAGGAATTTAAAGAAATTTTTTCCAGGGAAACTAACAACCCAAGAATAAATATCTGCAAAAAAAATAGACATTTAGGAGTTGGCAACAAAATAGCTAGATAACCTTGCCAAACCACCTACCTCATTGTGATCCAAACCAGTACACAAGGCCTATCCTCTTATCAAAGCTCCCAGTTGGATTGTTAGTGGCTCTCTCTTAAATAGGTAGTCAAGGACCACCAGCTAGACATTTGAGAAAAGCCTCTTAGCAGGGCTGGCCGCTCTAATCCCAGCACTTTGGGAGGCCAAGGCAGGGAGATCACTTGAGGTCAGGAGTTCGAGACCAGCCTGGCCAACATGGCGAAACCCTGTCTCTACTAAAAATACAAAAATTAGCTGGGCATGGTGGCACATGCCTGTAATCCCAGCTTCTCAGGAGGCTGAGGCAGGAGAATTGCTTGAGTCCGGGAGGTGGAGGTTGCAGTGAGCCGAGATCGCACCACTGCACTCCAGCCTAGGCAGCAGAGTGAGACTCTGTCTCTAAAAAAAAAAAGCAAAAAAACAAAAAGGCCAGGCACGGCGGCTCACATCTGTAATCCTGGCACTTTAGGAGGCTGAGGCAGGCAGATCATTTCAGGTTAGGAATTTGAGGTCACTCTGACCAACATAGTGAAACCCTGTCTCTACTAAAAGTACAAAAAAAATTAGCCGGGTGTGGTGGCACGCACCTGCAGTCCCAGCTACTCAGGAGGCTAAGGCAGCAGAATCACTTGAACTTGGGAGGCGGAGATTGCAGTGAGTGAGCCAAGATCGTGCCACTGCACTCCAGCCTGGGCAACTGAGGGAGACTCCATCTCAAAAAAAATAAAAAAAGTACTAAAAATCCAGGTTAGGGGGGAAACTTATTTGGAAACAAAACCTGCCTTCAACTGACATGAAGCTTTTTATAGGCTTATTTACCCCATTTTATTGGTTATATATTTCACTGAAGAAATATTAATGTGTTTAATCAGAAGGCTCTGCATGAACATCAACACCCAGCTAATTTTTGTATTTTTAGTAGAGACGGGGTTTCACCATGTTTGCCAGGCTGTTCTCGAACTCCTGACCTCATGATTCACCTGCCTCAGCCTCCCAAAGTGCTGGGATTACACGCATGACCCACCACACCCAGCTGTGATTTCTTTTTTTACATCAAAATATTTAATCTATCTGGTCTATCTGGAATTTTTGTATATAGTACAAGGTAGAAATATAATTTTATTTTCTTTTTTTTTTTTTAAAGACAGAGTCTCACTCTGTTGCCCAGACTGGAGTGCAGTGGTGTGCTCTCAGCTCACTTCAACCTTTGCCTCCCAGGTTCAAGTGATTCTCAGGCCTCAGCCTCCCGAGTAGCTGCGATTACAGGCATTTGCCACCGCACCCAGCTAATTTTTTTTTTTGTACTTTCAGTAGAGACAGGGTTTCACCATGTTGGCCAGACTGGTCTCGAACACCCAAACTCAGGTGATCAGCCTGCCTCAGCATTCCAAAGAGGAATATAATTTCTAATTTATCTAAATACATAGCCAACTGTCCTAACACCATTTATTGACTGATCTATGCTTTATGGTATATGTGTATATATTCTTAAGTAGAATAAAATATATGAAAATGTAGTATATCGTAAGTACACTGCATTGATCTATTTTTTCCTGAAACAATGCCATGTTCTTGTAATTACAGATTTATAATATGTACTAAGTCAATTATCTCATATTTCCCCTGTAATTTTTTTTTTTGGCTGTTTTACAATTTAACTTTCCAAATGAATTTCACAACAATTCTGTCAAGTTCCCAAAATAATGCCTTTATGATTTTGTTTAGTGGGGAAGAACTGACAAGTTTATAATTCTCATTCTAAATGAGATAATGTTTATAACACACCGCAGTATCTAGTACAGAGTAAGCAATAAATACACGTTGGCTATTATCATCCCCATATGGAAGAAACAAGGCATATTTCTGCATGTTAAATCTTTTATATGCCTCATACAATTCTGAAGTGCTCCATATAGATCTTTTTTAAGTTTATTCTGTTTTCAATATTTTGTTGCTAAAGTCAATTTTTTCCATTACATTTTTAAACTGGTTATTGTTAGTAGAGAGGAAAACCTAATGATTTTGTATCTGTATTTTGTAATGGAGACCTTAATTATTTTTTAAGTTCCAAATAATTTTCTAGTTCATTCTTACGGATTTCCAGGCACACAAACATATTACTTTCTCCTCTGTAATATTTATATTTTACAGTTGCTGAGTCTACCAACAGCCTTGTCATGTGAGACAAGGTGAATTACATAACTGCATCATAATCTACTTACTACTTCTTATGGGTTGAATTGTGTCCTGAAGAAAAATATGCTAAAGTCCTCGCACCTGGTACCTGTGAATGTGACCTTACATATATCTATAGCACTTGGCCCTCTACCTCACACAAGGTAAGCATTCGAAAAATGGTTGAAAGGAAGGAGCTTAGAAAGGAATAAATTTCAGGTGAAATGGTGACCAACTCAAGTTGTGATCGAAGTTTTACAGAGCAACAGCTCTCAACCACTAAGCCATGGCACTGGTACAGAACTACCAATTATGAAGTACAGACAATTGCCATAAGCAACATTAAGGATCGAGGTTTAGGAGGAATTTTCCTTGTTTTTTAAAATAAACATAAAATAGAACTAATTCAAGGTAATCCCTATAATAATGACACCCTTACTCACTCACATTCTGATGCTTTCTTGAATGTCAGTGGGAGAAGTAGCATTAGAGTAACATACCAGAATTGCATCCAACCCTGGAATACTCACAAAAGAGCATTTTGTGGGAAAAACAGATAAGACCTGCTGCTATAAAAAAAGAGAAGAAAAAGGCCGGGCGCGGTGGCTCATGCCTGTAATCCCAGCACTTTGGGAGGCCGAGGCAGGCGGATCACGAGGTCAACAATTTGAGACCAGCCGGACCGACATGGTGAAACCCCGTCTCTATTAAAAATACAAAAAGTAGCCGGGCATGGTGGCGCACACCTGTAATCCCAGCTTGCAGTGAGCCAAGATTGCATCATTGCACTCCAGCCTGGGGACAAGAGCAAGACTTCGTCTTAAAAAAAAAAAAAAAGTCTATTCTGAACATAGCAGCCAGAATGATCCCTTTACAACAGGTCAGATAACATCATTGCTGACGACCCTCCCATGGCTCCCACCTTCCCCAGAGGAAAAGACCCAGAATGAGTGGGACCTCACTGCCTCTCTGACTTCATCACTTAACCCCTTCCTGTCACACTCTCCAATCCTACCCACCGGCCTCCCTGCCATTCCTTGATCTTGCCAAGCACACTCCCCTCAGGGTCTGTCTTCCAGCAGCTGCTCCTCTCCTGTAATAGTTTTCCGCCCAAATGTATCTGAAGGACTCACTTGCCCACTTTCTTTCATTCTCTGCTCAAATCATTAAGGCCTTCCCCGACCACTCCTGCTCCACCCCACCAATGGCTATACATAGTATAGAATTACTATGAACCAAAAACCTTCCTCTACATTTCAATCTTTTGCTAAAAACTACTCAGTTGTAAAATGTTCCTTAATCTTAAAACTTTTAAATAATATGATGTTAAAATTGTTATGAGAAATATATACCTGCAGCTGTTGAAGATCATCTTCTTGAATGTTCTGAGATAAATTATAAATCTAGAAAACAAAAATCCAGATTGATACTACTCTGGCTTACTTCAAACAAATCCCAAATAAGCCTAAAGGGCTGACAGAAGCTTTGAACAATTAAAGACTTGCATATAAGAACATGAGGCCTGTTCAAACAGCAATATGATCTGTCTTTTGGAAAACTATGCACATAAGATTGAAATCAAAAATTCCTCCTTTACAGTTTAAAACAGTTTTCCTAAGCTCTTATCAAATCTGTATTTTCTATATGATATAATAAATTTCCATTTTTTGGACTTTTCTTGGAACATATTATATATAATTATGACCAAAGAGGAAAAATTCTTTGGCTCCTTCTCAAACTTTTAAAAGTTTAACTGCATCTACAGTTTAAAAATAATATTTACATATCATCCTAGAAATTCTGTTAACAGAACAATAACCAAAACTGTATTTCCTCCCTTTATCTTATTTCCTTTGCGAGCTTTTTTCTGAGTCAAGTGGTTTTTACCTGAACAGAACTAGTCATAGTGCTTAGAGCAAAGATGGTAGCACAGTCTTTCACAGTTGACTGGCTGTCAAATGCCCCCTGGGTATCCATCAGAACAACTGCAACCTAAAAAAAAGGAAAATACAAACAAAAGAGATTAAACTAAGAAGGAGGAAACCGTAAAGGAGAAATTGAAAAGTACAGGTAATATATACTTAAGTACAGGTAATGTTTATGTGAGCCTTAAGCACCTGCTTGTAGGTTCTGTACAACTATTTAGGTGCTTTGCTTTGACTACAGCACTCTACTGAAGATTATCCAGCGTTATACAGAGCAATATGGAAGGCAAAAATTGCCCCACCAATTGAAACAGACAAAAGTTGAAAGCAATTAGCTTATCACCCAGCCAGGCATTTGGATGTTTCCTGTTGTTGAAAAAGAAACTAAAAAATATTCATCTTGGCCAGGTGCAGTGGCTCACACCTATAATACCAACAGTTTGGGAGGCCGTGGCAGCAGCAGCACTTGAGCCCAGTTCAATACCAGCCTGGGCAACATAGTGAGACCCAGTCTCTACATAAAATTTAAAAAATTAGGTCAGGCGCAATGGCTCATGCCTGTAATCCCAGCACTTCGGGAGGGAGGCAAAGTCAGGTGGATCACTTGAGGCCAGGAGTTCCAGACCAGCCTGGCCAACACGGTGAAATCGTGTCTCTACCAAAAATACAAAAATTAGGCCAGGCGCAGTGGCTCACACCTGTAATCCCAGTACTTTGGGAGGCCAAGGCAGGTGGATCACCTGAGGTCCAGAGTTCGAGACCAGCCCGGCTAACATGGCAAAATCCCGTCTCTACTAAAAATACAAAAAAAATGGGCGTGGTGGTGCACACCTGTAGTCCCACCTACTCCAGAGGTTGAGGCAGGAGAATCACTTGAACCCTGGAGGCAGAGGTTGCAGTGAGCCGAGACCACACTACTGTACTCCAGCCTGGGTGAGAGAGCGAGATTTTGTCCCAAAAAAAAAAAACCAAAACTCTTTGGTATATACCCAAAGGAGCTGAAAACTTATGTCTCAACAAAAACCAACACATGAGTATTTATAGGAGCTTTATTCTTAATTGTCAAAATTTGAAAGCAACCAAGATGTCCTTCAACAGGCAAATGGATGAACAAACTGGTGCCTTCATAATGTAGAATACTATTCAGCAATAAAAAGAAATGAACTATCAAGACACGAAAGAGTTGCAGAAATCTTAAAATTGCATTGCTAAGTGAAAGAGGCCAATCTGAAAAGGCTGCATATTGTATGATTCTAACTATATGACATTCTGGTAAAGGCGAAACTATGGAGACAGTAAAAAGATCAGTGGAGGAGTTTGTGGGGAGGGAAGAGAGGAACAGATAGGTACATTACAGAGAATGTTTAGGGCAGTGTGACTATTCCGTATGATACAGTAATAGTGGGCATGTGTCACTATACAGTTGTCAAAATCCAATGTACAACACAATGAGTGAGCCCTAAAGTAAACTATGTATGGGTTTTAGCTAATGACAATATATTGGTTCAAATATTAATTGTAACAAATGTATCACACTATTACAAGATGTAAACAACAGAGCAAACTGAAGGAGAATGTGGGAACTGGGCAGGTTGCAATTAATTTTCCTGAAAACCTAAAACAAAATAAAGATACAATTTGTTTTTTTTTTTTTTTTGAGACGGAGTCTTGCGCTGTGGCCAGGCTGGAGTGCAGTGGCGCGATCTCGGCTCACTGCAAGCTCCGCCTCCCAGGTTCACGCCATTCTCCTGCCTCAGCCTCCCAAATAGCTGGGACTATAGACGCCCGCCACCACGCCCAGCTAATTTTTGTATTTTTAGTAGAGACGGGGTTTCACTGTGTTAGCCAGGATGGTCTCGATCTCCTGACCTCATGATCCGCCCGCCTCAGCCTCCCACAGTGCTGGGATTACGGAGTTTCACTCTGTTGCCCAGGTTGGAGTACAATGGCACGATCTTGGCTCACTGCAACCTCCACCTCCCAGGTCCAAGCGATTCTCCTGCCTCAGCCTCCCGAGTAGCTGGGATTACAGGCATGAGCCACCATGCCCGGCTAATTTTTGTATTTTTAGTAGAGACAGGGTTTCACCACGTTGGTCAGACTCGTCTTGAACTCCTGACCTCAGATGATCCACCCACCTCGGCCTCCCAAAGTGCTGGGATTACAGGCCTAAGCCACCATGTCTGGCCTATTTTTTTTTTTTTTTTGAGACAGAGTTTTGCTCGTCACCCAGGCTGGAGTGCAATGGCGCAACCTCGGCTCACCACAACCTCCACCTCCCAGGTTCAAGCGATTCTCCTGCCTCAGCCTCCTGAGTAGCTGGGATTACAGGTGCACACCACCATACCCGGCTAATTTTTGTATTTTTAGTTGAGCAAGACTGTCTAAAAAAAAAAAAAAAAGTTGTTTTCTGTTAATTTTAATATCTGTGTTAGTTCTGAGACAGTTTTGATTGATTTTTCTCCTCATTTGGGTTATATTTTTCTGCTTCTTTTATGTCTGCAAATTTTTGATAGGATGTAGACTTGTGGATTTTCCCTTGTTGGGTGCTGGTTATTTTTGCATTCCTATAAAATATCTAGCTTTATTCTGAGATGTAGTTAAGTAATTTGGAAACTCTGGTTTTTTCTGTTCTTGCTGTTTAGATTTGTTAAATGGAACCAGAGTGTTGTTATTCCTCATTACTGAGGCAAGACTGAGTACTCTTCCTAATCCCACTGCAATCTCCGCCGCCCAGGTTCCAGCAATTCTCCTGCCTCTGCCTCCCAAGTAGCTGAGATTACAGGTGGGCGCCACCACGCCCAGCTAATGTTTGTATTTTTAGTAGCAACAGGGCATCACCATGTTGGCCAGGCTGGTCTCGAACTCCTGACCTCAGGTGATCCGCCCACCCCAGCCTCCCAAAGTGCTGGGAATACAGGCGTGAGCCACCGCATCTGGCCTTTTTTTTTTTTTTTAGATGGAGTTTAGCTCTTGTTGCCCAGGCGGAAGTGCAATGGTGCGATCTCGGCTCACTGCAACCTCCACCTCCCGGGTTCCAGCGATTCTCCCACCTCAGCCTCCCAAGTAGCTGGGATTACAGGCATGACCCATCACACCCAGCTAATTTTTTGTATTTAGTAGAGATGGGTTTTCACCATGTTGGTCAGGCTAGTCTCAAACTCCTGACTTCAGGTGATCCACCCACCTCGGCCTCCCAAAGTGTGAGATTACAGACGTGCGCCACCGCGCCGGCCAAAGAATTTTAAATGAACATCTTGTGGAACAACTTCAAGCAGCAAGAGGCACATGTAATAGGAGTCTCCAAAGGGAGTAACAGACCAAAAAAACTTGAAGAAATAATAACCTTAAAATGTCCAAATTTGATAAACATTATAAATCTGCAGATTCAAGAAGCTCAACAAAACCCACATACAAATAACATGAACTACATCAGCCTGGCGCAGTGGCTCACGCCTATAATCCCAGCACTTTGGGAGGCCAAGGCGGGCAGATCACGAGGTCAGGAGATCGAGACCATCCTGGCTAACACAGTGAAACCCCGTCTCTACTAAAAATACAAAAACTTAGCCGGGCGTGGTGGTAGGCGCCTGTAGTCCCAGCTCCTTGGGAGGCTGAGGCAGGAGAATGGCGTGAACCCGGGAGGCGGAGCTTGCAGTGAGCCGAGATCACGCCACTGCACTCCAGCCTGGGCGACACAGTGAGACTCCGTCTCAAAAAAAAAAAAAGAACTACATCAAAACACATAATAATTTGCTCAAAAACAGTGATAAAATCTTAAAAGCAACCAGACATACCCTATAAATATATATACCTATGTACCCACGAAAATAAAATTTTTTTTAATTTAAAGAAAAAAGCAACCAGACAAAAAAGACAGATTAGGTACAAAAGAACAAAAATAAGAATAACAGTGTATTTCTTGTCAGAAACAATGTCAGCAGACTGGGCACAGTGGCTCATGCTTGTAATCCCAGCACTTTGGGAAACAGAGGCAGGTGAATAACCTGAGGTCAGGAGTGCAAGACCAGCCTGACCAATATGGCGAAACCCCGTCTCTACTAAAAATACAAAAATTAGCCAGGCGTGGTGGTGCGCGCCTGTAGTCCCAGCTACTCAGAAGGCTGAGACAGGAGAATTGCTTGAACCCGGGAGGCAGAGGTTGAAGTGAGCCGAGATCGCACCACTGCACTCCAGCCTGAGCAACAGAGAGACTCCCTCTCAAAAAAAAAAAAAAGAAACAATGTCAGCAAAAAGGCAAAGGGGCAACACCTTTGAAGTACTGAGAAAAATACGTTGGCCTAGAACTCTACACTAAGAGTAAATATTTTCCAAAACAAAGGCAAAATAAAGATTTTTCAGATGTATGAAAGCTAAAAGAATTCAGTACCAACACTCCAGCACTTCAAAATATCAAAGGTGGCCAGGTGTGGTGGCTCACCCCTGTAATCCCAGCACTTTGGGAGGCTGAGACAGGCGGATCACGAGGTCAGGAGTTCCAGACCAGCCTGGCCAACATTGTGAAACCCTGTCTCTACTAAAAATACAAAAATTATCCAGGCATGGTGGTGTGCACCTGTACTCCCAGCTAATGAGGAGGCTGAGGCAGGAGAATTGCTTGAACCTGGGAGGCGGAGACTGTAGTGACCAAGATGGTGCCACTGCACTCCAGCCTGGGCAACAGAGTGAGACTACATCTCAAAAAAAAAAAAAAAAAAAGGACAAACAGGTGTGAAGGCATGCTTATAGGATTGGGCTAAAAACAGAAGTAATGGATGAAAGTCTGTATAAGAAACACATGACTTACCCCTCCCGATCCTTACAAAGAAATCTGTGGAGAGGCTCTATGCCCATAGCTTACAAGGCATAGATGAGACTGGGGCTAAGAAGCCCTACTGATAGCTAGGGGATAGTGAATGCCCACCTTCTGAACAGTGAGATCCCCAATGCCATTTCCCTGCTCAACTCCCAGAACAACAGCCAGGTCTGTGCCACCCATACAGGAGTAAGGAAGTAAAGAACAGAAGTGGTAACACATAAGAGCATCAGCCTCTGGGAAGTGAAAACTGGGTAGAGAGGAGAATAACACACATGACAGCTGCTTTCTGTTAGAAGCCTTACAGTAGTACCTGACCTTTTAAACTATATTCATGCATTTTATTTAAGAATCTTAAAAACAATCAATATGTATTAATTTTAAATCATTCACTTTGATAAAAAGTTGTTTTCACATCTTCCTTCCTTTTATTGAAAAAAAATTTCAGAAAATAACAGTTCATAAAAGACACAAACAAATCAACAGGTATATACCAGTGGAAAACACAATATGAAACTAAAAATGCCATTGGCTTTTTTTTTTTTTTTTTGAGACGGAGTCTCGTACTGTCGCCCGAGCTGGAGGACAGTGGTGTGATCTCGGCTCACTGCAACCTCTGCCTCCCGGGTTCAAGCGTTTCTCCTGCCTCAGCCTCCCAAGTAGCTGGGATTACAGGCACCCACCACCACACCCAGCTAATTTTTTGTATTTTTAGTAGAGACAGGGTTTCACTATGTTGGCCAGGCTGGTCTCAAACTCCTGACCTTGTGATCTGCCCACCCTGGCCTCCCAAAGTGTTGGTATTACAGACGTGAGCCACAGCACCCGGCTGCCACTGGCTTCTTTAATTGGTTAAGAGCACAAAATGTAACAGGCAGAAGGTCTGTTTCAAACAAATTAAAAAGCTATGTGTTTTTTAAATTCTCCCCAAGTTGGATATACACACACCCACAAAAATAGTGTGTGAAGGAAAGCTGTCATACACAGTAAGTTGTATCCTGAATTATTCAAGGAAACACATGTTGAAATAGGAATTAACAGAGTCAGCAACAGATTAATATTTTTTAACTGAGTCTAAAAATGCTACATAGCCCTAAGGAATACTACATAAAGTACTGCTAGGTACAAACAAAAAAGTCTGTATAGCTTTTAGCAAAAATGTTTTTCCAGAAAAGAAAATTAAAATAATGCAATCAGCAGACCAAGGAGACTACAGCTAGACATCAGAGCTACAACTTCGCATACCTGTGTCAGAAAATCCTATTTATCCACAACAGACTAAAATTTCAGGACAAAACAGGGACTTTTTAACTTTTCTTACTTTACCCATTTTAAATTCTTTGATAAAAGGTTTTTAATTGGGTTAACACAGTACATGCTGAAGTTCATATTTTGTTGTTGTTGTTGTTAATCTGTAAGGTCATTTTCATCCTTACCTTCTTCCCACCTGGCTTCTCCACAGTGAAAACTTCACTCCAGATTTGAATCCCAGTGGTTTCTGGATCAGATCCCCCTCTCCAGGAAAATCCTGTTAACGGTTCTTCTGGGTCACCCAACCAATTTGAATGGCCACTTTCCTTCTACAGAAGTAAGAAATTTCTATTAAATCTTAAATTAAAAATTTTATGCATCAAGGATAATCTATGAGCTTATTTCGCTTTTTTGGACATTAAAGTCTCACTTTTTACTTGAAATAAAATAATTCTATCTTACCTGAGAATATAAGTATCGTAGCATAAAATCCAGAATGAAGGACTTGCCCTTTCGGAAGGCACCAGCCACTGAAACCACCACCACATCAAGATCTCGGATGTGGTCCTGCAAGAGGATGCTGGCCAAGGCTTTCTCATCTAGCTCAAAGGAATGTTGATCTTTCTGAACCAAAACAACCTGCACTGGACCAGGCTTGCTGCTCTCCATGGCATCATCTATGTTCATGCAGAGAAAAAAAATCAGTGTCAAATATTTAAAATATGTTTTTGAATATAGGGAAAACAAAAACTTCTTAAACAGGGGACAGGGCCAGGCTCAATGGCTCATGCCTATAATCACAGCACTTTGGGAAACCAAAGCAGAAAGATTACTTGAGGCCAGGAGTTTCAGACTAGCCTGGGAAACGGTGAAACCCAGCGCTATGAAATTTAAAAAATTAGCCATATGTAGTGGTGTATACCTGTAGTCCTAGCTACTTGGGAGGCTGAGGCAGGAAGACTGCTTGAGCCCAGGGGTTTGAGGTTACAGTGAGCTATGACCACACCACTGTACTCCAACCTGGGTGACAAAACTAAACAAAACAAAAAACGGACACAAAAATACTAACCATAAAAGGGCAGGGCACAGTGGTTCGCCCCTGTAATCCCAGCACTTTGGGAAGCCGAGGTGGGTGGATCACTTGAGGTCAGGAGTTCAAGACCAGCCTGGCCAACATGACGAAACCCCATCTCTACCAACAAATACAAAAATTAGCTGGGTGTGGTGGCACGCACCTGTAAGTCCTAGCTACTCGGGAGGCTGAGGCACGAGAATAACTTGAAACTGGGAGGCAGAGGTTGCAGTGAGCCGAGATCATGCCATTGCACTCCCACCTGGGTGACAGATAAGACCCTGTCTCAAGTTAATGGGTGCAGCACACCAGCATGGAACATGTATACATATGTAACTAACCTGCACATTGTGCACATGTACCCTAAAACTTAAAGTATAATAATAATAAAAAATAAATAAAATAAAATGTTGTTAAAAAAAAAAAGACCCTGTCTCAAAGAAAAAAAGTACTATCCATAAAAGAAAATAAAATGACAACACAGACTTCATTAAAATTAAAAACTTTGTTCACTTAAAGACTTCAATAAGTAAAAATGCAAGCCATGGGCTAGGGAAGAGTATTCACAATATCTGTTTCCAAAGGACCCACATCCAGCATCAACATAGCAATCCATAAGAAAAAAATAACAGGCACTTTGTAAGAAAAAGATATACAAATCCTATTAAAAGGTACTTCCATATCATTACTTAACAGGGAAATCTAAATTAAAACCACAATAAGATACCACTACCTGCCCATCAGAATGGCTAAAATTTAAAGACTGACAATATCAACTGTGGGACAGGGTATGAAGCAACCGCAATTCTCACACATTCTGATAGGAGCACAAAATACTAAAGCCACTTCAAAAAACTGTTTGGCTGTATCTACAAAAATTAAATATATCTGTGATCCAGCAATTCTACTCCTAGGTATACACCTAAGAGAAATGAATGCCTATGTCCACCAAAAAACATATATACAAGAATGTTGAGCTGGGCATGGTGGCTCGCACATATAGTCCCAGCTACTTGGAGAGCTGAGGCAGGAGGATTACTTGGGCCCAGGAGTTCAAGACCAACCTGGACAATATTGCAAGACTCTATCTCAAAAACAGAAAGTTCATTATCAGCTTTACTCAAAACAGTCCAAAAGTGGAAATAAAACAATGTCTATCAATAATAGTGTTTGCCACTGCTAAGCTTTATTTAGATATATATATACACATATATATATATTATTTAATCCTCAGAACAACTCTTTGATGTAAATAATACTGCTCCATTTTAAGAAGAAGGAAATGGCCAGGCTCAGTGGCTCACATTTACAATCTCAGCACTTTGGGAGGCCAAGGCAAGCTGATCACTTGAGGTCAGGAGTTCAAAACCAGCCTGGCCAACATGGTAAAGCCCCGTCTCTATAAAAATACAGAAAAAAAAAAAAATTAGCCATGCGTGGTGTCGCACGCCTGTGGTCCCAGCTACTGAAGAGGCTGAGGGAGAAGAATTGCTTGAACCGGGAGGCAGAAGCTGCAGTGAGCCGTGATCGCGCCACTGCACTCCAGCCTGGGTGGCAGAGTGAGACTTGGTCTCAAAAAAAAAAAAAAAGAAGGAAATGAAGGCTTATGAAGGTTCAGCATATTGCCCAACAGGTCCTAGATATAAGCTCAAAAAGATCTTTAGGTGGTTGTATTTTGCATATCACTAGTAATAACTCAAAAAGTTTTAGAAGCTATTAATTCTATAGTTCAAAATTAAGCACTAACTATATTATACTTTCCTTACCAGAGTTTCCCTACCAAAGCACAAAGATAACTAATTAATTTGAAATTCAGGCCAGGCACAGCATCCACGCCTGTAATCCTAGCACTTAGAGAAGCTGAGATGGCAGGATTGCTTGAGGCCAGGAGTTCAAGACCAACTTGGCCAATATAGCGAGAGACTGTCTTAAAGAGAAGAGAAGAGAAGAGAAGGCAAGGGGCCGGGCGTGCTGGCTCACCTGCGCAATCCCAGCACTTTGGGAGGCCGAGGCGGGCAGATCACCTGAGGTTGTGAGTTCCAGACCAGCCTGACCAACATGGAGAAACCCCATCTCTACTAAAAATACAAAATTAGCCCGGTGTGGTGGCACGTGCTTGTAATCCCAGCTACTTAGGAGGCTGAGGCAGGAGAATCGCTTGAACCCAGTAGGTGGAGGTTGTGGTGAGCTGAGATTGCACCACTGCACTCCAGCCTGGGCAAAAGAGTGACACTCCGTCTCAAAAAAAAAAAGTGAAAAGAAAGCAAGAAGGAAATTCATTCAGGCTAGACATGGTGGCTCACACCTGTAATCCCAGCACTTTGGGGGCCAAGGCAGGCGTGTCACCTGAGGTCAGGAGTTCGAGACCACCCTGGTCCAACATGGTGAAACTCCATCTCTACTAAAAATACAAAAATTAGCCGGGCGTGGTGGTGGGTGCCTGTAATCCCAGCTACTCCAGAGGCTGAGGCAGGAGAATTACTTGAACCTGCACGGTGGAGGCTGCAGTGAGCCAAGACCGTGCCACTGCACTCCAGCCTAGATTTCAGAGCAAGACTCTATCTCAAAAAAAAAAAAAAAAAGAAAGAAAGAAAGAAATTCAGAGCCACTTAGTAGCTGTGGACTTATGGGAAGTTCACAAAAAACTACCAGTGGGGCGTAAGGAATGAATAAAGAACTATTTCCCTAAGAGTATGTGTCACTGGTATTAAAGATGTTTTTAGGTAGTTAAAAGGACATAGTAATTTTAATAATTATGCATGTTAATGTATACTTTAAAACAACAAATCTGTATTTTGATAAATTATTCTTTAGAAGGATGCTAAGTTTAAGAAGTCTGTTTATTTATTTAAGACAAGGTCTGGCTCTATAACTCAGGCTGGAGTGCAATGGCACAATCTTGCCTCACTGCAACCTCTGCCTCTCCGGCCCAAGTCATCCTCCCACCTCAGCCTCCCAAGTAGCTGGGACTACAGGCATTCATCACCACACCCAGCTAATTTTTGTATTTTTGGAGAGACAGTGTTTCACCATGTTGCCCAGGCCCGTCTTGAACTCCTGAGCTCAAATGATCCACTCGTCTCAACCTCCCAAAGTGTTGGGATTACAGCGACACCGTACCCAGCCAAGAAGTCAATTTAAAGTCGACTTAAGGAGACATATTAAGTAAAGCTTAGTACTGACAGGCAGACATGGCCAAAATCACAGCGACACAGTACCCAGCCAAGAAGTCCATTTAAAGTAGACTTAAGGAGACATAGTAAGTAAAGCTTAGTACTGACAGGCAGACATGGCCAAAATCACAAAGATGGTTCCAAAATGACTTTGTCTAACCAGCACTGAAGGCTACACGATCATGGCAGGCAAAGCAGACAAAACAGTTTGACTGCAAGACTCTCTCCCCTTCAAGCTACTGGAATTGCTGCTCACTTTTTACATTTATAGTATCAGATAGCAACAGAAGGGTTCTTCGCACTTTTTTTTTTTTTGGAGACAGTATTTTGCTCTGGCACACAGGCTGGAATGCAGTGGTGCAATCCTAGCTTACTGCAGCCTCAAACTCCTGGGTTCAAGCAATCCTCCCACCTCAGCCACCAGAGTAGCTGGCAGTACAGGTGTGTGCCACCATGCCTGGCTAATTTTTTAATTTTTTTGTAGAGATGGGGGTCTCATTATGTGGCCCACATTAGTCTCAAACTCCTGGGCTCTAGTGATCCTCTCACCTCAGCCTCCCAGAATGCTGGGATGATAGGCCACTGTGAATGTGGATGATAGCCACTGTGGCTGGCTTCTTCCTACTTTTTAAGTTTTTGCAGACTATTGGAAAACAAGTTATAAATATAGGTTAAATGTCATGCTATCATTGTAATCAATGTATACTAATACTTTTCTTTCCTGTTATTGCCTGGATTAAAAAGGAAACACTTCTGTGAATAATCTCTTAGGGTTCTTATTGCCCCAGCAGCAGGTAAATCCAAGATCCAAAGACCTTCAGTCTTTCATACAAAGAACTAATGAGAAGAATTTATTCAGACTTCAGGGATAAGCCACAGTGTTAAGTACTGTGTAGCACTCAAAGAAATACAAAACAAAGTCTTGATTGTGGCAGAGATGTCTGGTTGTTCCCCCAATATTAATTTCTCCCTCCTGCTATATAATAGATTTTTAGCTGGGCATACAACTGCCCAGAAGAAACACATTTCCAACCCAAATTTATAGCTAGGATATGACCAGGTGACTAAATTCTGAACAATGGGAAGTGACTGGAAATAACAGACACAACTTCCAGATCAGGCATTTTCCCCCTGCTTGCTGGCTAGATGTAAAAGTGGGAGTGAATCATCTTGGGCCAGGCATATGAGGGCAACACCCCAGGAATGCTGGAGAAACAAGAGAGGTCAGATTTCGTATAGCAGAACTGCCATATTGGTTCACTTCTGTGTGAAAGAAAAATAAATGTCTACCTTGCTTAAATCACTTATTTGGAGGCTCCATCAAATACAGCCAAGCCTAGCAGCCAACACAACAGTCTTCCAGGACTTTACAATTAAGTTCATCATACCAGATCTTTTTGTTTTATCTATTTCACTATTAAAAGTTTACTGAGCGAGGCCAGCCTCGGTGGCCCATGCCTGTAATCCCAGCACCTTGGGAGGCCGAGGCAGGCAGGTCACTTGAGGTCAGGAGTTCGAGACCACCCTGGCCAACATGGTGAAACCCCATCTCTACCAAAAATATAAAAAATTAGCTGGGCGTGGTGGTAGGCACCCGTAATCCCAGCTACTCGGGAGACTGAAGCAGGAGAATCGCTTGAACCCGGGAGGCAGAGGTTGCTGTGAGCCAACATTGCGCCACTGCACTCTAGCCTGGGCAACAGAGCGAAACTCTGTCTTTTAAAAAAAAGCGTACTGAGCAATGTGAATGTAATGAGCAATATCAATGTAATGACACACAGCACATACAATAAGCTATTGTTTTTTTGTTTTTTTTTTTTGAGACGGAGTCTCGCTCTGTTGCCCAGGCTGGAGTGCAGTGGCGCGATCTTGGCTCAGCGCAACCTCCGCCTCCCGGGTTCAAGCGACTCCCGAGCAGCTGGGACCACAGGCATGCACCTCCATGCCCGGCTAATTTTTGTATTTTTAGTAGATAGAAGGTTTCACCATATTGGCCAGGCTGGTCTCGAACTCCTAACCCTGTGATCCACCTGCCTCAGCCTCCCAAAGTGCTGGGATTACAGGCGTGAGCCACCGCACCCGGCCAATAAACTATTGTAAAATGAATGAATGACATGTACCATAATGTGGTTGAAGGCTACAACCCAAAGGATCCAAGTGGCATTGTCAGAGCAGTAGACATGGAAGATAAAGTTACGTGGTTACAAGATGGGGTAATCCAATGATAAGAATGTATACAGTTGAGACTGGGCATGGGGGCTCATGCCTGTCAATCCCAACACTGGAAGGCCAAGGTGGGTGGATCACCTGAAGTCAGGAGTTCAAGACCACCCTGACCAACATGGAGAAACTCTGTCTCTACTAAAAATACAAAATTAGCTGGGCGTGGTGGCACATGCCTGTAATCCCAGCTACTCGGGAGGCTGAGGCAGGAGAATCGCTTGAACCCCGGGAGGCGGAGGTTGCGGTGAGCTGAGATTAAGCCATTGCACTCCAGCCTGGGTGACAGAGTGAGACTCCATCTCAAAAAAAAAAAAAAAAAAGAAGAATGTATACAGTTGTGTACAGTGAACTGCACTTCAAGAGAAGCTGAAGACTACTGAGGACAGCTATGGGGGAAAAGTCCTTACTCATCTCTTCCTCTCCCTGTAGCACGGTACCCAAGAATAAAGGAAGGGAACCAGGCTCTGTTTAGTTGGAAGAGCTGGGGTGATTCTGCATTTCTCTTCACACCAGTAATATAAGCATGATTATCAACACCCACCAGATTAAAAAAGATCTTGTTGGCCAGGCATGGGAGGTCTCGCCTATAATCCTAGCACTTTTGGGAGGTTGAGGCAGGCAGATCACCTGAGATCAGGAGTTCGAGACCAGCCTGGGCAACACGGCGAAACCCCATCTCTACTAAAAATATGAAAATTAACCAGGCTTGGTGGTAACGCGCCTGTAATCCCAGCTACTTGGTATCACTTGAACCTGGGAGGCAGAGGTTGCAGTAAGTCAACCACTGCACTACAATCAGGACAACAGAGCAAGACCCTGTCTCAAAAAAAAAAAAAGATGTTGTTCACTGACAGTGATCCTTGGGTTTGGGCTTATGTAAGGGAAGAATTATTTTGAGCTGTACACACCAATAATGCAAGTTAAATGGAGCTGCTTATATATTACACCTTTTTTAAGACTGGGTCTCACTCTGTTGCACAGGCTAGAGGTGCGGTGGTGCAATCATGGTTCACTGCAGCCTCAACCTACCGGGCTCAGGCAATCCTCCCACCTCAGCCTCCCAGTATCATCTCACTGCAACCTCTGCCTCCTGGGTTCAAGCAATTCTCCTGCCTCAGCCTCCTAAGTAGCTGGGATTACAGGTACCCACCACCACGCCTAATTTTTGTATTTTTAGTAGAGGTGGCGTTTCACCACCTTGGCCAGGCTGGTCTCGAACTCCTGACCTCAGGTGATCCACCCGCCTCAGCCTCCCCAAGTACTGGGATTACAGGCGTGAGCCACCGCGCCCGGCCTACCCTCTATTTGGATGATACAACTTCACAGATCTCTAACTTGCATTTAGTCTAAATGTACAACTGCCTAAGGGACAGATTCACCTGCTTACTCTCAGAAGTAACCTGTGGAAATATACAAATTTAGGACTCAAAACACAAGTTCCTGTTCCAGCCCTGCCACTAACAACCTGTGTGATCCTGGGCATGTCTAGTTTTCAGTTTCATCACTAAAATGGGTCAAGTGCTAACTGGGTGTGGTGGCTCATGCATGTAATCCCAGCACTTTGGGAGGCCGAGGGGGGTGGATCGCACACCGTGCGATCAAGTGATCTATCCACCTCAGACTCTCAAAGTGCTGGGATTACAGGCATGAGCCACCGTGCCCGGTCCACTTGTCAGGAATCTTAAACTCTGGAGATCTAGTCTCCGGGGAGGGTACTAAAAATATCTGTAAGTGGCAACTTTACATGCCTTGTCCCTTTAGAGAAGCAATTATTTTCCAAGGTCTAATTCTGCATACTGCAACAACAGTTAATGCTGTATTACATTACTTACATGAATATGGATAACGTGATGTTTTTGCACAGACACAAAGCTACAGCTGGACCACTGTTACATCTATCATTCATATGTATTTATGTGAATTTACAACATATGTTTAAAATTCCAGAAATAAACAATTCGTAAGTCTTAAGATTGCAACGCAGTTCTTAGTACCATGATGAAATCTTGTGCTATCCTGCCTGGGACATGAATCATTCCCTTTTCCAGAGTATCCACACTGTATATGCTACCATGCCCATTAGTTATTTAGTAGCCTTCTCACTGATCAACGTAGTGTATACAGGGCTCAGTGCTATCAGCAGTTTCAGGCATCCACTGGGGGCCTTACAATATATGCCCCTCAGATAATGGGGACTACTTCATTGCTGTAAATAGCTCATGATAATATTCTATCACTCATCAGTTCAAGTATGTAGAAAATGTTGAAAATCTTTGTATAATTAGAAAGCATTTTTTTTTTTTTGAGACAGATTCTTGCTCTGTCGCCCAGGCTGGTGAGCAGTGGCGTCATTCCTGCTCACTGCAACCTCCACCTCCCAGGTTCAAGTGATTCTCCCACCTCAGCCTCCCAAGAGTTTAGGATTCCTGAGAAGTGGGCCGGGTGCAATGGCTCACGCCTGTAATCCCACCACTTTGGGAGGCCAAGGCGGATGGATCATTTGCAGCCAAGAGTTTGAGACCAGCCTGACCGATATAGTGGAACCCTGACTCTACTGAAAATTCAAAAAAATTGGCCAGGCGTGGTGGTGCATGACTGCAGTCCCAGCTACTCGGGAGGCTGAAGCAGGAGAATCACTTGAACTTGGGAGATGGAGGCTGCAGTGAGCTGAGATCGCGCCATTGCACTCCAGCCTGGGTGACAGAGCGAGACTCTGTATCAAAAAAAAAAAAAAAAAATGACAGTGTAGACTAGGGTTTCTCAACCTCAGCACTACTGACATATTGACATTGGAGCTGCACAACTGTTGTGGGGGGCTATCCTACGCACTACAGGCTATTGAGCAGCATCCCTGGCCTCTACCCACTAGATACCAGTAACACTCCCCACAACAGGTTCTAACACCCAAAAAACGTCTCCAGTCATTGCTAAATGCTCCAGGGGCAGGAAGAGGCAATATTACCATAGGTTAAGAACCACTGAGTAGAGTCAGCCTTGGTGTTTATCCTTACCATTCAAAGAGTTCTGAATACAAAGTAACCAACCAGTCACAGAAACACTTTGCTGAGTAGATTCATGTATGACTCAGGGTAAAGTTATGACCTGAGTTTTCCAGTCTCCTTATAAAATATCATATTCTCCAAAGGGCAAGAGCAACACACCCAAAACAGAGGCATACCATTTTCATGCCTTGTTCTTGCTGGCAGTCTTTAAGGTTTCTAACTGACAAAGCCAGAGAAAACATCATCACAGGCAAGAGTAAGTATACTAAGACCTTAGCCAACTCTAGAACTGCTGGGTGTGGTTCCTTCTGGTGGTGGAGGGGTGGGTGCTTTTATATACCGTTTTGTCTTAAGGCAGTGATTGTGCCAGTAGATACACTGCAATACGCTTAAGGCTGTTTCAGTGAAAATACTATTTAAATCTAATTAACCAGAATACTGGGCAAATTTTATATTTGTCTGTTGTAGAAAATCTTTTCGCCATAGCACAGAAGGCTGAACAAAACCATATTTTTTGTTGTTGACTAAGGATTGTGTAATGCTTCATAGGTTTACAAAAATTATCTATGACTAAATGGTACTGAAGATTCAGAAAATCCAAGGAGAGGGCTGAATCTGAAAATGATGCCAGGCTATATCACAAGTGGAGGAAAAAAACCTTTTTAATGGAATGAGCTCAGTAACACTTTTGTATCTCTTTCCTAAGAATAAGAATGCCACCAAAGGTTTGAATTAGCTGTGTTCCTTTTTTTTTTTTTTTTTTTTTTTTGAGACAAGGTCTCACTCTGTTGCCTAGGCTGGAGTGCAGTGGCAAGAACAAGGCTCACTGCAGAAAAAAGAAAAAAAAAAAGGCTCACTGCAGCCAACTTCCTGGGCTCACTCCATCCTCTCACCTCAGCCTCCTGAGTAGCCAGAACTACAGGCCTGCAACACCACGTTGGCTAACTTTTTTTTAATTTTTTTTTGGGTGGGGGGGGGCGTCTCACCATGTTGGCCAGGCTGGTCTTGAACTCCTGACCTCAGGTGATCCACCTGCCTCAGCCTCCCAAAATGCTGGGATTACAGGAGTAAACCACAGCTCCCGGCCAAGTAAGGATTTCCTAATTAGCGCCTACTATACCAGGAAAGCCTGTCTTCTAATCTGTTAACATACTTCAGCTGTGAAATATATCTAAGGTGTTCTGACAATCGAAATACCACGCAACTGGGCCAGGCGCCGTGGCTCACACCTGCAATCCCAGCACTTTGGGAGGCCGAGCTAGGAGGATCACCTGAGGTCAGGAGTTCAAGATCAGCCTGGCAAACATGGTGAAACCCCGTCTCTACTAAAAATACAAAAATTACCCAGGCGCGGTGGAGGGCGCCTGTAATCCCAGCTACCTGGGAGGCTGCGGCAGGAGAATCGCTTGAACCTGGGAGGCGGAGGTTGCAGTGAGCAGAGATCGCGCCATTGCACTCCACCCTGGGCGAGAGAGCAAGACTCCTTCTCACCAGAAGAAAAAAAAAGAAAAGAAAAAGAAAATTAAGCTAGTACACAACACCACATCTATCCCGTTACTTCTATTTCATGAATTCTACTACAATGAGGTAGTAAACTGTAGCTAATACAATAATGGGCCGGGCACGATGGCTCACGCCTGTAATCCCAGTACTTGGGAGGCCGAGGAGAGGAGGGTGGTTCACCTGAGGTCAGGAGTTCGAGACCAGCCTGGCCAACGTGGTGAAACCCCGTTTCTACTAAAAATACAAAAAATTAGCTGGGCCTGGTGGCGGATGTCTATAATCCCAGCTACTCGGGAGGCTGACGCAGGAGAATCATTTGAACCCAGGAGGCGGAGGGTGCAGTGAGCCGAGACTGCGCCACTGTACTCCAGTTTAGGTAGCAAAAACGAAACTCCGTCTCAAAAAAAAATAGCCGCGCATGGTGGAGAGCGCCTGTAATCCCAGCTACCCGGGAGGATGAGGCAGAAGAATTGCTTGAACCCAGGAAGCGGAGGTTGCAATCAGCCGAGATCGCGCCATTGCACTCCAGCCTGGGTGACCAGAGCAAAACTCCGTCTCAAAAAATAATAATAAAACAATGTGCTGGACTACTGCAATACTGAGATCCTTCTCAGCCAAGTGTTTACAGGTGTTAGAGCGGCAACAGGAATTTCTGGAGTACAAGCTAATCTCTGTGGGAATGGAAAAAAAAAAGCACTAATTTGAATTTCAGTACCTATGTTGCAATGCTAAATTCTTGACAGGGATTAGTACTCCGTAGGTTATGCTTCTTAAATCTCCAAAAGTAAGCCAATATGTGAAATCGTACATTTTTGGTCCGTTATTCTAAGACTGACAAAACGTTCCATTGCTTCGTATTTGAATTTGAGAACTGAGACTCATTTAAAAATTCTTCACTGTTCTTTTCCTTTTTGCTCTTCGATTTCGCAAGTGAAACGGTCATTTCAACAGCACACACATTACACTAGAATAAAGCCAAGTAAAATGACAGACTAAATCAGATCCGTGAATACACGGTGACTCCTTATTTGGTTTTTAATACTTTCACTATGTTTCATGTCTTCGGGAAAGCAAAAGAACAACGTACTGTGCCAAAAGCACTAACTTACGAAAAACCAATTTAGACCAATTCTTTACAGCGTTAAGTATGGGTTGAAAACCAACTTTCCTAATACTTGTGGTCAGTGCCTCAAGGTCGTTAGGATAAAAATAAAGCTTCCAAGACACTTCGCAGCCTTCCAGCACTTCCAGAAAGGCCAAATAAACCAGCATTCACCTTCCCGCTCCATCCAGGCCCCGATTCTCCGACCAGAGAGGGCGCTGAGTGCCCGGGCACGGAGGGGCAGCGCCCTGGGGCGCCCGGCTCTGCCCAGGGCGGGGCTCGGCGGGGCCGAAGCTCCGGACGCCGCCCACGGGGACCACCGGCCCTTGGGCCGCCCAGGGGCAGCTGCAGCCCAGGGGAGGAGCTGGAGGAGCCCCCGGCGGCACCAGGGCCCGAGCCCTGACGGCGGCCGCCCCCGGCCGAAAAGTAAGGAAGGTGCCGCCCTCGCTGGACCAGCTGGGCCCGAAGAGGGGCCCCCCCACCACAAATTCGGAAACCGAGTGACCCCGGCGAGGGACGCGCGGTCCCAGCCCCGGGACGAGGAAGGGCGGCGGCGCGGGCGGGGGTTCTTTTCAGAACTACAGCAGGGAAGGCGGCGGGGGTGGCCGCGGGGCGATCCAGGGAAAATCGGCGCCTCACCTGCTCCTCTTGAGGCAGCTGCTGCCACTCGCTGAGGGGACAACATGGAGCCTCCGCCTTCAAAGCAGAAGCAGCAGGGGTGCAGAGGAGAGGGACGGGTGCGGGCGGGAACGAACCGGGCCCTGGAAGCGGGAAACGGGCGGAGCCTGGGCTCTAGAAAAAACTAGCCAGAAGGTGGGGCACGCGGAGCCGCGACGGAGCGAGCGCAGCGCGGTCTGCGTGGCCCAACGGACAGCCCGAGGCGTGGCGAGCGCAGGACGAGGCTAGGCGAGGCGGGGCGGGAAAGCGCACGCGGCAGAATCCCGCCACCGCCTGCCGCGTGTGCGCGAAGCGAGCCGCCGGGTACCTGTTGGCGGGGCGCTGAGTGCTACCGTCCTTTGGGAATTGTAGTCCCGCGCTCACTGGGTCCCGGCCAGCGGTCCTCATACTGCGCACTCATCTGGGGCGGGGCTTGGCGTGGTTCTCCGACGACTGAACTACAACTCCCAGCAGGCTGTGCGGGAAGGGGCGGGCTGGCTCGGGTCCTCCTGCGAGCTGCGGCCGGCGCCTAACGTGCAGACCAGGCCCCAGGCCGAGGCTTTATCCTGGAACCACCAGTGTGAGAGACAGCTTTGGTGTTTAACTAGGCCTGGGACCACAGGTGGGCAGAAGAGAGGCCTCAACCCTGGATGGCATGAACGTCACTGGGTCTTTAATGATTTTGACTTCATAAGGGCAGGTGGCCGTGACTTCATTACCACCTTTATTATCATCTCCCTATATTCCTGTCCCTGGCCATGGCTGATGCGCACCATCACCGCTCTGATAGCTAATGTAAGAAGTCCAGGCCGGGCGCCGTGCCTCACGCCTGTAATCCCAGCACTTTGGGAGGCCGAGGCGGGTGGATCACCTGAGGTCGTGGGCGTTCGAGACCAGCCTGACCAACATGGAGAATCCCCGTCTCTACTAAAAATACGAAATTAGCCAGGCGTAGTGGCGCACGCTTGTAATCCCAGCTAGTCCAGAGGCTGAACAGGAGAATCGCTTGAACCCAGGAGGCGGAGGTTGCAGTGAGCCGAGATCGCACCATTGCACACCAGCGTAGGCAACAGGAGCAAAACTCCATCAAAAAAAAAAAAAAAAAACTTGCACGCACATCCCAGCATTCTCTGCTCCTTTTCCCTGCATTACTTTTCTCCAAAAGACTTCATACCACTTGGCCAGGCGCGGTGGCTCACGCCTGTAATCCCAGCACTTTGGGAGGCTGAGGTGGTTGGATCACCTGAGGTCGGGAGTTCAAGACCAGCCAGGCTAACATGGTGAAACCCCATCTCTTCTAAAAATACAAAAAATTAACCAGGCGTGGTGGCAGGCGCCTGTAATCCCAGCTACTCGGGAGGCTGAGGCAGGAGAGGTTGCATTGAGTGGAGATGGCACCACTGCACTCCAGCCTGGGAGAAAGAGCAAGACTCCATCTCAAAAAAAAAAAAAAAAAAAAAGACTTCCTGCTACTATCTGACTTATGTTTTACCTTTCATTGTGTTTGTCTCTTCCCACTGAATGTAAGTTCCAAACAGATAGGAATTTTTGTCTGTTTTGTTTACTTGTATATCCCCAGTCCCTAAATACTGCTGGCAGATAATAGAGACTCAAATATCTATTGAATTAATGGATGAAGAAGATATATGTTACATCTAACACTGCTCACTCACTTTCTGGTTCCTTTAATATTAAATACCTAACTTTTACTATTGAACAAAATACCCTAGTTTATTTTAAGGGCTCCCCAGAGATTCACTGAAATCCAACTTCTCAGGAAGTGACCAGCAAATACTGATATATGTCTCAATATTACATCATCAAGGTATCAAGGTCAATGTTAGCACATCAGCATTGTAGCCCTTGTAGAAGCTTTTGGCATTTGGAACAAAACAGTACAAATTATAGGTGGACTTAAGGATTAGTCACAACTTAGAAAGCAACCCCTGTAAATGAGAAACATGTTTTGTGTTATTTCCTTCTCAAATATCCAGGGTCATCAAAACACTGGACATTGAAAGTGCCAAATATTGACAATACTGGTTACAGCCTGCCTTCAGCTATCTCACTCTGAATTGAGTTATGTGCTATGATCAGAGGTTGAGCTTCCCTTGAGGTTTTCCAGAAGTAGGTGACATGTAGACATATTTGAGTGGACAGACTACTGGCTTTGGGGTCAGACTTACCTGGCTCTGATGTTCACTAGCTATGCAACCTTGGGCGAGCTACTTAACCTCTCTGAATCCATTTCATCATCTGCAAAATGATTTAAAGACCCACACGGTTGTTCTAGGCTAAGTGAGCTGTGTGTTTGGAAATGATGACTGCGTGGTTAGTGATCAAAATTAGTAATCAGCATATTCATTCTGGAAAAGCAAAATAAAGTCATAAATATTCAAGATACTCAAGTGGTTTATGAAACACAAAAATAGCAAAATTGTTTTCTGCAATGGCATCCACCATGACTCAGGTTCCAAAGCTTTCCAAAAATAGGTCATTTGTTATATGCCAGGTACCGTGATAGGCCATAATGCTGCATAAGACACATTCCTATCCTCCAGAGACTCGCAGTCCTGTGGGATAGACAGCTGAGGAAATATCATTCACTGTGACTGTACTGGGACACAGTTCAGCTTTCTGCCCTCTATGTGCAGGATCATTATTTAAGCAACTTGGAAGGGACAAGTTGGAATACTACATCCCTGGGCATCATTTAAATTTCCATACCTTATTTTGCATGTGTGTAAAATGGGGTAATGATTTGGCATCTTCATTTGTAAAAAGAAAATAGCCAACCCCACTTGATAGGGTCTTATAAAGTTGAATATTAGGTCCTCAACATGGTAACATACTGAAAGCTTAAGACCTTGTCAGCTACTTCATTATTGGTATTTCAGCCAACAGCACAGCGGTCTAACTGGGAGGATCTCTTGAGCCCAGGAGTTCAAGACCAGTCTGGGGGCTGGGGGCAGTGGCTCACACCTGTAATCCCTACACTTTGGGAGGCCGAGGCAGGTGGATCACCTGAGGTCAGGAGTTGGAGACCAGCCTGGCCAACATGGTGAAATCCCGTCTGTACTAAAAATACAAAAACTTAGCCAAGAGTGGTGGCAGGCACCTGTAATCCCAGCTACTCCAGAGGCTGAGGCAGGAGAATCTCTTGAACCCGGGAGGCAGTGGTTGCAGCGAGCTGAGATCCTGCCATTGCATCCAGCCTGGGCAATAAGAGCAAAATTCTGTCACAAACAAACAAACAAACAAAACGGTCTGGGCAACATAGGGAGATCCCATGTCTACCAAAAATAAACAAATAAATTAGCCAGGTATGGTGGGGTACCTGTGGTCCCAGCTACTTGGGAGGCTGAGGTGGGAGGATTGCTTGAGCCTAGGAGGTAGAGGATGCAGTGAGCCATAATTGTAGCACTGCATTACAGCCTGAGCAACAGAGCAAACCCTACCTCCAAAAAAAGAAAGAAAGAAAGAAAGAAAGTGGGGGCGGGGGACAGCGCACAGTGGCTCATGCCTGTAATCCCAGCACTTTGGGAGTCTGAAGCATATGGATCACTTAAGGTCACAAGTTCAAGACCAGCCTGGCCAACACAGTGAAACACTGTCTCTACTAAAAATACAAAAATTAGCCAGGCATGGTGGTGTATGCTTGTAATCCCAGCAACCTGGGAGGCCGAGGCAGGAGTATGGCTTGAACCCAGGAGGCAGAGGTTGCAGTGAGCCAAGATCATGCCACCACTGCATTCCAGCCTGGGTGACAGAGCGACTCCACTAAAAAAAAAAAAAAAAAGGCAGTGGGGATGAGGATACAGATTTGCTATATTCACCTTTGCTTATGTTTGCCACAGGAATATCCTAATAGTGGCCAGGCTCGGTGGCTCACGCCTGTAATCCCAGCATTTTGGGAGGCCGAGGCAGGCAGATCACGAGGTCAGGAGATCGAGACCATCCTGGCTAACACGGTGAAACCCCGTCTCTACTAAAAATACAAAAAATTAGCTGGGCGTGGTGGCGGGTGCCTGTAGTCCCAGCTACTTGGGAGGCTGAGGCAGGAGAATGGCGTGAACCCAGGAGGCAGAGCTTGCAGTGAGCTGAGATCGCAGCATTGCACTCCAGCCTGGGCGACACAGCAAGACTCCATTTCAAAAAAAAAAAAAAGAGAAAATCCTAATAGTAGCTACCTATATGTGTGTAGAGGAGTGGAGGGAGTTAGTGATAAAACTTTACAATATATATATTCCTGAATATTTGTGTACGTATATATGAATGATCTGTGACTACATATCAAATTTTTTTTTGAGATAGAGTTTCACTCTGTCGCCCAGGCTGGAGTGCAGTGGCGCAATCTTGGCTCACTGCAACTTTTGCTTCCCAGATTGAAGCGAGTCTCCTGCCTCAGCCTTCTGAGTAGCTGGGACAACAGGCATGTGCCACCAGGCTCGGCTAATTTTTTTGTATTTTTAGTAGAGACAGGGTTTCACGATGTTAGGCAGGCTGTTCTCCAACTCCTGACCTCAGGCAGTCTGGCTACCTCGGCCTCCCAAAGTGCTGGGATTACAGGTGTGAGCCACTGCGCCCGCCCTTCAAATGTCTTAATTTAAAATATATAATTTTTAAAAATTTAAAAATAAAATAAAATATATAATTTTTTCTAAAAGTCAAGAAAATATAGGGTAATTAGATGGCTTAGAAGTTAAACTGGGAAATTATCTGTATAGGCCGAGCACAGTGGCTCAAGCCTGTAATCCCAGCACTTTGGGAGGCTGAGGTGGGCCAATCACCAGAGGTCAGGAGTTCAAGAACAGCCTGGCCAACATGGTGAAACCCCATCTCTAGTAAAAATATAAAAATTAGCTGGGCTTGGTAGCGTGCACCTGTAATCCTAGCCAGTGGGGAGGCTGATGCAGGAGAATTGCTTGAACTAAGGAGGCGGAGGTTGCAGTGAGCTGAGATCATGCCATTGCCCTCCAGTGTGGGCGACAAGAGCAAAACTCCGTCTCGAAAATAAAGAAATTATCTGTATAAGATACCAGTCCTGGCCAGGAGTGGTGGCTCATGCCTGTAATCTCAGCACTTTGGGAGGCCGAGGCGGGTGGATCACCTGAGGTCAGGAGTTCGAGACCAGCCTGACCAACATGGAGAAACCCTGTCTCTACTAAAAATACAAAATTAGCCGGGTGTGGTGGCACATGCCTGTAGTCCCAGCTACTCCAGAGGCTGAGGCAGGAGAATCGCTTGAATCCGGGAGGCAGAGGTTGCGGTGAGCCAAGATCGCACCATTGCACTCCAGCCTGGACAACAAGAGCAAAACTCCGTCTCAAAAAAAAAAAATACCAGTCCTTACTACGTACTCACACATGCACACAAAAATACCAGTCCTATAAAGACAGGGCCAAAGAATAAGAGACCTAGCACAGCGCCTCAGGTGTTCAAGGGAACTTCAGAGAAATGGCCATACTCCAGTGTGCTCTTTATTTTTCTTTCTTTTTTTTTTTTTGAGATGGAGTCTCGCTCTGTTGCCCAGGCTGGAGCGCAGTGGCGCGATCTCGGCTCACTGCAGGCTCCACCTCCCGGGTTCACACCATTCTGCTGCCTCAGCCTCCTGAGTAGCTGGGACTACAGGTACCCGCCAGTAAGCCCGGCTAATTTTTTGTATTTTTAGTAGAGACGGGGTTTCACTGTGTTAGCCAGGATGGTCTCGATCTCCTGACCTCGTGATCCACCCACCTCGGCCTCCCAAAGTGCTGGGATTACAGGCGTGAGCCACCGCGCCTGGAGTTATTTTATTTTTCAAGATGAGGTCTCGCTATATTGTCCAGGCTGGTCTTGAACTCTTGGGCCCAAGCCATCCTCCTGCCTTGGCCTCTCAAAGTGTAGGGATTACAGAGGTGAGCCACCATGACAGCCAGGGAGCACTTTAAAAATTCCATCTTGGGCCGGGCGCGGTGGCTCACGCCTGTAATCCCAGGACTTTGGGAGGCTGAGGCAGGCAGATCACGAGGTCAGGAGTACAAGACCAGCCTAGCCAACATGGTGAAACCTCGTCTCTACTAAAAATATAAAAATTAGCCAGGCATGGTGGCATGGGCCTGTAGTCCCAGCTACTCGGGAAGCTGAGGCAGAAGAATCACTTGAACCCAGGAGGTGGAGGGTGCAGTCAGCTGAGATCATGCCACTGCACTCCAGCCTGGGTGACAGAGTGAGACTCCATCTCAAAAAAAAAAAAAATCCCATCTTGGACAAAAAAAAGGAAAAAAAAAATCCCAGCTGAGCCATTTCCCACCAAAAACTTCCACTCAATCCCCATTATTCTTAAGACAAAGCCTCAGTTCTTTGGTTCAATACTACTGCTTCTCCAAAAACTGGCCCCAACATATCTTCCTCATTTTAGATGTTATCCCTATATCTTCCCTCCTGTCCTAATTCAAGCCTTCAGCTCCAGCCAATTTGGTCTAACCAACACCCAAGACACCTTATACACGCTCACGTCTGAGCCTTTAGCCACCACATATGGCTGTACAGTCTGAGTGTTACACCAAGGCAGCTTGTGGAGACAAGGGGCAAGAGGGGATCAAATCTAGGTGAGGTTCTGCTAGCCAAATCAGCATGGAACTGTATCATGGGTGGGGCTGGGAGAAAGAGGTTCTTTTTTGTGATTCATCTGCCCAGAAGAGTACTTTTTTTGTATACATTCACAAAAGCAACCCCTGTATTTGCTTCATACCATCCTTTTCTGCTTTTAATGACTTCCTTACAATTCCAAACACCTATCTAACTTTGAGCATCTTCACAAAACCTCCTGGCTGGGCGCAGTGGCTCACGCCTGTAATCCCAGCACTTTGGGAGGCCGAGGCAGGCAGATCACGAGGTCAGGACATCGAGACCATCCTGGCTAACACAGTGAAACCCCGTCTCTACTAAAAATACAAAAAATTAGCCAGGCACGGTGGCACGCACCTGTAGTCCCAGCTACTCGGGAGGCTGAGGCAGGAGAATCACTTAAACCTGGGAGGCAGAGGTTGCAGTGAGCCGAGATCGCACCACTGCACTCCAGCCTGGGTGACAGAAAAAAAAAAAAAACCTCCCTAAGCCACTACAACTTCATGGTAATTCCTTCCCCTCGTTGTTTTTGTTTTTGTTTTTGTTTTTGTTTGAGGTGGAGTCTCACTGTGTTGCCCAGGCTGGAGTGCAGTGGCATGATCTTGGCTCATTGCAACCTCTGCCTCCCAGGCTCAGGTGATTCTCGTGCCTCAGCCTCCCGAGTAGCTGGGATTACAGGTACACACCACTATGCCTGGGTAATTTTGTATTTTCAGTAGAGATGGGGTTTCTCCATGTTGGCCAGACTAGTCTCAAACTTTTGACCTCAGGTGATCCGCCTACCTTGCCCTCCCAAAGTGCTGGGATTACAGGCGTGAGCCACTGCGCCTGGCCCCTCTCTTTTAAATTCATTTAATTTACTTGCCATCTAATCAAAGCACTATGGTTTTATGGTGTTTGGGGTTGTTTTTAGTTGCTATTTAATTTATATTATTTAACTTTATGTGAGTATGTTTTTTGTCCTAACTAGCTTGTAAGCTCATTGAAGACAAGACTAACATATTTTGGAGGTCTCTTCAAAGTTCCCAGAATTGTGTTATACACACAGCACATGATCAATACACATTCATAGAACTGGCCGGGCACAGTGGCTCACGCCTATAATCCCAGGTGTGGGAAACTGAGGCAGGAGGATCACCCGAGGTCAGGAGTTCAAGACCACCCTGGCCAACATGGTGAAACCCCGCCTCTACTAAAAATACAAAAATTAGCCGGACATGGAGGCATGTGCCTGTAATCCCAGCTACTCAGGAGGCTGAACCAGAACTGCTTGAACCCGGGAGGCGGAGGTTGCAGTGAGCCAAGATGGCACTACTGCACTCCAGCCTGGGCAATAGAGCAAGACTCCATCTCAAAAAAAAAAATGTCTGAAGGGTCTGAAAAGACCAGTAAGACCACGTGCATATCTTGCTTTTTAACTTCTCTGCTGCTACATATTAGGAAAATGGACTTCCTTCCAGCTGGAGTCTCCAGATTGTAGCAAGTGCTGTCAGAGTTAGCTACCAGCATCATTTATTTCCTTATCTAGCACTTAATAATGTAGATTTTTGTTTGTTTGTTTTGTTTTAAGGAGCAGAGCGTTTAATAGACAAGAAAGAAGGAAGGAAGAAGAAAACAGCTCCCCTAATAATGCGATTTTTAAAAAAACATATGCACGTATCAGAATGGGTAGATAACTGGCTTGGTTATCCGATCTGCTATTATTTCCCTTTGCCATCCAAGAGACAGTTTGCTGCATTATCAGCTGATGCAGTAAGTGCCAGGGTAAGGTATTAGCCACAAAGTTATTTTGGGAAATATTTTTCTATGCCTTTTTCAGAGCATTGCAAAGGCCAGGAGTCATCCTCCCACCCCCTGGGGCTTTACCTGACCTTAAAAACTCAAGGGCAGATGTAGTACACAGCTTGTTCTAGAAGATTTCCACTGGTCAGATCGCCTTTCCCCTCAGTGGCAGCTTGGCTGACCACCTCCCGCTTCATGAGGCTGCATCTTTACAGGATCTGCTGATCCTGCAATTGTACTTTGGGTCATCGATTGCTGCTTTAGCAGTAACAGTCGACAGCCTTGATTTTTATTATTTCCAGGATACAGTCCTCCTTTTTTTTTTTTTATTTGACGGAGATTTGCTCTTTCACCCAAGCTGGAGTGCAATGGTGAGATCTCTGCTCACTGCAACCTCTGCCTCCCGAGTTCAAGCAATTCTCCTGCCTCAGCCTCCCGAGTAGTTGGGATTACAGGCGCCCGCCACTACCCCCAGCTAATTTTTGTATTTTTAGTAGAGACAGGGTTTCACCACATTGGCCAGGCTGTTCTTGAACTCCTGACATCAGATGATCCACCTGCCTCGGCCTCCCAAAGTGCTGGGATTACAGGTGTGAGCCACCGCGCCCAGCCAACAGTCCTCCTTTAACAAAGACTATGCACCTTTCCAATATTTTGACCAGATGTAGGGAGAAGGCTTCGAATTTGGCAATCCAGCCCAGGAAAAGCAAAAAATGAACAAAATCCAATATAGGCTAGAAATCTGGTTTTAAATACATGTTCTGCTAAGGACCTCTTTTAGTCTATGAATAAAATTCAATTATGTGTATTTTGTGCCTTATTCTGATTTTTTTTACTTTTTTTTTTTTTTTTAAGGCAGGAAGGTTCTCGCTGTGTGGCCCAGGCTGGACTCCAACTCCTGGGCTCAAGTGATCCTCCCTTCTCTGCCGTAGCAGAGACTACGGGCCTCTGCCACTGACTGCGGCCTTATTCTGAATTTTTAATATCTAATTTTATCATCCCCCATAATCACAGCCAACATTTTCTTATCTCCTGGCTCTTCTTCATCAGCTCAGCATTTTTTTTCCCTCTCTAAAATATGTCGTCTCTATCTGACAGTCTATTCGGAGGAAAAGAGAACCTTAAGACCCAAGGTGGACCCTTCTCTGGCAACAGTAACGAGATAAGAATACGAAGCAGGTTCTGCGACTGCATTGCAATGTGATTGGAATGAGTAATCGTTTTTCATTCTGTATAGCATCTTTCTCCACCTACCAAATGGGGGGCCGTGCCATCTCTGCCTCTCGGTGAGGAGATATTACGACACAGCCAGTGAGATTCACAAAGCACCTTGCAGAGTGGGCCTACTCTACACTCTGGTTTTCAGTTTTTATTGGAGTCACAGGTGGGAATGCATCAAACAAAAGATATAGGCTCTGGAATGTACGGGAAAGAGAGTTTCCATAATGGAAGCCCAAAGACATTTCTACCGTTAAAATACATAATCTGCCGACCCTAAAACATTCACATAAAGAGGCAGGAGGGAATACTATCCCGCAGCTCCACGATTAGCCGCAGTCGTGGGCGGGGATTGGGGCTTGGATACGCCTTTTGCGTCTGGTCCCCAAGGGACGCTCCCCAACCCTCGGCGCGCGAGGCGCCGCGTGAGGCCGGCTTTGCCCCTCCTTCCCTGCAAGAGCGCAGAGGAGCGGTTCTTGCGCCTGCGCCCTGCGCCGCTGCGCGCTTTGGCACCCGCTTGGGGCCCTTTGTGCGCATGCGCGCTCGCGCTCCCGCCCTCTAGCTGCGCTCGGCTGAGTCAGTCAGTCTGTCGGAGTCTGTCCTCGGAGCAGGCGGAGTAAAGGGACTTGAGCGAGCCAGTTGCCGGATTATTCTATTTCCCCTCCCTCTCTCCCGCCCCGTATCTCTTTTCACCCTTCTCCCACCCTCGCTCGCGTAGCCATGGCGGAGCCGTCGGCGGCCACTCAGTCCCATTCCATCTCCTCGTCGTCCTTCGGAGCCGAGCCGTCCGCGCCCGGCGGCGGCGGGAGCCCAGGAGCCTGCCCCGCCCTGGGGACGAAGAGCTGCAGCTCCTCCTGTGCGGGTAAGGCGCGCGGGGAGCCCCCGCCCTGGGAAAGAGGGCGAGCGGGAGCCTGGGGGCTGGGGGGATTAGGAGGCGAGGCGGGAGGAGGACGAATTACCCTCGACTACTGACGGCTTCAGCCCCCCGGGGACGAGCGTTTGGAAAATGGGCAAAGGGGAAGGGGAACGTAAGGTTGTGCAGGCGGTGAGGAAATAGCGGGGTGTGAGGAAAACAGGTTGGGGGCGGGGAGATAGTCCAGTGGGCGTTAACGCCAAGACTGGGCAGGTGGGGAAAAATACCAGCTCGTGGGATAAAATGGAGAGTTGCTCGATGCATATGGTGAACCTGGGTGATTTAGTGAGGATTAGAGAGATTGAAAGGATACGGGCAGGTGGGTGGTGGGAGAAACAATTTGTTACTATTTTTGAGGGGATGGTGGTGAAAGGGTTGCATTGCAGGTTTGCAGACAGGTGTTGACATAATCAAGCATTCATGATAGTCCTCCAAAATATTTTTGGCTGCCCATGGGAAGGATGAGGAAGTTTAATGGAAGCATTGTAGCCTGTTTTTTTTGTTTGTTTGTTTTGTTTTTACTGTTTTCGGCTAGACTCCATGAATGCCGGATTTTTCTGAGGCTCCGAGGTAGAAGGAGGCGTGATGAGAATAGCTCAGGGAAGATTTGGGAGGGAGCTGCTAATGGTCCAAGATGGATCCGTGGCTGCATCTGCAACAGCCTGCTCTTCCCTGGCGCTGCGTGGGGGTGGGGACACGCAATCAGTCGCTTATATTCTAGAAAATAGAGTCATGCTAAGCTATCAACATGTTTTGATTTCATGTTTTCTGTGGGCTACTATTGATCGAAGTATAACAAAGGGGGGTGTTTATTGCAGAAAGGGGGAGGGGGAGAACATTCAGACAAAGCAAGGGCTGGTTGAGTCCCCTTCTCCCATCTCTGTGAAAGACTAAGAACGAAGCTGCAGACCTCCTTTAGTTTGCATTGTATACGCGTCTGCCTGCTGGTAAGAGCTGCCTGGCAAGCTCCCCTTATGCAGAAATCTGCAGTGCAGATGCCTTCTTAAGGGGGGAAAAAAAAACCACCATGGGCAGGTGGTAGTTCTCAAAGGAACGGAGTCTTTGAAGGGAAAAAAAATGCCTTTTGTCAAAGGCAGGGCCGTAAATTCGGGAGAGTAGAGATAATTTTGCTCTCTATTTAGTTATGTTAAAGGATTTTGATCATTTTTTTTTAATGCTTCGTTGTCTCCTTTGGCAGAATCTTGGGTTCTAAAGAAAAAATTTCTGATCTTAACCTTAAATGTATTATTCTCTACGTGTTTTTCTAGCAGTGAATTTTCACCTGTCTGAGAGCTTTGGAGCCCTGTTGGATTTTTTCAGTGTGGTTATGGCCATTTCAGTAGAAACAGGCAGTATCAGGAAGCTTTTGCAGATAAAAGAATGAGGCAGCAAATTTAGAACCCTGTCTCCTTTAAACCACCAGCCTTTTCTCCAAATTTTTGTGTTCTGGGCTAAGGTCCAGATGAACAGCGACTTCCTTATAACTTAGCAACTTGATCTTTTTGCTTTAATCACTTGTCATTGCTTACTGTTTGGTAGGCCCTTTTGTACTTACCTTTTGGGTTTTCTTGATTTTTCATTTTTGATTCAGACCTAAGTTTTAGAAATTTGGCTCTGTAAGCTCAAGATAAGACAGATGTTAAGTGTTGAAGAGTCATTTTAGTTAGCAGATTTGAAAATTTAGTCCTAGTTTGTTTATAACTAAATGGTGAAATCATTTGAGATTCAACTTTTTCATTCTTTTAATGCACTTATGGAAGAACTGGCCTAGTAGGCCAATGAAATAAGAGTATTTTGTTCACAGACACACAGGCATACCACAACCTAATTGGCACCTAAATTGGCAATACGAATTTAATGACATAACATATTTCTGTTTGGCTTACCTTTTTTTATGTCATCTACCCTTGTCACAATTTTTATCTATTTATTGTGTATTTTTTGCACTTCTCTTTATAATAGTGGAAAAGGTGCTGAAATTATGTGTTTTGTCGAAAGTAGTAGAATTATATCGTGAAGTGCTGTTCCAAGTACATGAGTTTGCATTACATTTTCCGAATAATATTAAATGCCGCGGTTTCCACTCGTTATTTCTTTCTCTTTTCTTTTCTTTCTTTTTTTTTTTTTTTTTTTTTTTTTTTTTAGACAAGGTCTTGCTCTGTCACAGACTGGAGTGCAGTGGAGCCATCTTGGCTCACTGCAACCTCCATCTCCGGGGTTCAAATGATTCTCATGCTTCAGCCACCCGAGTAGCTGGAATTACAGGCGTGTGCCACCACGCGTGGTTAATTTTCTTTTGGTTTTTTTTTTTTTTTTTTTTTTTTTGGTTTTTTTTTTGAGACGGAGTCTCGCTTTGTCGCCCAGGCTGGAGTGCAGTGGTGCGATCTCAGCTCACTGCAACCTCCATCTCCCAGGTTCATGCCATTCTCCTGCCTCAGCTTCCCAGTAGCTGGGACTACAGGTGCCCACCACCATGCCCGGCTAATTTTTTGTATTTTTAGTAGAAACAGGGTTTCACAGTGTTAGCCAGGATGGTCTTGATCTCCTGACCTCGTGATCCGCCCACCTCGGCCTCCCAAAATGCTGGGAATACAGGCATGAGCCACCACACACGGCCCACACCTGGTTAATTTTTATATCTTTGGTAGAGATGGGGTTTTGCCATGTTGGCCAGGCTGGTCTCAAACTCCTGGCCTCATGTGATCTGCCCTCCTCGGCCTCCCAAAGTGCTGGGATTACAGATGGGAGCCACTGTGACCAGCTTTACCCATTATTTCTTAGTAAAATTTTATTACAGAATTTGTATTTCTTAGATGTGCTGTAGACACGTATCACTATTAGCACTTAAAACAGTGATATATAGTAGTACTTGGTAAGTATTTGTTGAATAAATTATCAAATTTACGAGCTAGAAAGGCACACTTGAGAAATAAACTAAAGAGAAACTCTTTTTGGAGTCTCGCTCTGTAGCCCAGGCTGGAGTGCAGTGGTGTGATCTTGGCTCACTGCAACCTCTGTCTCCTGGGCTCAAACCATTCTCCCACCTTAGCCTCCTGAGTAGGTGGGATTACAGACATGCACCACCACGCCCAGATAATTTTTGTACTTTTACTAGATATGGGGTTTTGCCATGTTGGCCAGGCTGGTCTTGAACTCCTGACCTCAAGTGATCCGCCCACCTCGGCCTCCCAAGGTGTTGGGATTACAGGCATGAGCCACTGAGCCCAGCCAAGAGACTCTTATCTTAAATGCTTATCCATTGCAAATGTGCATTCATATTGTCTAAAAAGCACTAATACAGTTTTGGTGGGCCCAATGCAAGATCCTCATTTGTTGGGTCACTACTTGAACATAAAAGTTTACCTTAAGATACTGCAGTGTGGGGCCAGGCACGCTTGCTCACTCCTGTAATCCCAACACTTTGGGAGGCTGAGGTGGTTGGATCACCTGAGGTCAGGAGTTAGAGACCAGCCTGAACAACATGGTGGAACCCTGTCTCTACTAAAAAATACAAAAATTAGCCGGGCACAGTGACGGGCACCTGTAGTCTCAGCTACTCGGGAGGCTGAGACAGGAAAATCACTTGAACCCAGGAGGCGGGAGTTGCAGTGAGCTGAGATCACACCATGGCACTCCAGCCTAGGCGACACAGCAAGACTCCATCTCAAAAAAAAAAAAAAGTTACTGCAATGTGTTGTAATCATTTTTATTGCAGAAGCCTTTCCTCCTTGCTGGATGTTTTTCTTCATGTCACAAAGGAAGTGTCTCAGGCTTTTGCACCATGAAAATAAGATGAAGTTTGTTATTCCAAAATTTAACTTATTTAAAATGTAGATGCTAAAAAATTACCTTAATTGTTTAAAAAAAAAATCTGTACGTATTGCTGTCATCCTCCAGCTTCATGTTCTTTCACCAAGCTCCTCTTGGTTTTGGAGACTTGTCTTGATTTTAGTTAAAGAAAAATAAGTGATTGGTTGGTGTCCTACAGAAAACAATTTTGTCTTGACTGACCTGTCCAGTAATTAATTTTAGAAGTATTAGTTACTATATACAGGTCAAGAATGAGTGATGGCACTCTGTACTTTAGTGCCTTAGGTTCTAATGCAGCCAGCAATGTAGTATGCTTAGAGATGGGGATCAGGGGTCAGGATGGCTTCCCAGATTTCTGCCTTTGAAGGAAACTGAAGATATCAGAGGCAAAAATTTGAGGTTGAGGTAAAAGAGACTGAAATATTCAGTGTTCATTTCAGAGCAAGAGTTGCCTTTATTAGGCCTCAAGTATAGAGACACGTCTATCATCTGAACTTTAAAAGTACTTTAATAGTTTACTGATGACACGATGTTGAAATTCTGTAACTTGGCCGGGCACGGTGGCTCACGCCTGTAATCCTAGCACTTTGGGAGGCCGAGGCAGGCGGATCACGAGGTCAGGAGATCGAGATCATCCTGGCTAACATGGTGAAACCCTGTCTCTACTAAAAATACAAAAAATTAGCCGGGCGTGGTGGCGGGGCGCCTGTAGTCCCAGCTACTCGGGAGGCTGAGGCAGGAGAATGGCGTGAACCCAGGAGGCGGAGCTTGCAGTGAGCCTAGATTGCACCACTGCACTCCGGCCTGGGGGACAGAGCGAGACTCCGTCTCAAAAAAAAAAAAAAAAAAAAGAACAAATTCTATACTTGCTAGAGACTGCTTTTTATTGTTGTTATGAAAGTTGGCTGAGTCTGGTGGCTCACACCTGTAATCCCAGCACTTTGGGAGGCTGAGGTGGGTGGCTTGCTTGAGCTCACGAGTTTGAGACCAGCCTGGACAATAGTGGTGAAACCCCATCTCTACAAAAAGACAAAAAAGCAAGAATTAGCTGAGCATGGTGATGTGCGCCTGTGGTCCCAGCCACTTAGGAGACTGAGGTAGGAGGATGGCTTGAGCTGGGGGCAGAGGTTGCAGTGAGCTGAGATTGTGCCATTGCACTCCAGCCTGGGTGACTGAGCCAGAACTTGTCTTAAAAAAAAGAAAAGAAAAGGAAAAAAGAAAATCATGATGCCAAAATAAAACTACATTTTATATGTTTGTTCATGGAAATTAGCTCAAAGCAAAAACAGCTTGGGCAATTTTTTGAAAAAGGTTTTGCTTTAAATATTTCTTTCCTCACTCATGAAACTTAGTTGTTCTGTGTACTTTTTATGGCTTCATTTTCACACTTTGTTCTACCATATTAATCAAATGTGAATATGTAATTTGTGTTTTGAGTTAACCCTTAAATAAAAAGGAATGTGGCCCCCGTCCAACACTGACATCATCTGAGTGTTACATTCGTGTCAGATTATCAGTGGCAGTGTAATGTGTTAAAACACAGACTTGAGCTCCAGGAATGCCTAGATTTCAATCCTGGCCCTGTCTCTTAATAATTATGTGATCTTGTGCAAGTCCTGAGCCTCAGTTTCCTTAACTTGAAAATTGGGATAATAGTATCTATCTTGGAGTTGGTATGAAAATTAAACACAATTTGGCTGGGCACGGTGGCCCACGCCTGTAATCACAGCACTTTGGGAGGCCAAGGCGGGTGGATCATCTGAGGTCAAGAGTTCGAGACCAGCCTGGCCAACATGGTGAAACCCTGCCTCTATTAAAGATACAAAAAATTAGCTGGGTGTAATCCTGTAATCCCAGCTACTCAGGAGGCTGAGGCAGGAGAATCACTTGAACCCAGGAGGTGGAGGTTGCAGTGAGCCAAGATAGCGCCATTGCACTCCAGCCTGAGCAACAGGGTGAGACTCCATCTAAAAAAAAAAAAAAAGTGAACACATTTATAGGGCTTAACACAGTGTCTTGCCTGTAGTAAATAACTGTACCATTAATGTGAAGAAATGAAATATAGATCAACAATGTGACCTAGACACATTTGCTTTGTACCCTTAAATCCTGACCTTTATTAAATAACAATACCTAATGTTTGACATCCATTTGTAGGTTACAAACTACTTGCACATATTAATAGATACCACATAGCAGTTCAAGTACAAATGAGAAATCTGTCTTCCTCACAATCAAAGACTATTGTTATGCCTTTTTTCCCTTTCCACATGTGAGTCAGTTGTTTCAGTTTGTGGCCCTTCACATTAATGTCATAAAGCTGCCACCCGCTTCCACTGAGGTGGTCTGTTAAAGAGGTAGAGGGAGGAGTCAAGATGTTTCCCAGAAGGCTTGGCATGAATCAATATGCTTAAATACTTATGCAGATTCTGACTAATAAATGTTGTTATGATACATTAGGAAACCCCTTTCAGCACAGAGGCAAGCATACAGGAGACAGCAAGAATGGTCATGTCAATATGGCCTGCAAATGCCTGCTGACTTGGATTGTTTTTATTCTCCAAGAATAAGAAGTGTGTTTTGCTTTTTTTTTTTTTTTTTTGAGACGGAGTCTCGCTCTGTCGCCCAGGCGGGAGTGCAGTGGTGCGATCTCAGCTCACTGCAACCTCCATCTCCCAGGTTCATGCCATTCTCCTGCCTCAGCTTCCCAGTAGCTGGGACTACAGGTGCCCACCACCACGCCTGGCTAATTTTTTGTGTTTTTAGTAGAGACAGGGTTTCACCATGTTAGCCAGGATGGTCTTGATCTCCTGACCTCATGATCCGCCAGCCTTGGCTTCCCAAAGTGCTGGGATTACAGGCGTGAGCCACCACGCCCGGCCAAGAAGTTTTTTTTTAATGCTGTTTTTGTTTATTGTCAAATTCACAAGTAATGGAACCACTCTGATCAAATTAAACAACCAATCTACATACATTTAGTAGGTGCACCCTTACCCTAAATTGTCATTTCTAAGGGGTTGTTCATTAAGTGGCTGGTAAGAACCTCAGTGTTTTTATTCTTGGTGTTTTAAAGATGGGCTGAAAATAAAAACCAATATTACTGCTTTTATCAAATTATCCTGTGAGGAAATAATATATTTATCCTGATATAGGAGTTACCTGTCTAGTCCTGTGCATGTTTCAAGCCTTGTAAAATGAAGTTTGGTCATGAAGGAATTGGTGACGTCTGGTTGAAGGGAAAAGGGAAAGTTGAGCTTTCCAATTTTGTTTGAGTCAAGAGTATATTTTGCAGAAAGACACTTCTCTTTACCCATAATCCTAGAATTTACCATTTTTGTAATTCTGAACAGAATTACAAAGGCTTCATTAAGTAAGTAGGTTTTCTAATATAAATGTGCATATTTGTTGTGTGCACTTAGCTTATAGTTTGTGTTAACTTTATTGTTGATGATGAATTTAGCCTCCTAAAGTATACAAACTTGTGAAAAATTCATCAATTTTGTAGTATAACTTTTTCTCTTAATTTAGCTAATACTCTTTGTATTGTTCTAATTTTGGTATATGTGCTGCTGAAGTAAGCACTCATAGTAAAACTTTTTAGACAAAAATTAGCAGGTCGATATTTTGTTCTTATAATTGACTTATTCAGAAGTTGCCCAGAAAACTGACTTAACCTTCTATTCTGTTCATTTATGACAGCTACTAGTTGTAGAGTTATTTTGGATCATAGGGTATGGTGTTGATGTTTTGAAAGAAGTGTGTGTGTTAAATAAGTTTAGCTGTAATCAGTATTGCTTGTGATTGCATCATTGAAGTCTTCTGGGCATCTGTGAGTTTTGTAAGACATGTTACTCTGTGATATTGCAACCTCAGAGAGAATCTCTTTAAATACTGTAACGGGGTTTGCATTTCCATTTTACGTATGGGAGAAGATTATCAGCAAGTGGCCTGCTCTTGTGATTTTTTTTTTTTATTTCAAATAACTATTCTTACCTGTTTTCTCCAATCAACTGATTTATTATCTCCTATAACCATATCATTGTAACCTAACCAGAGAAGACAGTGAGCTTATCAGCAAGTGGCCCACTCTTGTGATTTTTGATTTTTTTTTTTTTATTTCAAAGAACTATTTTTTTGAGACAGAATCCCCCTCTGTTGCTCAGGCTGGAGTGCAGTGGTGGGATCTCTGCTCACTGCAACCTCCGCCCCCCGGGTTCAAGCGATTCTCCTGCCTCAGCCCCCTGAGTAGGTGGGATTGCAGGCTTGTGCCACCATGCCCAGCTAATTTTTGTATTTTTAGTAGAGATGGGGTTTCACCATGTTGGTCAGGCTGGTCCCGAACTCCTGACCTCAAGTGAACTGCCCCCGCCTCGGCCTCCCACAGTGCTGGGATTACAGATGTGAGCCACCACACCCAGTCTCAAAGAACTATTCTTACCTGTTTTCTCCAATCAACTGATTTATTATCTCCTGTAACCATATCATCATAACTTAACCAGAGGGAACGGTGAGCTTTTTGACCTGTTCCTCATTGGTAGCTCGCCCTTCAAGATATATGGAAGGACATTCTGGAAAACCTTTTGTTATGAAAATTGTGTCCTGTTATTTGAACATATTTCAGTGGAGGGCATTGTCTTTATTTTACGTATGAGATAGAAGTACTTGATTTTCACGATATCTTACATTTGTGTACTGCTTTATGATTTAAGTTGTGCCCATATGTTACCTTAATTCAACAACTGAGCATACATGAAGGCTCTTTGCCAGGTGCTGTGGAAGACAGAAAGGTAAATAAAATATAGATCATTCCTCTAGAGGCCATATTCTATAGAGGAAAGACTTGTATTATGTTTATCTGTGAGGTAGACAGGTAGCGATATAACCCCCTTCTTACAGATGGGGACTCAGGCACAGAGAGTTTAATGCCCACGCTTTAAGATTTGAAGCAACATGTAGTAAAAGTGGCTCAGTTACCCTTTTGAATTCAGTGATCAGTTTAATTTAAAAGTCTTAATTTCTGGCTCCACGGTTCTTAAGCCAGGTGCCTTTTTATTTCACTGCTCTACAGAAACTTTCTAGTCAAGTTCACCAGATATTTTCCACATTGTTAAATTCAGTGGTCACTTCATCCTCCTCTTAACATGCTTTCACAACAGCTTTTGACATAATTGATTATTCTCTCCTTGAAATGCTTTTTTAATTTGTCTTCTGTGACACCACATACTCACTCTCACTGGCTTTTCATCCTCTGTCTCCATAAAATTCACCATTTTAAGGTGGGTTTTAGTGTATGCACAAGGTTGTACAGCTATCTCCACTATCTAATTCCAGAACATTTTTATTACCCCAAAGAGAAACCCCATATCTGTTAGCAGTAATTCACCGTTCTTCCCTCCCCTCAATTCTCTGACAACTATTAATCTGCTTTCTGACTCTGTGGATTTCCTTATTCTTGAGATTTAATATTGCTAATTCTTTTTTTTTTTTTTTTTTTTTTTTGAGATGGAGTCTCACTCTGTCACCCAGGGTGGAGTGCAGTGGCACGATCTCTGCTCACTGCACCATCCGCCTCCTGGATTCAAGCGATTCTCCTGCTTCAGCCTCCCAAGTAGCTGGGATTATAGGCATGTGCCACCATGCCCAGCTAATTTTTGTATTTTTAGTAGAGGCAGGGTTTCACCATGTTGGTCAGGCTGGTCTTGAACTCCTGACCTCAGGAGATCCACCCTCCTTGGCCTCCTAAAATGCTGGGATTACAGGTGTGAGCTACTGCGTCCGACCTAATTATTTTTATTTTGATAGAGACGAGGTCTCACTATGTTGCCTAGGCTGGTATTGAACTCCTGGGCTCAAGCGATCCTCCTGCCTTAGCCTCTCAAAGTGCTGGGATTATAGGCATGAGCCACAGTGCCTGTCCCAATCTTTCCTTTTAAGTTCGTTCTTCTCACAGTCTTCTCAATCTCAATAAATGGCCATTCTGTTCTTTCCTTCTTTTGCTCAAATCAAAAACCTTGGAGTTATCCTTGATTCCTTTCTGTCCCTCATAGAAGCCATCAGCAAATGCTCTTGATTCTACCTTCAAAAAGATATCCAAAGTCTGACCAATTCTGTCAATCTCCATTGCTACCACCCTGGTCCAGGCTAGCTCTCTTGGGTTATTGTAGATGCCGCCTATCTGGTCTCCCTGCTTTCTCCTTTGCCTCTCTTCAGTCCATTTTCCACACAGCAGCTGGTATAAGCCTGTGAAAATGCAAGTTGGATCATGTCACTTATGGGCCAAGTGCTACAGTGGCTTCCTGTTACACTCCGTAAATGCTGATATCCTCAGAAGACTTATTAATAAATACCCTGTAATATCTGGCCTCAACCTCCCCCTTTCTCACCTGGCTTCAACCATACTGGCCTCTTTGTCTCACTCTGTTGCCCAGGCTGGAGTGCAGTGGCGCGATCTTGGCTCACTTCAAACTCTGCCTCCCAGGTTCAAGCAATCCTCTCACCTCAGCCTCCCAAGTAGCTGGTATTACAGGTGCGCACCTCCATGCCTGGCTGATTTTTGTATTGTTAGTAGAGACAGGATTTCACCATGTTGGTCAGACTGGTTTTGAACTCCTGACCTCAAGTCGTCCATCAACCTCGGCCTCCAAAAGTGCTGGGATTACAGGCATGAGCCACTGTGCCCAGGTTTCCTTGTTCTTTACACCAGAAATAACCCTCTACCTCGGGGTTTTATTTGCTGTTCACTCTGCCTAGAATGCTCTTCTCTCATTGCAGTAGACTCAATGTTTATGTCCCCACCCCTGCAACCCGGCCAAATCATATGTTAAAACCTAACCCCCTGGCCGGGCGCGGTGGCTCATGCCTGTAATCCCAGCACTTTGGGAGGCTGAGGCAGACAGATCACGAGGTCAGGAGATGGAGACCATCCTGGCTAACATGGTGAAACCCTGTCTCTACTAAAAATACAAAAAAAAATTAGCTGGGCGTGGTGGCATGCGCCTGTAGTTCCAGCTACTCGGGAGACTGAGGCAGGAGAATCGCTTGAACCTGGGAGGCGGAGGTTGCAATAAGCCGAGATCATGCCACTGCACTTCAGCCTGGGTGACAGAGCGAGACTCCGTCTCAAAAAAAAAAAAACACCTTCAGAAGGAAGGAATGCTTTTATAGACCACTTTGGTTTTCTTTTTTGCATGTCATGTGGCAGTTTTAAGTTATTAAAATAAGTACTTTTTAATGGGAACAACTTGACCAAATTTGTCACAATTTGTCACAGAATTTTGAGACCTATTAAAAAAGTTCAATGAGAAAGAAAAAAAGAGAGATGGGGTCTCACCATATTGCCCATGCTGGTCTTGACTGAATTCCTGAGTGCAAGAGATCCTCCTTCCTTGGCTTCTCGATGTGCTGGGATTACAGGCATAAGCCACCATGCCCAGCTTCCTTATTGGTTTTGTCCAGCAACTAAAACAAGCCCTTGGCTCATAAGAGGTGTTCAATAAATATTTATGGGAAGAATGAGTGGAGAAACTCTTCCCAGAAAAACATGCATATTAACAAAGTATTGTGGCCAGATGCAGTGGCTCACGCCTGTAATCCCAGCACTTTGGGAGGCCGAGGCGAGCGGATCACCTGAGGTCAGGAGTTCGAGACCAGCCTGACCAACATGGAGAAACGCCATCTCTACTAAAAATACAAAATTAGCTGGGCATGGTGGCACATGCCTGTAATCCCAGCTACTTGGGAAGGCTGAGGCAGGAGAATCACTTGAACCTGGGAGGTCGAGGTTGTGGTGAGCCGAGATCGCACCATTGTACTCCAGCCTGGGCAACAAGAGCAAAACTCCATCTCAAAAAAAAAAAGTATTGCATAGTTTTCACAGGGTTCATGAACTGCTGTCAAATTCATTCATAAACTTTAGGTTAAGAACATTTGGTTTTTGAAAGTCAAATTGTAAACTTTGTTACATGCTTATAATTCGTAATTTCTATAAGACCTCTATGGAAATGGATGTATCCATTTAAGTGCTGAGGAGAGAGTTTTCCTGTAAGCCCATAAAACTGTATCTGTAATAGAAATATGTTTAAGGTTAGCCTCTTTTATTTCTTCTGGACTGTAGGTATTTTCTACTAACAACTTTAATCCAGAAAAACATCTTTTCATAACCACTTGAATGCCACATTCTGGCATATTAGAAAGAGACTCTGGCCGGGCACAGTGGCTCATGCCTGTAATCTCAGCACTTTGGGAGGCCAAGATGGGAGGATTGCTTGAGCCCAGGAGTTTGAAACCAGCCTGCACAACATAATGAAACCCCATCTCTACAAAAATTAAAAATAATCTGGGTGTGGTGGTATATGCCTGTAGTCCCAGCTCCTTAGGAGGCTGAGGTGGGAGTATCACTTGGGCCCTCAAGGTCGAGGCTGCAGTGATTGCACTACCACTGCACTCCATCCTGGGCAACAGAAGACAGAAGACCCTGTCTCAAAAAAAAGAAGGCTGGGGTATTAAGATATATTTGTAACCAGTTTATTAATTAATTATGGTTTTTTTTTTTTCTGAAATGGAATTTTGTTCTTGTTGCCCAGGCTGGAGTGCAATGGCGTGATCTCGGCTCACTGCAACCTCCGCCTCCCGGGTTCAAGCAATTCTCCTGCCTCAGCCTCCCAAGTAGCTGGGATTACAGGCATGCGCCACCACGTCCGGCTAATTTTGTATTTTTAGTAGAGACGGGGTTTCTCCATGTTGGTCAGGCTGCTCTTGAACTCCTGACCTCAGGTGATCTTCCTGCTTTGGCCTCCCAAAGTGCTGGGATTACAGGTGTGAGCCACTGCGCCTGGCCTTTTAATTTACTTTTAAGACAAGGCATGGCTCTGTCACCCAGTCTGGAGTGCAGTGGCATGATATCGGCTCACTACAACGTCCATGTCCTGGGCTCAAGCCGTCCTCCCACCTCAGCCTCCGGAGTAGCTAGGACTGTAGGCGTGGCTATTTTTTGTATTTTTCTAGAGACGAGGTTTCACCATGTTGCCCAGGCTGATCTTGACCTCATAAGCTCAAGTGATCCTCCCACCTCAGCCTCCCAACGTGCTGGGATCACACGAGTGAGCCAGCGCGCCCAACCTTTAACCAATTTCATATCTACATAGTCCATTTTGTTTCTGTCAGGCTTTCTAATTTTCTTTTGCAACAAGAGTTCTGCTTTGTTCTTCCTCTTAGATTGCATATGCATTTACTCTAATAAATGGTGCAAAGAAAGCTTTCCAGCTCTTTTTAGTGATGTAACAGAAGAGTGGGCATCTTGGAAATTAGCACTGTTTTGACTTATATGAGAGGGAACTGCTGTCTTAGTAACTACTACATTAATAAGACAAATGTCCAGTTACTAGTTACTACTCAGTCTAGTTTTGAAATAACAAGCTAAATCTAAAAATCTCTTAGAGTTTGGGTTTCAGCAAACATTTATGAAGCTCCTGTAATATTCAAACCTCCATATTCTGTGATTTCTGCTATATGCTGGTCAATCTGAAAGATACGAAGATATGTAAGAGGGCTTTAACCCTCAGGTGCTTCCAATCAGTTTGTAATTATTTTCCAACAATAAATAAATTGAATTTATTTCATTAGATATTTTGAGAACTAAGATATTAATAATTTTTTTCTTTTTTTTCCCCCTGAAATTCCTGAGCTTCAACTAGTTGGTCTGTTTTTATAGTAGTTATGTTAGCTATAAATGAATAAATAAAAATCAGCCTGCCAGTTTATGTAGATTCTCCCCTCGAGGAGGTGGAGCTTAACTCCTCCACCACTTAGGGGTGGATGATGAGCTTAATGACTTGTTTCCACAGAGTACAGTGTGGAAGGGTGGGGAGAAGTACTGCTTCCTCCAACCAGGTGGAGAATCCTGGCAAGCACTACCTCAGCCAGGGATCAGGTTAACATCATCAGTTGATAAGTCATGTTGATAGTCTGTACTCTTGATATGCTGTGATGAGCATGGCCCTTGGTATTCTTCCCGAAAAGCCATCACTCCAGTCTAACCATGAGAAAAACATCTGACAAATTCAAATTGAGGGACATTCTGTAAAATATCTGACCAGAGTCTTATTAAAACTGTCAAGAGAAGTCTGAGAAGCTGACAGTCCAGAAAAGGCTAAGGAGACATGATGACAAAATGTGATATGGTATCCTGGATAGGATCTTGGGAAGAGAAAAGGGGCGTTAGGGAAAAATTAAAGGGGATCAAGAAAGAAGGACAGAGTGAGACCTTACTTCTCTAAAAAATAATAAATAGTAAGTAAAAATTACCTTTGTAATATTCTTTTTTATTAGAATACGATGAACATCTCTTAGTGTCAATAAATTCCCATCTACAACCCAGTTGTTAATGACTTATCCTATTGTTTGGATATATGAAACTTAAACGGTCTAATTATTAGACCTTTGTTAAGTTTCCTTTAAAAAAAAAAAAAAAACCTATTTTAAGGAATATTGTGATGAGGCCGGGCCTGGTGGCTCATGCCTGTAATCCTAGCACTTTGGGAGGCTTAGGCGGACAGATCTTGAGGTCAGGAGCAACATGGTGAAACCCCGTCTCTACTAAAAATAGAAAAATTAGCCAGACGTGATGGTGCGTACCTGTAATCCCAGCTACTCAGGAGGCTGAGGCAGGAGAATCACTTGAACCTGGGAGGTGGAGGTTGCAGTGAGCCGAGATCACACCACTGCACTCCAGCCTGGGCAACAAAACAAGACTCTGTCTCAAAAGGAAAAAAAAAGAATATTGTGATGAAGCCAGGTGCGGTGGCTCACGCCTGTAATCCCAGCACTTCGGGAGGCTAAGGTAGGAGGATGGCTTGAGCCCAGGAGTTCAAGACCAGCTTGGATAACATAGTGGGGCCCTGTCACTATTTTTTTTTTTTTTTTTTTGGAGACGGAGTCTTGCTCTGTTGCCCACGTTGGAGTACAGTGGTGCCATCTTGGCTCACTGCAACCTCCACCTCCCGGGTTCAAGCAATTCTCCTGCCTCAGCCTCCCGAGTAGCTGGGATTACAGGTGCCTGCCTCCACACCCAGCTAATTTTTGTATTTTTAGTAGAGACAGGGTTTCACCATGGTTGGCCAGGCTGGTCTCGAACTCCTGACCTCAGGTGATCCACCCTCCTTGGCCTCCCAAAGTGCTGGGATTACAGGCTTGAGCCACCACACCTGGCCCCTGTTGCTATTTTCTTTCTTTCTTTCTTTCTTTCTTTTTTTTTTTTTTTTTTTTTGAGATGGAGTCTTGCTCTGTCGCCCAGGCTGGAGTGCAGTGGCGTGATCTTGGCTCACGGCAAACTCCGCCTCCCGGGTTCACGCCATTCTCCTGCCTCAGCCTCCTGAGTAGCTGGGACTACAGACGCCTGCCACCATACCCGACTAATTTTTTGTATTTTTAGTAGAGATGGGGTTTCACCATGTTAGCCAAGGTGGTCTTGATCTCCTGACCTCGTGATCTGTCCGCCTCGGCCTCCCAAAGTGCTGGGATTACAGGCGTGAGCCATCGCGCCCGGCCCCGTTGCTATTTTAAGAAAATTTTAAAAATAAGAATATCGTGATGAATAATCTTATAGCCACATATTTGCACTGGTTATTTATTGGAATTAGATTTTCAGCAGGTCCACTTATGCTTTTTTTTTATTTTTATTTTTTTTTGAGATAGAGCCTCACTCTGTCGCCCAGGCTGGGGTGCAGTGGTTCCATCTCAGCTCACTGCAACCTCCGTGTCCCAGATTCAAGCAATTCTCCTGCCTCAGCCTCCCAAGTCAAGTAGCTGGGATATGTGCCACCACACCCAGCTCATTATTATTATTATTATTATTTTGAGACGAAGTTTCACTCTTATCCCCCAGGCTGGAGTGCAATGGTGCGATACTGGCTCACTGCAACCTCTGCCTCCTGGGTTCAAGCAGTTCTCCTACCTTGGCCTCCCGAGTAGCTGGGATTATGGGCACCTGCCACCACGCCTGGCTAATTTTTGTATTTTTAGTAGAGACAGGGTTTCACTATGTTGGCCAGGCTGTTCTTGAACTCCTTCCCTCAGGTGACCTGCCCGCCTTGGCCTCCCAAAGTGCTGGCATTACAGGCGAGAGCCACCGCGCCCGGCCCACCTGTGCTTTTTCAATCCCATATCTTCTAGCAATTTTGTGGGCTTTGTTCCAGAAAAAATTGTTTCTTTTTTATGTATTTTCAGACTTTTTTCTTCATTGGCTCCTTTCTGTCTTTCTGTAAATATACTTGTCATTTTCATTTCTAAAAAACTTTCCCTCAACGTTGCCTCTCCCTATAGCTGCTGCCCAGTTTTTAGTTCTTCCCTTTATCACCCGTATTTCCCATACTTTTTGTTTTCAGTGTTTTTTAAACTTACCTTCACTCCTCAGTCTTCAGTGTCTGTTCCCTCCCCCTCTACCACTCTCATTTTAGTCATCAATGCGAAATTAATTTCTGTGACCCTTTTCATAGTCTTTTTTTTTTTTTCTTTAAAACAGTGTCTCACTCTTGCCCAGGTGCCATGGCTCAATCTCAGCTCACTGCCACCTCCGCTTCCTGGGCTCAAGTGATCCTTTCAGCTCAGTCCCCCCAAGTAGCTGGGACTACAGGAGCAAGCCAGCATGCCTGGTTAATTTTTGTATTTTTTTGTAGAGATGGGATTTCACCATGTTGCCCAGGCTGGTCTCAAACTGCTGAGGTCAAGCCATCCACCTGCTTTGGCCTCCCAAAGTGCTGGGATTACAGGCATCAGCTACTGCGTCTGATTGTTTTTCATAGTCTTAATTTAGCCATTCAATGGCTTTGACTCTTAACCATTCTCTAAAGCATTCTCCAAATGGCACCATTTTTTCCTTTCTTGACTTCTTTCTGTTTTCTTCACTGGTCTTTCTTTCTTGATCCCCTTTAAATACACATATTTTAAAATTTCTCTTCATGCCATCTGGTAAGATCAAGTGGCCAATCTCAGCATACCTGGGAAACTTAACATGATCTAAGATCACTGAGGAACCATTGACTCCAGATACTGTCTTGTACATGAGGCAAGGCTGGGAGAGGTTGTTCCGACTGACTGCCAGCACCTGCTCCCGAGCTCCTACCACTGGCCCCTTTAAATATTGAGATACCTCAAGATTCTTTTGTAAAACTTCTGTATTTCTTCCTGGATGAAGGTATTCACTGCAGTGGTGTCAGTTCTCACCCAAATGTTAATTCCCAGATATTTATCTACAGCATTTACCTCTCTCCTGAGCCTGTCCCTATTACTGCACTGCCTGTTCAACAGTTGCCACTTATATATGCCTTAGGCAACTTTTTTATATTGAAAGTTAATAATATAAGGGATTCCTGGCCGGGCACAGTGGCTCACGCCTGTAATCCGAACACTTTGGGAGGCCAAGGTGGGCGGGTCACTTTAGGTCAGGAGTTTGAGACCAGCCTGCCAGCATGGTGAAACCCCACTAAAAATACAAAACCCCTACTAAAAATACAAAAATTAGCCGTGTGTGGTAGCATGCACCTGTAATCCCAGCTACTCAGCAGGCTGAGGCATGAGAATCACTTGAACCTGGGAGGCGGAGGTTGCAGTGAGCTGAAATCACACCACTGTACTCCAGCCTGGGCGGGCGACAGAGCTGAGACTCCTTCTCAAAAAAAAAAAAAAGAATTCCTTCTGTGTTCCCAACCATGGCATTTCATTTAGTCCCTCAGTGATCTTTTACTTCTCCAGTCTTTAACATCCAGGCAGATGGTCTCAAGACCTGTCTTCTCTCTTGTCAGCAGTCCTCTCATTCCCATCCTCACTGCCTTAGTGCGAGCCCTTATCTCTTGCCAAGATTATGCAGTAGCTTTTCAGTTCCGTCCATGCTCTACCCTGCTGCCAGAGTTCTTTCTAAAACACGTGATATTGTCACACCCTTACTTAAAAACCTTCAGTGATTCCTTATTACACAAAGGATATAATCCAGATTACATGGCATTTAAAGCCATTTGGAATCTGGCCAATTGTTCCTTCTCCCCAGAATGCCTTTCCCTTCCTTGTTCACCTCATGAACTTAAATCTTTAAAACCAAGCTTACCACCTCTTCTGAAACATTCTTAATTTACCATAGTGGCTGTCTCTGCTGCATTCCCACAACTCATACAGTTTTACTGGTGCATATTTGATTTTCAGCTACTTGTGGGCACTGTATTACCAGTACTAACACAGGTCCTGGACTTCGCTACTTAATGAAAATGGTTTCATTAATGGCATTTGAGGATTAAGATCATTCTGGGGTTCAGTTCCCTGTGACACAAATACAGAATATGAATACAATGTGGTTTTGTAAGTTAGAAACCTCATGGAATATTGTACCAGCCATTACCAGTTATCTGTGTTCTGCATCTGCATAACAATTTGCATGTTGAAATTTTCCATTAGGAGGGAGTGGTGTTAGGTGAAGGTGAAAAGGCAAACAGCTGGCATGCTCATAGGCTCTTCTTTGGCATTGGGCTTGAAGTATTTGGTTTTTCAGGTTTGTTGGGATTTAAACGCATCATTGGCAGAGATTTAATGTTGATAGTAAATGCATGTAGAAATGGATCCATCTGGAAACATAGAGATAGGAAAACATGATTCTTTTACTTTTTTTTTTTAAGGTAAGGTCTCACTCTGTTGCCCAGGCTGGAGTACAGTGGTGTGATCACGGTTCACTGCAGCCTCAGCTTCCTGGCCTCAAATAATCCTCTTACCTCAGCCTTCCAAGTAGCTGGGACTATAGGCTCATGCCACCACACCCAGCTAATTTTTTTTTTTTTTAATTTTTTGTGGAGACAGGATCTCACCATGTTGCCCAGGCTGGTCTTGAGCTCCTGGGCGCAAGCGGTCCACCTGCCTCAGCCTCCCAAAGTGTGGGGATTACAGGCGTGAGCCACCTCACCTGACCTGTTTCCCTGCCCCCATCCTTTTTATTTTTTTTTTTTTGAGATGGAGTCTCACTTTGTCACCCAGGCTGGAGTGCAGTGGCATGATCTCAGCTCACTGCAACTGCCCTCTCCTAGGCTCAAATGGTCCTTCCACCTCAGCCTCCTGAGAAGTAAAGGATTAATTGAAATGTTATTTTTTATTTGATCTTCTTCATTGGTCACTGTGTATCCTGATAAGAATTTTCAGGCCAGGCTTGGTGGCTCACACCTGTAATCCCAGCACTTTGGGAGGCTGAGGCGTGCGGATCACGAGGTCAGGACATCGAGACCATCCTGGCCAACATGGTGAAACCCTGTCTCTACTGAAATACAAAAAATTAGCCAGGTGTGGTGGTGCGCGCCTGTAGTCCCAGCTACTCGGGAGGCTGAGGCAGGAGAATCGCATGAACCCAGGAGGCAGAGGTTGCAGTGATCCGAGATTGCGCCACTGCCCTCCATCCTGGTGACAGAGCGAGACTCCTTCTCAAAAAAAAAAAAAAAGAATTTTCAGCTTTTAGTGCTCATATATAATTTGTTTCTTACAGTACTTCTCTTCCAAATTTTTATACTTTCTAAACCCTTGCTGTTTGAAGTATTGATATCATTTTGTTGTTTCTGTTTTTTTCCTGATATCAAATGTACAGCTCTTTTCCAGAATGTCATATAGTTGGACTGGGCCAGTATGTTGCCCTTTCATACTGGTTTCTTTCACAGACCAATAAGCATTTAAGGTTCCTTCATGTCTTTCTGTGTCTTGATAGCTCATTCTAGAATATCTTTTAACATCTCAATTTCTAAATTTAATCAGCTAAAAAGTCCCATATTTTATTTAAATCATCTACATAAAGTATAATGAAACTCAGGGTATGAGCCAGAGAGTAAAATTTCTCTCTATTTGTGAACAGTTCTACAGGCTTTATAGGGAGCAAAGTGCCGGAGGCTCCTCAGTTTCTGGGGAGGCTTCAGGAAGCTTCCAATCATGCAGAAGACACAGGGGGCACAGGCATGTCACATGGCAAAAACAGGAGCAAGAGAGCTACCCTTGATTAAAGTATCACTTAGACCTGGGTGTGGTGGCTCATGCTTGTAATCGCAGCACTTTGGGAGGCTGAGTGGGAGGACTGCTTGAGCCCAGGAGTTCAAGACCAGCCTAAGCAACATGGCGACACCTGTCTCCAGAAAAAAATAAAAAATTATCTGGGCGTAGTGGTGCACACCTGTAGTCAGTGCTACTCGGGAGGCTGAGGCAGGAAGATCACTTGAGCCCAGGAGGTCAAGGATGCAGTAAGCTGTGATCATGTCAGTGCACTGGGCAGCAGAGTGAAACTTTGTCTCAAAAATAAATAAATAAGGAAAGGACAATTTTTTAATTTGTAGGAGTAGATGTGGTACTTCATTTTCATATAATTAAAAAGCAGCTTTATATTTGAAACTAAATAGTTTTCATGAATTAGTACTTATAGCTATAGCCCTGTCCTTTAAAGCAATCTTCTAGCTTAAATATATTTCTAATATTTGTGAAAATATTTTTATAATTGCAAGATAAAAGGGAGTTAATATGTAAAGTTCAGTATTTAGGGACAATTTTGGAGGGTTTTGTTTTTCACATGGCTTTTTTATTCTTTTTTCATCATTTTTATTGAAAAAGTCATTTTATGTTCTTAGTGTGTGGTTTTTTTGTGTTTTTGGTTTTGGTTTTTTTTGTTTTTTTGTTTTTTTGTTTTTTTTTTGAGACAGAGTCTCGCCCTGTCGCCCAGGCTGGAGTGCAATGGCGTGATCTCAGCTCACTGTAACCTCTGCCACCCGGGTTCAAGTGATTCTCCTGCCTCAGCCTTCGGAGTAGCTGGGATTACAGGCACGTGCCACCACGCCTGGCTAATTTTTTGTATCTTTAGTAGAGACAGAGTTTCACCATGTTGGCCAGGCTGGTCTTGAACTCCTGACCTCATGATCCATCTGCCTCCACCTCCCAAAGTGCTGGGATTACAGGCATGAGCCACTGCGCCCGGCCGTCCCTTTGTTACTTAACAAATGGGAGCACACTGCTTTTTAAGCACACTGCACTTTGTTTTTGTTTTTTTGTTTTTTTGTTTTTTTTTTTGAGACGGAGTCTTGCTCTGTTGCCCAGGCTGGAGTGCAATGGCGTGATCTCGGCTCACTGCAAACTCCGCCTCCTGGGTTCACGCCATTCTCCTGCCTCAGCTTCCTGAGTAGCTGGGACTACAGGTGCCCGCCACCACGCCCAGCTAATTTTTTGTATTTTTAGTAGAGACGGGGTTTCACCGTGTTAGCCAGGATGGTCTCAACCTCCTGACCTCGTGATCTGCCTGCCTCGGCCTCCCAAAGTGCTGGGATTACAGGTGTGAGCCACTGCGCCTGGCCTGCACTTTGCTTTTTGAGTTTAATTCGTAGATGGACTATGTCTACGTATACACTTAGCCTACCTTATCTCAGGTTCTACATCTGTGGATTCAACCAATTGTGGACCAAAAATATTTTTTTAAAAAACAACAATAAAAAAAAACACAATTTTTAAAAACAATACAGTGTAACAACTATTTACATAGCATTTACGTTGTATTAGGTGTCTAAAGAATACTTAAAGTATAAGGGATGATGTGTGTAGGTTATATGCAAATACTATGCCATTTTATACACAGGACTTGAGCATCTTCAGATTTTGGTGGTGGGGGGTGGTGGTTTTAGAACCAATCCCCCTCAGATACCAAGGTATAGCTGTACCTCATTCTTTTTCATGGCAGCAAGTGTTTCATAGTTTGCATGTAACTTTAAAAAAAAATAACTTTAGGGGCCGTGCTAGTCTTCTGTGTATCCCTCCAGTTTTAGTATATGTGTTGCCAAAGCAAGTGATAGGTGTAACTTTAGAGTATTCCTAATATTTATAACCAGAGCTTTTATGAATATCTTCATACACATATTTTTTTTCTTTTTTTTTTTTTTGAGACGTCTCACTCTGTCTCCCAGGCTGGAGTGCAGTGGCGCGATCTCGGCTCACTGCAAGCTCCACCTCCCAGGTTCACGCCATTCTCCTGCCTCAGCCTCCCGAGTAGCTGGGACTACAGGCGCCCGCCACCACGCCTGGCTAATTTTTTGTATTTTTCATAGAGACGGGGTTTCACCGTGTTAGCCAGGATGGTCTTGATCTCCTGACCTCGTGATCCGCCTGCCTCAGCCTCCCAAAGTGCTGGGATTACAGGCATGAGCCACCACGCCTGGCAACACATATCTTTGTACATGTATGCAAATATGTCCATAGTATATATTCTTAGAAGTGTAACTGTAGAGTTAGTATTGTGCAGGGGGACTGGGAGGAGAATATGTGCATTTTAAATTTTGATACATGTTGCTGAATTAGAGGAGTATAATTTTATTTAATTAATTAATTTATTTTTTTTTTGAGAAGGAGTCTCACTCTATTGCCCAGGCTGGAGTGCAGTGGCACAATCTTGGCTCACTGCAAACTCTGCCTCCTGGGTTCAAGTGATTCTCCTGCCTCAGCTTCTTGAGTAGCTGGGATTACAGGCGTGCACTGCCACGCCTGGCTAATTTTTGTATTTTTAGTAGAGACGGGGTTTCACCATGTTGGCCAGGCTGGTTTCGAACTCCTGACCTCAGGTGATCCACCTGCCTCAGCTTCCCAAAGTGCTGGTATTACAGATGTGAGCCACCATGCCCAGCCTAGAGGAGTATAATTTTAGAAGATAGATTTCTCATGTAGTCCTGTCTTCCCCATGGATTAATTGTGATTTTTAAAAAAATATTTAGGGTCAACTTTGCATATTTGCCAATTAGATATTTTCAAATGCTTATATTAGTGACTTACCTCCTCAAAATGCATCCAGGAATGGTTAAAAGCAAATATTAATTAGTATTCAGATACTTATTTTCCCCTTCCCACACAGAGTAGCAGAGCAGCAGCATCTGTTCTTGAGGTTGTGCTTAATGTAAAATGCTAGGGGTTCCTCTTTTCTTTTTTTGAAGGTGAGAATGTTTGACTAAAAAAAAAAAAATGAATGGATTAACTTTTAGAAATGCATCTTGAAAATAAAATAAGGTTTTGCTACCAGGTGAGTGAAAACAATAATTGGAAATAAAGATTTGAGTTTTCCTCCTTGTTAAACCCAATGAAATTATGATGCTTGGCTCTTCCTCCCCATCAAAAAGAAAGTTAAAGTTAAAATTCCTGTGTGAGGTTGTCATATTCTCATGCTGTATATTTTCTTTCAGATTCCTTTGTTTCTTCCTCTTCCTCTCAGCCTGTATCTCTATTTTCGACCTCACAAGGCAAGTCTGTAATTTTTTTGTGTGCATTGGTAAAAGAAAAATGTTGAGAAAGAGGCTGTAACTGGGGATACGAGGCACAAGTCTTCTATTGCCCCAAATCCCCTAAAATAAAAACTAATTACAAGCTGATTCTTTCTATTTAGCAGTTTCCAGTGGGTTTCGTGTAATGGTTAATAAAGTAAAATGAGGCTGGGTGGACCCTGTAACATAGCATAAACTTCAGGAGTAGTTTTGAGTATTTCTTTAAAATTAAAAACTTGCCCACCAGAATTTGGAGCAGATAGAATTGTGGCTCAGAGGCCAGGTGCAGTTGCTCACACCTGTAATCTCAGCACTTTGGGAGGCAAAGGCGGGCAGATCACTTGAACTCATGAGTTTGAGACCAGTCTGGGCAACATGGTGAAACCCTGTGTCTACAGAAAATATCCGGGCATAGGTGGTGCATGCCTGTAGTCCCAGCTACTCAGGAGGCTGAGGTGGGAGGATTGCTTGAGCCCAGGGGCTGGAGGTTGCAGTGAGCGATGATCGTGCCACTGCACTCCCCGCTGGGTGAGAGAGCAAGACCCTGTGTCACCATCACCACCAACAGCAACAAAATTGTGGCTCAGGAAACACCCAACCCCTAGAATGCATTTAATATATTGTTTTGGAGCTATGAAACTGGTTTACAGAGGTAGCAGATTGGAAAAACAGTATAAAAGTGTGCTTCCACTGAACTAGAAAAATACCAGCCTAGCTAGGGTATTTTAATGTGAATTTATCTGAGACACGTCATAAAAGCTAGGCTAGTTCCAAATTGCCTACAAACATTGAACAAGTCAGTTATGTGACTTTTGGCAAGCAAGGCTTCTTGTCCTAGAGATTGAGTTGTGGCTTTGTTTTGTTTTGTTTTGTTTTTAATCTGTCAGTCTGTAGGGAAGGGAATCAGTTTGTGGAGGCAACATTGCCAAGAAGCTGAAAGAGAGGGTACTATGTGCTTCATCAATTTATACTAATAATAAAGTATTATTTCATTCGTGCTGTTTTTACTAGACCCAAATATATGTCAATTGAGAACCTTTATTTTAAAAGAGGAAAAAGTAATTAAAATCACTAGACAGATTGATAGATTTAAGAAGTCTTGTGCAAACAGTTTGTTGTTACAGGTGGAGTTCTCTAGCTGCAAAAGACTTTTATAAGAATAAAAACATAATGGGATTTAAAAAAATTAGTAAAACTTTTGCCTGGTTAAATCTGCTTCTTAGGAAACATGGTAGGGAATTTTTTTTTTAATTTGTTGTTGTTGTTGTTTTGAGATAGGGTCTCACTCTGTCACCCTGGCTGAAGGGCAATGGCACTTCATTGAATTCATAGTTCACTGCAGCCTCAATCTCCTGGGTTCAAGCGATCCCCCCACCTCAGCTTTCTGAGTAGCTGGGACTACAGGCACATGCCACCATGCCCTGCTAATTTTTTAATTTTTATTTCGTAGAGACATTTTGCTATGTTGCCCAGGCTGGTCTCGAACTCCTCAGCCAGTCTGGCTCAGCCAGTCCTTCCACCTTAGCCATCCACAGTGCTGGGATTATAAGCATGAGCCACCACCACACCTGGCCAACAATTTGTTTTAATTTAAACTGATGACATTAGAACCCCCAATTCCTTTATAATGTGTCTCATTGTGTGAATTTGGGTATCTTGTGGGCCAAATAATGACCTCTGAAATTAACATGTTTACATTAAAAGATAGAAATTTTGTTAATGTTAGAAAGTAACTCAAACGTATGAAGTAGTTATATTGTTCTTGACATTTGGAACTTGACAATATTTTTATTTTTAAGGATTTTTTTTTCTCATGAGAAAATAATTTAAGCAAATAGGTATTAAATTATTCTACTGTGGAAGAAAAATATGGTATAAATAGAACAAATAATTATTTCCTCTCTTGTAAGTATTTCAGATCTTTAAGAATACGTTCTAACCTTAAGTCACTATTTTTTTTCTTTTCTTTTTTCTTTTTTTTTTTTTGAGATGGAGTCTTACTCTGTCACCCAGGCTGGAGTGCATTGGTGTGATCTCAGCTCAGTGCAACCTCCACCCAAGAATCGCTCAAGCAGTTCTCTCGCCTCAGCCTCCTGAGTAGCTGGGATTACAGGCGTGCACCACCACGCCCAGCTAATTTTTGCATTTTTAGTAGAAACGGGGTTTCACCATGTTGACCAGGCTGGACTCAAACTCCTAAACTCAAGTGATTCGCCTGCCTTGGCCTCCCAAAGTGCTGGCATTACAGGCATGAGTCACGTCGCCAGGCCAAGTCACTTTTTTCATATAGAAAAGGGATAGTTGATACTCTAAACGGTGTAACGGTGTAACCCATGGCTTACATACCTAATGTATAACGTTGAAAAGATAACTGTCATAGCTTTAAAAATTATTTTAATCCCTGGTTAACAACACTTACATGTACACTCAAGTAGAAGGGAGGTAAATAAAAATGATTTAAATTAAAAATGAATGTTTTAATAGGCTTCAGTTTCACAGTGTGTATTAGAATTTGCAAGACAGCATACACTTATTCTTCCTTTTTGCCTACAAAAAAAATTTTTTGACCAATGTAGATTGAGAATAGTCTTATTGTAGAAAGGTAATTAAGAATGCCCTATCCGACTGTGCGCGGTGGCTCACACCTGTAATCCTAGCACTTTAGGAGGCTGAGGCAGGCGGATCACCTGACGTCAGGAGTTCGAGACCAGCCTAGCCAACATGGCAAAATCCCGTCTCTACTAAAAATACAAAAATTAGCCAGGTGTGGTGGCAGGCACCTGTAATCCCAGCTACTCGGGAGGCTGAGGCAGGAGAATCACTTGAACCCGGGGGACAGAGGTTGCAGTGAGCCGAGATCACGCTATTCATTGCACTCCAGCTTGGGCGAAAGAGCAAAACTCCGTCTCAAAAACAAAACAAAAGAATGCCCTATCCTCGAATGGGTTTCATTTAACCTATATTAGTAGCATTTTCTCCTGCAACAAACAAATAAACAAAACACATGATGGAAAAGTAGCCCAGTGGGGCCCTACGTCATTGGCAGTCTAGAGGTTAGCCTGTTCAGTTGTTTGAAGGAACACCTTGGCAGATGATTAGTTGTTTTCTAGGGTAGCCAAGACTGGTAGCTTCCAGTCTGCCTTAGTAAAAATAAGGGAAGAGGAAGCTGTTGATACATAGTTGGTTAACTGTATTAAAACCCTGAATGGAGATGAGGGCTCTGGGAACAGTCCACTTCCACACAGGCCTTTGAAAGTGACTGCTGCCACCTGCATGCACTTTGAGTCCGTCACTGACACTAACCCAACTAATTTCTTTGGCTTCATATACCTTAGCTATCTAGCCTTAGGGAAATTGTGTCTATTTTTATATACCCCAATCATATTAAGCAATATGTAGTAATAATAGGACTTAAAAAAAAAATAGAGACAAGGTCTCACTAGATTGCCCAGGCTGAACTCCTGAGCACAAGCGGTCCTCCTACCTTGGCTTCCCAAAGTGCTGGGATTACAGGCATGAGCCACCATACCTGGCCTAAATAGGACATGTTAAGATTTAAGTGACTTTTTTTTTATCCTGAAATACATATTTATCATTATTGGGTTTCAGGTAGATGCATGTATAAAAAATGTCATTGATTCAGACTGAGTTAAAGGCAGTTAAAGTTTTTAAAAGTAAATTTTGTGATATTTACTAAGTTGTACTGCTTTGAGAATACAGCTACATAAGCTAGGAAGTTAAACTTCTGATATGAATAGATTTCTAGTTAGAATGTCAGTGGAATAATCAGTTCCTTCTTCAATAAGTTGTACCCCTGAGTAGTCCTTGTCCTTGCAGTCTTTTGCTTATGGTTTCCTTTTTCCATCAAGCAACAATTATATTTCAGCCTAATCCCTGAGAGTTTCAAAATAGTGGATTACATTTTAATGATGTTTTCCTGTACTTCATAAAACATACAAAGATATTGACAGAAGTATAGATGTAGTATGTGGCTAATTTTTATTGAACTTTTACTATGCCCAGTAAACTTCACATGAATCATCTCATTTAATCTTCATAAGCAGTTCTATGAAGGGAAGGGACTAGCTCTTTTACCAATTGAAATGACTTGAAAATGGTGAAATCACTTGCTCAAGGTAACACAGCAAGTAAGTGATAGAGGGAGGATGCCAAAGCCGTGGTCATAACTGCTGTACCTATAATAAAGATGATCAAATAAACTAGCTGTATTTTAGGGTTTAGACTTCTTTTTAGAGATGGCATTTTGAAGTTAATATTAAAATCATGACAGCAGAAGAGGCAGATACCATTGTTTTGACCATATTATCACTATTAGTGATATAATTTAGTATCATCTGGGGTATATGCTCCCTCCAACAAAATCAAAATCAAACTGAAATTTTGTTTTACTTTTCAAAACCCTTGAGAGTGGAAGCTAGAAAATACTGTTTCTTTAGAAAACATTGGAAGAAAAGTAGGTGAAAATGAGATTGGAAAGAGGATCCATCCACCATGCCGCATTGGAAGCATTGCATTAATGAATGCTTGCATTCAATTTGACTAATGCAGTAGGCATCTGGAATAGGAAGTTACAACCCTGAACTTTGGGGGCAAGCATTGAGGAAAAAATAAATTTGCCAGTTACAGCCTTTTTTTAAAAAAAAAAAAAGAAAAACATTTTTCTTTGTACAAAAGAGACGTTTTGTTTAGGATCTAGCTTGGCTGCAGAATGTCTGCTGGCTAACTTCCTATTTTGATGCTGTGGCTGCAAGTTGTTGATACTGTTTTGCACGAATTTGTCTTGTTTTGTGAACATGAGAAAATTCAAGTGTAGGAAAACCTATACCTGAATATTTCAAACCTCCCTCAAATGAATATGCATAGTATGGATATGAAAAAGTAAGTTAGTGGCTACTACAGGCTGGCACCCATTCTTCACTGATGTATATAGTTATTCCATGTTATAGATATCCTTTTAGTAAAAAGTAATGAATTTCTTAGGTGAGCAGGTAATTAATCACATGGTAACTATAACCTAGTTTTAAACTATTTACTCTTTTTAGGAAGAACTCTTTGATATAGGATATAACATTCCTTATTCCTTAATTATAGATCACATTTTGTTTTTAGTAATTAAGTTATACGTACTTGAATAGATGAGTACTAAATCTTTATCTAAGAGACACTTTGGGGAAAAAGAAGCAGAATAAACAGTATATGAAGGGTTTTCAATTCAAATGTATTTACTCATAAGTATTTTTTGTTGGTTGTTTCTTTGTTTTTTAAGAGATGTGGTCTCACTGTGTTTCCCAGGATGATCTCAAACTCCTGGACTCAAGCAATCTTCCCGCCTCAGCCTCCTGAGTAGCTGGGACTACAGGCGGGCACCACTGTGCCCAGTCTTAGACATTGTAGTTTTTTTGTTTTTTTTTTTATCATGTTACTTTAAACTCCCCATCTTGCTCTGAAAGATAAAATACTCTAGGCATAAAAGAGAGAAATTTCTTCCTCAATTCCCATACCAGATTTTCTAGTCAGATGTGTTTTTTTCCTTATTCCAATAAAAATGCAGAATTACTGTACTTTAGAATTAGTATATGGAAGTGTTTAAAGTAGGCACGGGAAGACCGCTCCTGCTGTATGCCTTGGTACTCTTAAGTTGTGCAAGCCCATCTATGTGAGGAGAAGCCGTGACAGTGGCTCCTCCTGTGGGATTTTTATGGGACTAGAGCTCTGAAGTATGGCCCTTATCTTTCTGCTCTCCAACACATACCAAATGTATTAAGGCTGTGGTTCTGAAACCAGTTTCGTTGCCTGGGAAACTTGTAATACAGATTCCTGAGCTCTGTCCTCCTTAGGAAGTTCTGAGGCAGTAAATCAGAGATAAAGCCCATGAAGAACTAGTAGTTGCTCTTAAGTTTGAGAGGGATTGTGAAAAATTGTGCCAAAGGCTGTCTTTGTGCTCGGTTATTAAATTGTTCAGCTGGTTGTACATTGAACTAAAATATGCTTTGACCCTGCTGGTGGTAAAGATCATTTGTGAAACATTTTGTTGAGGAAAATTTACTGGCTGGGTGTGGTGGCTCACATCTGTAATCCCAGCACTTGTGGGAGGCCGAGGCGGGTGGATCACTTGAGGTCGGGAATTTGAGACAAGCCTGGCTGACATGGCAAAACCCCATCTCCGCTAAAAATACAAAAATTAGCTGGGTATGGTGGTGCACGCTTCTAGTCCCAGCTACTCAGGAGGCTGGGGCATGAGAATCACTTGAACCGGGGAGGTGGAGGTTGCAGTGAGCTGACATCAGGCCACTGCACTCCAGCCTGGTCGACAGAGTGAGACTGAGACTGTCTCAAAAAAAAAGGAAAAGTTATTTATCTTTCAGTGTTGGCTTAGAATTTCTTATATGTTAAGTTCTCTTGTGGGGTTTTTGGTTTTGTTTTTTGGGTTTTTTATTTTTTTTTTGTTATTTTTTTTTGAGACAGGGTCTCACTCTGTTGCCCAGGCTGGAGTGCAGTGGGTCAATTAGGGCTCACTGCAGCCTCAACTTTCCAGGCTCAAGCAATCCTCCCACCTTAGCTTCCTGAGTAGCTGGAACCACAGGCGTGTGCCACCACACCAAGCTAATTTAAAACAAAAAATTTTATTTTTGAGACGGAGTTTTCGTTCTTGTTGCCCAGGCTGGAATGCAATGGCGCGATCTCAGCTCACCACAACCTCTGCCTCCCAGGTTCAAGTGATTCTCCTGCCTCAGCCTCCTGAGTAGCTGGAATTACAGGCATGCACCACTACTCCCAGCTAGTTTTGTATTTTTAGTAGAGACAGGGTTTCTCCATGTTGGTCAGGCTGGTCTCGAGATCCCAACCTCAGGTGATCCACCTGCCTCAGCATCCCAAAGTGCTGGGATTACAGGCGTGAGCCACCGCGCTGGGCCCTACAATTTTTTATAGAGAAGGGATCTGTCTCATTATTTTGCCCAGGCTCGTCTAACTCCTGGGCTCAAGCAATCCTCCCACCTGGGCCTCCCAGAGTGTTGACATTACAGGCATGAGCCACTATGCCAGGCTGGGCTCTCAAGCATCTTTATCTGCATAGAACCTAGCACAATTCTTAGGATGCCATAGGCATTTGGTTTGTACCAACGTATTCAGACGTTGCATCACCTAAGATTTTGAAGTAGATAAAAGCTCTTTGAATTATCTTCCTTAATATGTGAATGGTAGGAGGGAAAGTGTCTAAAGCTCTACATGAGGATTTTCTGTATTATATACCAGATGAAGGTGGTTACAGTTTGCCAATATGCCTTTTCTCTCCCTAGTAAAAAGGCATGTGGTCTGGAGTCTCTATGTCAAGAGAGTTTTTTGAGAATGTGGTGTTTGGGGACATTTATTGGGGATTTACTAAGTGGCAGCTACTACTGTGAACATGTATTAACTCATTTAATCCTCACAGCAGTTCTAAAGTTAGGTGCTTTAATTTTCCCATTTTGATGAGATTGGATTAAGCAGTTTACTCAAGGCCACACGATTAGTAATTGTGATTAAAGGACTTTGATTTTTTTTTTTTTTTTTTTTGAGATGGAGTCTCACATTGTTGCCTGGGCTAGAGTGCAGTGGTGTGATCTTGGCTCACCGCAATTTCCACCTCCTGGGTTCAAGCGATTCTCCTGCCTCAGTCTCCCGAGTAGCTGGGATTATAGGCATGCGCCACCACACTCGGCTAATTTTTTTGTATTTTTAGTAGAGATGGGGTTCTCCATGTTGATCCGGCTGGTCTTGAACTCCTGACCTCGTGATCAGGACCAGCTCGGCCCCCAAAGTGCTGGGATTACAGGCGTGAGCCACCGTGCCTGGCCGACTTCGAATTTTTTAATAAGAATTTTTTGGCCGGGCGCAATGGCTCACACTTGTAATCCCAGCACTTGGAGAGGCCGAGGCAGGCGAATCACCTGAGGTTGGGAGTTCCAGACCAGCCTAACCAACGTGGAGAAACTCCGTCTCTACTAAAAATACAAAATTAGCTAGGCCTGGTGGCGCATGCCTGTAATCCCAGCTACTCCGGAGGCTGAGGCAGGAGAATCGCTTGAACCCAGGAGGCAGAGGTTGCGGTGAGCCAAGGTCACACCATTGCACTCCAGCCTGGGCAAAAAGAGTGAAATTCCATCTCTCAAAAATATAAAAGAATTTTTTATTTGGGTCTAAAAATTTAGAATTTAGAATATGACTACCAACTTAATTTCTTAGTCTTTGTTTCAGATAATATATCTCAGTGGAGTATTTAGAGTTTAAGAAGATGAGTAATCATGGAGCTGAGTACTTGATAAGTTTGAGAACATGTTCATGATCATTGTGGGGATATGACATTTTTTACCTCTTACCATATATCGATTCTCACCCACCCCCCATTTTTTGAAACAAGGTCTTGCTTTGTCACCCAGGGTGGAGTGCATGGCTCACTGCAGCCTCGACCTCCTGGGCTCAAGCAGTCCTCCCACTTCAGCCTCCCAAGTAGTCAGGACCACAGGTGTATGCCACCATGACTGGCTAATTGTTTAATTTTTTTGTAGAGATGGGGTCGCACTGTGTTGCCCAGGCTGGTCTCGAACTCCTGGGCTCAAGCTGTCTCCCTGCCTTGGCTTCTCAAAGTGCTAGGATTACAGGCATGAGCCACCACACTCAGCTGATTCCCTTTTTAGTAAATCTACTAGATCTATGACTTTATTTGTTAATAATTAGAGTAGCACCATGTTTTTAAGTGATTAGAACTCTTGAAAATGAATATCCACACTAAATTCCATTATAGCAAAGAACTAATTTAGAAAATGTTCATAATGAGAGTTTTGATGGCGATTTGTTTTGAGTAGTGTTGAAAGGCTCTTAGAGTGCATGTGAAGGGATGAATCTTTTGAGAAAAGAAAGATAGTAGACATTTTCTGAGACATAAAATAATCCAGATTTATTCCACCAGACAGCTTTACAGTGTATAGTATTTTAAGAGCTAACTGCCTTCAGATTCACTGGACTTTTCTGTCCTTTTGCCAGGTACTGACTTGGGCAACAGCAGTGACTACAAGTGCCATACTGACCAATTGGAAGAGTCTTTGCTTATCGGAGCTGTTCTAAAAGGCTTATTAGTTTTTGGTCTTCATTCTATTTAATGTTTTCATGCCTTTATAAACTTTTTACTTCCAGCCCAATTTTTCCCATTGTCTTGGTACAGGTCAGCTGTGTCCAAGTTTGTTAGGGTTTCAGCTAGCCAAAAATGGTATTTTCATTTGCTGAAATTCTAAACAAAATAATTAAAGTTAAAGCACAGATGATGATGCTACCTTATTTTTCTACATGTGGGAAAGCTTGATTGATAGTAATGATTAGCGCCTGCATCTCACAATCACTGAGAAATGAATGCAGCACTGAGCTCTGTTTGCCCTCTAAGCTTGTCCCCAGAAAAAACAAGATATACCCTAAATAGTAAGTTATAATATTTTTATTAGGGAACATTATTAGAGTTTTTTTTTAATATATCTCGTAGCCATGTCATATTAATCTTTTTTCTTTTTTCCTTTTTTTCATTTTTCTCTTTTCTCTTCTCTTCTCTTCTCTTTTCTCTTTCTCACTCTGTCACCCAAGCTGGAGTGCAGTGGCATGACCATGGCTCACTGCAGCCTTGACCTCCCAGACTCAAGCAATCCTCCCACTCCAGCCTCCCAAGTGACTGGGACTACAGGCACGTGCCACCATGCACGGCTAATTTTTCTATTTTTTGTAGGGGCAGGATCTCAGCATGTTGCCCAGGCTGATCTTGACCTCTTGGACTCAAGCAATTTTCCCTCCTGTGCCTCCCAAAGTTCTAAGATACAGGCATGAGCCACCACACCCAGCCTAGAGAATCCTTAATGTTTGAAGTCTGTCAGGCTATCATGGTGCTCAGCAGAGGATGTGTTAGTATTCTGAGAATAGGACTTCTAACTTTAGTTTTACCTGAGATTATTCTACACCTAACTTGAAACTTTTGGAGTATTAAAGGTTCAAAGAAGTTAAGAGAAAAGCAAAGCTTGATAAACTGACCAGTTTGTGTCCTGCTAAAGCATAGACAGTTTTACCATGCTCTTCCCAGTGACATGAATATTCTTTGGTTAGCATTCAATTTGGTTGCTTTCTTTTTTGTTTAATCAGGCACTGTCACCACTGTATTATTGTCATCATTTTGCTTATTGATTTTGCTTATTGTCTGCCTTCCCCTCTGTGTTGTAAGCTCCATAAAGGCAAGAAATTTTTTCTGTTTTATTCACTGCTTTAAGCCCAGTTTCTAAAACAGTGTCTGACACGTGGTAGGCACTCAATAAATACCTGTTGAATTATTACTAATTCATTTTGTAGACTTTCATCTGTAAGATGACAGATCTGAATCATCTGAAATCTCCATCTCCATAAAACATATAAGCTGGCTGGGTGCAGTGGCTCATGCCTGTAATCCTAGTACTTTGTGAGGCTGAGGCGAGCAGATTGCTTGAGCTCAGGAGTTCGAGACCAGCCTGCGCAACGTGGTGAAACCAGCTCTCTACTAAAAATACAAAAAATTAGCCAGGTGCGGTGGTGCACGCCTGTAATCCCAGCTACTTCGGAGGCTGAGTCAGGAAAATCGCTTCAATCTGGGGGGCGGAGGTTGCAGTGAGCCGAGATTGCACCACTGCACTCCAGCCTGGGCAACAGAACTAGACTCTGTCTAAAAAAAACACACAAAAAACACACAAAAAAACATATAAGCTGAACCTCCCCTGTGGGGTGGAGTCAGTTTGACTCACCTCAGAGTTGTTTGAAGAGAGAGGTTCCCAAACAGTTTTACCATAACCTTAGTTCACTGAATGTTTTGTGGTAGAAACACTGACTAGTAAGTTCAGTAACAATGCATGGCTCAGATTGTGGAATATTTCTGATTTAAATGTAATCTGTAGTACTTCACACTTCAGATTTTTGAACCTTTTAACCTACAATACTGGGCTTCATTTCTGTTATGCCCTAATCTAGTCATGCTGAATATCCATACTGTATAATGGTAGATGCAAACCATGTTTACTAAATTAGAACTACATATGAATTACAGTTTACTTCAAGTGTTTTGTTTTGGTAATATAGCTTTGCCACCAAGCTTTTACAGTTTTCCTTGAATGTACAAAGACTTTTTATTCTAATAACCAGATTACAGTTATACTATTTCTAAAGCTCAGCTCTTATTACATCAAGTTTCAGTGATGTGTTGAAGTAGGGGAACTTTATATGGCATTTCAAAACATTTTCATAATACTGGAATTTTATTTATTGTAAAATATTTTTGTCTTTAATAAAATAATTTTGAATGAAGTCATAATTTTGCTTTTATCTGGTATTTGGATGTTTACATGAAAAAGGGAACATAAGCTGAATAAAGGTAATCCCAAAAGAACTTCTCTGTCACATTTTCCCAGTTACTCATTCATGCTCAAGGCATTGCTGTCCTGAGCCTACTTAGGTCTCAGCTGACCAAGCTGAATCTTTGATTCACTTATTTGGGGCTATTTATTTAAGACCCACTTTGTCCCAGCTCCAAAGATACAACAGTATGCAAGAAAGACAGCGCCCAGGGTGGGCGTGGTGGCTCATGCCTATAATCCCAGCACTTCAGGAGGCCGAGGTGGGCAGGTTGCTTGAGCCCAGTAGTTTGAGACCAACCTGGCAATGTAGTGAGGCACCAGGTCTGTAGAAAGTTTAAAAATCAGGCCAGGCGCGGTGGCTCATGCGTGTATTCCCAGCTCTTTGGGAGGCCGAGGCAGGCGGATCACGGGGTCAGGAGATCGAGACCATTCTGGCTAACACGGTGAAACCCCGTCTCTACTAAAAATACAAAAATAAAATTAGCCAGGCGTGGCGGCGGGTGCCTGTAGTCCCAACTGCTTGGGAGACTGAGGCAGGAGAATGGCGCGAACCCGGGAGGCGGAGCTTGCAGTGAGCAGAGATCGCGCCACTACACTCCAGCCTGGGCGACAGAGCAAGACTCCGTCTCAAAAAAAAAACAAAAAAAAAAAAAAAAGAAAAGAAAGTTTAAAAATTAGCCAGGTGTGGTGGCATGTGCCTGTGGTCCCAGCTACTTGGGAGGCTGAGGTGGGAGGATAGCTTGAGGCCAGGAGGTCAAGGCTGCAGTGAGCCACAATTGTACCACTGGCACTCCAGCCTGGAGGACAGAGGGAGACCCTCTCTCAAATACAAACAAACAAATAAATGAAGTAAGAAAGCACCAGCCCTTGGGATATTTGTTTTGATCCTTTTCCCCAGTAAAAATTTGTTAGAGTGGGAAGTTAGAAAACAGTGTGGTAGATTGATGGCTACTATGGTATTAACTGATAAGACTTAACGTATTACTTTGAGAAGGATATTTTCTATTTTAAAAGTAATTCTGGAGTTAACTCTGTCTTTTTTTTTTTTTTTTTTTTTTTTTTTGAGACAGTTTCACTCTTGTTGCCCAGGCTGGGGTGCGATGGCGTGACCTCAGCTCACTGCCATCAATGTCTGCCTCCTGGGTTCAAAGGATTCTCCTGCCTCAGCCTCCCGAGTAGCTGGAATTACAGGTGCCTGCCACCACGCCCGGCTAATTTTTTTGTATCTTTAGTAGAGATGAGGTTTCACCATTTTGGTCAGGCTGGTCTCGAACTCCTGACCTCAGGTGAGCCACTGCACCCAGCCAAGTTAACTCTGTCTTAACCAAAGAAATCAATTTGCACAGTACAATATTGATTTAAATGACAAGTTAGTACAAGAGATTTTGGAGGGGCCAGGCGTAGCGGCTCACACCTGTAATCCCAGCACTTTGGGAGGCCAAGGCGGGTGGATCACTTGAGGTCAGGAGTTAAGAGACCAGCCTGGCCAACATGGTGAAACCCCATCTCTTCTAAAAATACAAAAATTAGCTGGGCTTGATGGTGCCTGCCTGTAATCCCAGCTACTTGAGAGGCTGAGGCAGGAGAATGGCTTGAACCTGGGAGGTGGAGGTTGCAGTGAGCTGAGATTGCGCCATTGCACTTCAGCCTGGGCAACAAGAAAAAGACTCCGTATCAAAAAAAAAAAAAAAAGATTTTGGAGGGGGTCCACCTTTTTCAGTACCCTTTAGTTTAGAACATCACAGCTATTTATTTGTACATGGGACAGATTCTCCCTGTGGATAGAATAGAATAATTCTAGTCTCATTTTTCAGATTCAGGAAGGGCCCATTGCATCTCCTAAAAATCAAAAAAGTCTGGCCACTAGTTTTTTTCCTTTTCAGATTGTGAGACTAACAGATTTATAGAGGCAGTCTGTGCTCTGAATTGTTCAGCTTACAGATTGAAGTCTATCAACCCTTTATAGTATCAGGTTATTTGTTTTGTATAAATTATTTTGCTTTTGTTGATTAGCTCTATCAAAGAATAAAAAACCTCCCAAGATTTCTCAATCTTACCGCCCTTCTTTATGCTTTCTCTGTACAATGGAAAAGTAGACCAAAAGTATTTGTCATGAAAATTTTTTATCATTTGCAGTTTGTGGCATGATATGGCTTTTCTGTTTCACTGTTGGCAGTTTTATGCATGTCCTGTAGGATAACTTGATCGTTTTGTTACATATTTATGTGTGTATATATACATCCTGTGTGTGTATATATATATTTATGTAATTTAAAAAATAAAAAGCATGCTGCTTGGCTTGGCTAGCTAATGTGTAATTGTACCTGGTAAACAATTTTTTTCTTTGAAATTCTGATCATAGAGGGATTGAGCTCTCTTTGCTCTGATGAGCCATCTTCAGAAATTATGACTTCTTCCTTTCTTTCATCTTCTGAAATACATAACACTGGCCTTACAATACTACATGGAGAAAAAAGCCATGTGTTAGGGAGCCAGCCTATTTTAGCCAAAGAAGGAAAAGACCACTTGGATCTTCTAGATATGAAAAAGATGGAAAAGCCTCAGGGGACCAGCAACAACGTATCAGACTCTTCAGTTTCTCTTGCAGCAGGAGTTCATTGTGACCGTCCTTCTATTCCAGCCAGTTTCCCAGAGCATCCTGCTTTTCTCTCAAAGAAAATTGGTCAAGTGGAAGAGCAAATAGATAAAGAGACCAAGAACCCAAATGGGGTATCAAGTAGGGAGGCTAAAACTGCATTGGATGCTGATGACAGATTCACTTTGCTGACAGCCCAGAAACCACCTACTGAGTACTCTAAGGTAGAAGGCATTTATACATATTCTTTGTCTCCATCCAAAGTTTCAGGAGATGATGTTATTGAAAAGGATTCCCCTGAATCACCATTTGAAGTAATTATTGACAAAGCAGCATTTGACAAAGAATTTAAAGACTCATATAAGGAGAGCACAGATGATTTTGGTAGCTGGTCTGTGCACACTGATAAAGAATCATCCGAAGACATTTCAGAGACTAATGACAAGCTTTTTCCACTGAGAAATAAAGAGGCAGGACGTTACCCAATGTCTGCATTGCTCAGTAGGCAGTTTTCACACACAAATGCAGCACTGGAAGAGGTGTCCAGATGCGTGAATGATATGCATAACTTTACTAACGAAATACTGACTTGGGATCTGGTTCCCCAAGTGAAACAACAGACCGATAAATCTTCTGACTGCATCACAAAAACTACAGGACTTGACATGAGTGAATATAATTCAGAAATTCCAGTTGTAAATCTTAAAACTAGCACTCATCAGAAAACTCCTGTATGTTCTATTGATGGGAGCACTCCCATCACTAAATCAACAGGTGATTGGGCAGAAGCATCTCTCCAGCAAGAAAATGCTATTACTGGAAAACCTGTACCTGACTCTTTGAATTCCACAAAAGAATTCAGTATCAAAGGTGTGCAAGGCAATATGCAGAAACAGGATGACACACTTGCAGAATTACCTGGATCTCCACCTGAGAAATGTGACTCTTTGGGTTCTGGAGTGGCCACAGTGAAAGTGGTTTTACCTGATGACCACCTGAAAGATGAAATGGACTGGCAGAGCTCTGCATTGGGAGAAATCACAGAAGCTGATAGTTCTGGTGAGTCTGATGACACAGTAATAGAGGACATCACAGCAGATACATCATTTGAAAATAACAAAATTCAGGCTGAAAAACCTGTTTCCATTCCAAGTGCTGTTGTAAAAACAGGTGAAAGAGAAATCAAAGAGATTCCCAGTTGTGAGAGAGAAGAAAAAACATCTAAAAACTTTGAAGAATTGGTCAGTGACTCTGAGCTGCATCAAGATCAGCCTGATATTCTTGGAAGGAGTCCAGCTAGTGAGGCAGCATGTTCAAAAGTACCCGATACGAATGTCTCCTTAGAAGATGTGAGTGAAGTTGCTCCTGAAAAGCCTATTACTACTGAGAACCCCAAACTTCCTTCAACAGTGTCTCCAAATGTTTTTAATGAGACAGAATTCTCATTAAATGTGACAACATCTGCCTATTTGGAGTCATTACATGGGAAAAATGTTAAACATATAGATGATTCCTCCCCAGAGGACCTGATAGCAGCCTTTACAGAAACCAGAGATAAAGGAATAGTAGATAGTGAAAGAAATGCTTTTAAAGCAATATCAGAGAAGATGACAGACTTTAAAACAACTCCTCCTGTAGAAGTCTTACATGAAAATGAGTCCGGTGGTTCTGAAATTAAAGACATTGGAAGCAAATACAGTGAACAAAGCAAAGAAACAAATGGAAGTGAGCCTCTAGGTGTTTTCCCTACCCAAGGTACTCCAGTAGCATCTCTTGACTTAGAACAAGAACAGCTCACAATTAAGGCTCTTAAAGAATTAGGTGAAAGACAGGTTGAGAAGTCAACTTCTGCACAGCGTGACGCAGAATTGCCTTCTGAAGAAGTACTGAAGCAAACTTTCACATTTGCTCCAGAATCTTGGCCACAGAGATCATATGACATCCTAGAACGTAATGTCAAGAATGGATCTGATCTTGGGATTTCCCAGAAGCCCATCACTATCAGAGAAACTACTAGGGTAGATGCTGTTTCCAGCCTTAGCAAGACTGAATTGGTAAAAAAGCATGTCCTAGCAAGACTTCTGACAGACTTCTCAGGTAACCATTTATATTAGAATACTGCATGTGGTTAATTCTGTGATTGATTACTTATCAGCGTGCCATTTATGTTAGTCTGATTTATACCTACAAAATTATGGCTAAAATACAAAAACAATATGCTGTATGATGGGAAAGGCAGATTCTTCTCCTGTCTTTTTTTAAATGATTGCTTGATTTGGTTTCCTTAATATCAATATTTCCCAAAGCAGTAGACCACTTTGTAACATTAATCTTCCCCTAAATATTTTTTCTATGCTCGCTGGGTACGGTGGCTCACGCCTATAATCCCAGCACTTTGGGAGGCCGAGACGGGCGGATCACAAGGTCAGGAGATTGAGACCATCCTGGCTAACACGGTGAAACCCCGTCTCTACTAAAAATACAGAAAAATTAGCTGGACGTGGTGGCGGGCGCCTGTAGTCCCAGCTGCTTGGGAGGCTGAGGCAGGAGAATGGCGTAAACCCGGGAGGCAGAGCTTGCAGTGAGATGAGATCGCGCCAGTACACTCCAGCCTGGGTGACAGAGCAAGACTCTGTCTCAAAAAAAAAAAAAAAAAGAAAATTTTTTTTCTATGCTCCAGTTATATTTCAAGGTACTTCTTTTCTTATAGGTTGCCCCTAAGGTGATATTAGGTGAGAATCTAATATCATCAGGTTCTTACTTATTTACAAAGCTTGTTTTTAAATCTCCATAATTGTCATACTTTTTAGCACTTGGATTTTTTGATATGTGCTTTGTGGAATCTTAGCAATCAAAGATAAAGGAATTCCTGCTGGGAAAGATAGTAAATGAAACTTTTAATTAATGTGATCGTATACTATAGAGATTTTATGCTCTGAAAGTAGGTAACCAGTATTGTAGTACTATTTTGTGAGTAATGCTTAGGAGAACTCATGCATTCTTCTACTTTCTATCTTATTTAATATTCTTCAGGCCAAAACTCATTATTAGATGGTACCAGAAACCCCTTCTCTTGTCTTTTATCTATTTCAAATGATCACTTTTCTAGCAAGTGGCTTTCAGTTAGATTACTGCAAATGCTGTCTATTCTGGGATCTTGGAAAGTACAAGAAAAAAAAAGGATCTTTCAAGCCCCTCTACAAGGGACCCCCATCCTTTAATGTAATACCAAGTTTTACATCTACTGTATGGTCAGTGTTAGGTGCTATGTAGAGGTCTGTGGTTTTTAAACTATTTGATTATAGATCTTTTATCAAATGAAATCATACACAGAGTTGTAGTATTTACAAGAAAATTAGATTTTTGTTAGGCTAAATGTATTTTGTGTTTGATTTTGTGCCTTTTTATAAAGGCATTTTCTTACTGGAAACTGTAGGTAGATTTATCTTTTTAAGTTTTAATATTTAAAATAGATAAATTGTACTTAACCTTACAATGGTATTGTGAGGATTAAATATGAAAATGCAGGTAATACAGTGCCTAGCACATAGTAAATATGCAGTCAGATTTAGCACCAAATACAGGGCCTGCCACATAAGTAGTACTGGATAATTATTTGTTGAATGAATGATATGAATTATTTCACTAACAATTATCAGTGAAAGACATTGAGGCTTTTTGATAAACCAAAAATTTTGAATTACCAATTAAGGATAGCTCTTATACTCTAGCATTTGAAGCTCACTGAATTTGGATTAAAGAGTACTAGGTTCTAATTCTTGCTGTGCTGTGTCTAGAAGTATGACTTTGAACAAGTAACTTACATAACCTTTCGGGGGCCTCAGTTTTAATATCTGTAAAGTGAGGATGTAAAGTGAAGTAGATGGTCTTCAATTATCATTTAAATAATATGATTCTCTGGCTCTGGTACATTCTAGATTTCTTCCTCAGTTGTCATAATTCTTACAGGTAGTAACTTTTGGGCAATAAGGCATATAGGAATTATGCTACAAGAACTCCAGTGTCTAATTCTGGCAAATTCCTGTTTTAGCATGACCTTAGATGACTAGTCTAATTGGTTCAGCATCTTCCTTTGTTAATGTGATGATCATTATTTTGCCCTGCTTTGTATGTTGCAGTAAATAAAGTGCTGTGTAAATGCTAATTATTAGTGATTATCAACTGAATTATTTAATCTAGCGTGAGAGATGTAAAGGGCTATGGAAGTTCAGGATATTTGTCACTGACCAAAGTCTATGATTAGTGTATGTTTTTAGATTGTAATTAAAGAAGACCGGTATAGTTAGACCAAGAAGTTTAAAGGCCTTTCTTGCAGCTTTCAAAAGTGAAAACCTTTTAAAATTGTCTTATTTATGAATAAATCTTTAAAAATATAATCCATTTCATTGCAGTGAAATAAATAAATAAAAACATAAACCATTTCAGTAAAATGCATCAGTGTCTAGTTTTATTTATTTATCTTTTTTTTTTTTTTTTTAATTTTTTGAGACAGAGTCTCACTCTGTTGCCCAGGCTGGAGTGCAGTGGCGCGATCTCGGCTCACTGCAACCTCCACCTCCAGGGTTCAAGCGACTCTCCTGCCTCAGCCTTCCGAGTAGCTGGGATTACAGGCGTGTGCCACCACGCCCAGCTAATTTTTTGTATTTTTACTAGAGATGGGGTTTCACCATGTTGGCCAGGCTGGTCTCTCAAACTCCTGGCTTCAAGTGATCCGCCTGCGTTGGCCTCTCAAAGTGCTGGGATTTACAGGCCTGAGCCACCACACACAGCCGATTGTCTAGTTTTAAATACGTGTATCTGCATATTCTTCCTTTCTAAGGTAAAAACAGTGCTTTAATTATATTCTGCCTTAAGTTGTTTGGGAAAATAGGCAAAAGAAACAATGAAAGAATTAGTGGTTTTCTGTTTGTTTTTGCTATTTTATGGTATATTATGTAACAGCTTGTAATGAAGCCTTTATCATATTATAGTTGGTTGCTGAGTAATTAAGTTATGATAGACTCTCATAGTTTGGGGAAGAAAATCAGATCCCTGCCTCTCACATACCTAGTGTAGTGAAGATAGTTTTTTGTGTTTTAGTATCCAGATTGGCAGGATGCAAGGAAATAAGCATATAGTTTGGTGAAGTACATGTAAATTGTTACAGCCTTTCTGGAAGGCAGTTGGCAATATGTAACAGACCTAGAACTGCCCTAGCAATCTTGTTTTTAGGAATTCTTTTTTTTTTTTTTTTTTTTTTTTTTTGAGACAGAGTCTCGCTCTGTCGCCCAGGCTGGAGTGCAGTGGCGCAATCTCGGCTCACTGCAAGCTCTGCCTCCCGGGTTCACGCCATTCTCCTGCCTCAGCCTCCCGAGTAGCTGGGATTACGGGCGCCTGCTACCACGCCCGGCTAATTTTTTGTATTTTTTAGTACAGACGGGGTTTCACCATGTTAGCCAGGATGGCCTCAATCTCCTGACCTGGTGATCTGCCCACCTCGGCCTCCCAAAGTGCTGGGATTACAGGCGTGAGCCACCCGTGCCCGGCCCTTTTTTTTTTTTTTTTTTTTTTTTAAAGACAGAGTCTCACCGTGTTGCCCAGGCTGGAGTGCAATGGCACGATCTCGGGTCACTGCAACCTCCACCTCCCGGGTTCAAGCGATTCTCCTGCCTCAGCCTCCCAAGTAGCTGGGATTACAGGTGCCTGCCACCACGCCCGGCTAATTTTTTGTATTATTAGTAAAGACGGAGTTTCACTATATTGGCCAGGCTGGTCTCGAACTCCTGACCTCGTGATCCGCCCGCCTTGGCTTCCCAAAATACTGAGATTACAGGCGTGAGCCACGGAACCCAGCTGGAATTTATCCTTTTTTAAAAATGTGCAAAAATAACTACACAGATGTTCATTATAGCACAGTTTATGATAGTGGCAGATATCTCGGTGTCTTAACAATTAGAGATTGGTTGAGTATATTATGGTATAACTGTGCAATCGAATATTACACAGTCATTGAAGTTGTTAAAGTTTTGTTTTTTTTTTTTTTAAGAAATGGAAAAATATAGAAAAGTACAAAGGCAGCCTACACCCATATCTTCTCTATATGTAGAATTAACTTATGTTAATTGTTAGCATTGGTAGTCATATTTGCTTCCAAACTAAAGGACTCTTTGATTACCACCTGGCCACGCCCTCCATCTCCCCTTCCCCAGACGTAACACCGTCATGGACCTGGTACATCCTTCCAGTTTATTTTAAATAAATGTGTTTGTATTGTTTTATGCTTTTTAACCATTCATTCATGTTATCATGTTTGTTGTATAACGTTTTCCATTCAACATTAGGTTTTTAAACTTCTTTCATGTTGGAATTTATATAATTTATTCATTTTAACAGCTATGTAGTAATCCATTATATGAATATATTATTTTCTTTTGGTAAGGATTTAGATTCTTTCCTATTTTTTGCTATTATAGACAGCGCTGAAGTTAACATTCTTCTTTTTTTTTTTCCTTTTTCTTTTTCTTTTTTGAGATGGAGGAGTTTCACTCTGTCGCCCAGGCTGGAGTGCAGTGGTGCAATCTCCGCTCACTGCAAGCTCCGCCTCCCGGGTTCATGCCATTCTCCCGCCTCAGCCTCCTGAGTAGCTGGGACTACAGGCGCCTGCTACCACGCCCAGCTAATTTTATTTTTGTATTTTTAGTAGAGTCGGGGTTTCACTGTGTTAGCCAGGATGGTCTCAATCTCCTGGCCTCGTGATCCGCCCGCCTCGGCCTCCCAAAGTGCTGGAATTACAGGCATGAGCCACCGCGCCCGGCCTTAAGTTAACGTTGTTATACTTGTCTGTTTTTACACATATGTGACTATTTCCCCAGCGTTAGGGTGCTACTGCTTATCAGTTTCACTTCTAGCTCTGTGCCTTATTTTTCTAGTTACTGTCAAAGTTAGTGTCTTCTGTTATGTAAAAATGTTCGTAATTTATTAGTAAAAACTACATTGTTCAGCACCCAGCAGATGGTGGGTGCTAAAGTGGAATGAAAAGAGTTACCAAACAAGGAATACAAAATAATTCCTATCTTGGTATCATTTAAAGTGAATCTATGCTAGAAAGATTCCATAAAGAAAAAAAATGAATCTATATACCTACATATACAGGGAATCTGAAGTAATTTTTAAAAGCAATGTCAGAATGGTTTTCTTTTCTTATGGCCAAGTAGGCTTTTACTGGACCTGACCTTCCTGCATATAACTGGACAAAATTTTTAAAAAACAAAGACCCGAAGGCACTGGAGGATGAACGGGAGCAGTCAGATTCTGAAAGAGAGTTGACACATGTAAGAAGAGACAGCATGAAATTAGTTTTTTATTTTTACTGCTTTTAGCTAGAGGACAGGCTGAAGTGGGCACCTGACAGGCTGGCTTAAACCTTCATAGAAAACCTAAGCAGTGGACAGCATTTGGGTCAGCCACAACCACTGAGTCAGTGGAATGTAAGGGGAGGAGGAATCTTGGAAGGGAGAGATCCAGAGAGTGACAGCCTAAAATTCTGTAGATAAAATAAACTGTGTTTAAGCCTCTGTTTAATTGTAAACCACACTTAACACAAAAGATTATAAGCAGCACAACTAGAGATGAAAGAAGTGAACTGGGCCGGGTGCAATGGCCCACGCCTGTAATCCCAGCACTTTGGGAGGCCAAGGCGGGTGGATCACGAGATCAGGAGTTCAAGACCAGCCTGGTCAAGCTGGTGAAACCCCATCTCTACTAAAAATACAAAAATTAGCCGGGCACATTGGCAGGCGCCTGTAATCCCACCTACTCAGGTGGCTGAGGCAGGAGAATCGCTTGAACCCCTGGGGGTGGAGGTTGCAGTGAGCCAAGATCATGCCATTGCACTACAGCCTGGGTGACAGAGTAAGACTCCGTCTGAAAAAAAAAAAAAAAAAGAAGAAGTGAGCCGAGTTTGTAGTTTGAAGGCCAGGCACAGTGGCTCATGCCTGTAATCCCAGTACTTCAGGAGGCTGAAGCAGGTGGATCACTTGAGCCCAAGAGTTCAAGGCCAGCCTGGGCAGCATGGTGAAACCCCATCTCCACTAAAAAATACAAAATTAAGCCAGGCATGGTGGCCTGTGCCTGTAGTCCCTGAGCCCAGGGAGGTCAGGGGTGCAGATCGCACCACTGCACTCCAGCCTGGGTGACAGAGTAAGACTCTATCTTGAAAAAAAAAGTTTGCAGTTTGAATCTAACCAAATTTATTACATGTTAAAACAAAAGTAATGATACTCTCCAGAGGAATAGAACACAGTCTGGAATTTGTACAGCATAATATTCACAATGTCCAGGATATAATCCAAAACTACATGTTTTAAGAACCAAGAAATTATAACTCAGTCTGAAGAAAAAGAGACAATCGATAGAAACTAACTGCATGTGTTGGAATTAGGAGTCAGGATTTTAAGGGTTTTCATTTTAATCACTCAAAGAAGTAAAGGGAAATATTCTTGTATTGAATAAAAAAGAAAATCTCAACCTAGAAATCGAAACAAAAAAGAGTCAGGTGGGGATTCTAGAACTGTAAAATATAACCACTGAAATTAAAATTCAGCAGGTGACCTTAACAGCAAAATGGAGATGACAGGGGAAGAAGCTGGTGAACTTGATAGCATACTAAAGAACAGAAAGAACACATATTTTTTAAAAGTGTCACCAGAGCTTCAGAACCCTGTGGGACAATATCAAAAGACCTAACTTTGGCCAGGCACAGTGGCTCACGTCTGTAATCCCACCACTTCAGCACTTAGGGAGGCCGAGGCAGGAGGATCACTTGAGCCCAGGAGTGCGAGACCTGCAAAACCTATTTTTTATAATTGGAGTCCTAGCAGGAGAGGAAAGTGAGAGAGAGACTGGAGAAGGACATATTTAAAGATAAAATGGCTGAAATTTTCTTAAATTTTATGAAAGGCACATTTACTGATGAAAGACGCTCATCAAACACCACCTACTAGGATAATTACAAAGAAAACCATACCTTGGTGTATGTGTCGGGGTCCCCAAGATAACCATCAGGGCCAGTGATTTGCTAGAAGGACCCATAGGACTCATAAACTGTAAACTAGCAGTTAATGGTTTATTACAGCAAAAGGACATAGGTTAGAATTGGCCAGAGGAAAAGACACACGGGATAAAATCTAGGAGAGATCAGATGCAAGCTTCCAGGTATTGAATGGAGTCATACAGGGATGTACTTAATTCTTTTACAGTGATGCGTGATAACATGTGCAAAGGATTCCCAACCAAGGAAGCTCTTTCAATCTTTGGTGTCTAGCACGGCATGCAGTGCCCATATGACTGAACTCAGCTACTCAGACCCCAGACCCCCAGAGCAAAAACATGTACTGGCAATAAATCATATTGTTAGGATAAATTTATCTGATACAGCATGGCCTAAGACCTCAGGCATGCAAAAATACTTATGAAGCAGAATATTCAAAGGGCTCAGAGGCCATCTCCAAGGAGCCAGCAAAGGGCTAGTCCTGAAGACAGACCTTTCTTTGGCATGTGCAGGGCTTGGCATTCTAGGCCTGCTGAGTTTTCACCCTTTCCTATACAGTGTATCGTAGTCAAGTTGCTGAAAACCAAAAATAAGGAGAAAATCTTGAAAGTAGCTAGAGAAGAGGCTGGGCGCGGTGGCTCACGCCTGTAATCCCCACACGTTGGAAGGCCGAGACAGGTGGGTCACAAGGTCAGGAGTTCGAGACCAGCCTGACCAACATGGTAAAACCCCATCTCTACTAAAAATACAAAAATTAGCCGGGGTGGCAGTGCACACCTGTAATCCCAGCTACCCAGGAGGCTGAGGCAAGAGAATCACTTGAACCCAGGAGGCGGAGGTTGCAGTGAGCCGGGATTGCGCCACTGCACTCCAGCCTGGGCGACAGAGCGAGACTCCGTCTCAAAAAAAAAAAAAAAAGAAAAAAGAAAAGAAAGTAGCTAGAGAAGAATGACACAGGGAAATGACAATTATAATTAGAGCTTACTTCTTACTAGAAACCACAGATGTTTAAAAGGCAGTAGAGTAACATCTTATAAAGTGCCCAACAGGGAAAAAAAACCTGTCAACCCAGGTTTCTGTATTCAGGAAAAAAACAACAAAAAAAACAAAAAAACTGCAAGATTAAAAGACATTTTTAGATAAAAGAAAACTAAAAGAATTCTACCAGAAGACCTGCACTACAAGAAATGCTAAAGGAAGTTTTTCAGATTAAAGGAAAGTGATACCAAATAAAAACTCAGACCTTTAGGAAGGAATGAAGAGAATTGGAAGTGGTAAACACCTGGGTGAATATGAAAGGCTTATTTTTTTCCTCTTAATTTCTTAAAATATATAGGATTGCTTAAAGCAAAAATTGTAATAACGTGTATAGAGGTTATGATGTTTATTTCTTAGGACAATTATAACAGAAAAAAACGAGTATATGGACTGTACTATAGCAAAGGTTTCTGCTTTTTTTTTTTTTTTTTTTTTTTGTTTGTTTGAGACAGGATCTGGCTCTGTGGCTCTGTATCCCAGTCTGGAGTGCAGTGGTGCAATCATGACTCACTGCAACCTAGACCTCCTGGGCTCAAGCAATCCTCGTGCCTCAGCCTCCCATGTACCTGGGACCACAGGTGCATGCCACCACACCTAGCTAATTTTTTTATTTTTTTAGTAGAGACAGAGTCTCATTATGTTGCCAACACTGGCATTGATCTCCTGGGCTCAAGTAATCCTCCCACCTTGGTCTCCCAAAGTGCTGGGATTATAGGCATGAGCCACTATGCCCAGCCTGTTTCTACATTTTTAATGTAATGGTACTATAAATATATATATATTTGGAGACAGGGTCTCGCTCTGTCACCCAGGCTGTAGTGCAGTGAGTGGCATGAACACAGCTCACTGTACCTCAACCTCCCAGGCTCAAGCAATCCTCCCACTTCACCTTTTTGGGACTATAGGTATATGCCACGATGCCCAACTAGTTTTTAAATTAATTTTATTTTTATTTATTTTTTGAGACAGAGTCTCACTCTGTCACCCAGGCTGGAGTGCAGTGGCGTGATCTCAGCTCACTGCAACCTCTGCCTTCCGGGTTCAAGGGATTCTCCTCCCTCAGCCTCCCAAGTAGCTGGGATTACAGGCACTCACCACCACGCCTGGCTTATTTTTGTATTTTTAGTAGAGATGAGGTTTCACCATGTTTGTCAGGCTGATCTCAAACTCCTGACCTCTAGTGATCCACCCTCCTCGGCCTCCCAAAGTGCTGGGATCATAGGCGTGAGCCACCGTGCTCGGCCAAAAGATGTTATTTAAATATAAAGACACAGGTTGAAAGTAAATGGATGGAAAAGATATCCCAAAAAATTTATAAATGTATGCCATGCAAACAGTAAGCATAAGAAGATGAAAGCTTTTATCAGAAATAAATAAGGGACATCTTATCATGATAAAAGATACCAGGAAGTCTTGACAGTTATAAGTGTGTATGTGCCTAATAATGGCTTCAAAATACACAAAGCAAAAATTGACAGAATTGGCTGGGCAATGGCCCATGCCTGTAACCCCAACATTTTGGGAGGCCAAGGTGAGAAGATCACTTGAGACTAGTTTGAGACCAGCCTGGGCAACATAACCCTTAACCCAACATAACCCTACCCTGGAGTTTTTTTGTAGAGACCCCCATCTCTACAAAAATTCAAAAATTAACTGGTTTGGTGGCATGCATCTGTAGTCCCAGCTACTCAGGAGGCTGAGGCGGAGGATTGCTTGAGCCCAGGAGGTGGAGGCTGCAGTGAACCATGATCACACCACTGCACTCCAGCCTGGTGACAGAGTGAGACCCTGTCTCCCAAAAAGGCAGAATTAAGGAGATATATTGGCAATCTGTAATAATTGGAAAATTTAATACCTCTTTCTCAGCAATTAACTAGACACACCCAGGTATCTGAACAGTACAATCAATGAATTTGACTTAGATGGTGGTTATAGAACACTACTCCCTACAATAGCAGAATACACATTATTTTACAAGTGTATAAGGTATGCATTCATTGGTATCGATAATATACTACTAGGCCCACAAAACAACTCAGCAAATTTCAAAGGATTTTTTTTTTTATTTATTTATTGGAGACACAGTTTCACTCTGCCTCCCAGGCTGGAGTGCAGTGGTGTGATCTCAGCTCACTGCAACCTCTGCCTCCCGGGTTCAAATGATTATTGTGCCTCAACCTCCCGAGTAGCTGTGATCACAGGCGCGTACCACCACGCCCACTAATTTTTGTATTTTAAGTAGAGACAGGGTTTCACCATGTTTGCCAGGTTGGTCTCGAACTCCCAACCTCAAGTGATCTGCCCACCTTGGCCTCCCAAAGTACTGGGATTATAGATGTGAGCCACTGTGCCTGGCCAAATTTCAAAGGATTTAAATCATACAAAATATGTTCTAAGGCCATAATGAATTTAAGCTTTAAATTAATGAAGATATCTATGATGAAGACAACATCTAGGAAAATTCCCAAATATTTGGAAATTAAGACAGTTTTACCTAATCTATAGATAAAAGAAGAAATCACAAGAAAAATATTAAGTGATTTAAACTGAATCACTTAAACTGAACAATGAAAATAAATCAAACTTGTGGAATACAGTGCTGAGAGGGAAATTATATAGCTTTATTTATTTTTTATTTTTTATTTTTTTGAGATGAACTCTCGCTCTGTCACCAGGCTGGAGTGCAGTGGCACAATCCCGGCTCACTGCAACCTCTGCCTCCCGGGTTCAAACGATTCTCCTGCCTCAGCCTCCTGAGTAGCTGGGATTACAGGCGTGCGCCACTACACCCAGCTAATTTTTGTACTTTTAATAGAGATGGGGTTTCATCATGTTGGCCAGGATGGTCTCGATCTCTTGACCTTGTGATCCGTCCACGTTGGCCTCCCAAAGTGCTGGGATTACAGGCTTGAGCCACTGCGCCCAGCCATGTATATAGCTTTAAATGCTTATATTGGAAAAGACAAAAATCTAAAACAGTGATCTAAGGTTCGAACTTGAAAATCTAGAAAAAGAAGAGCAAAGTAAACCCAGTAAGTAGAAAGAAAAAAAAAGAGCTGAAATCAATGGAATAAAAAAACAAACAATAGAAAAAATTAACAAAGCCAAAATTTGGTTCCTGGAAAGTTCAACAAAATTATTTTTTATTTTTTTGGAAACAGGGTCTTGCTCAGTCACCCAGACTGAAGTGCAGTAGCATGATCATAGTTCATTGTAATCTCAAACTCCTGGGCTTCAGCGATCCTCCTGCCTCAGCCAAGTAGCTAGGACTACAGGCAGGCATCTAGGGACTACAGGCACGCACTATCATACTTTATTAATTTTTAAAAATTTTTTGTAGAAATGGGGTCTCATGTTGCTCGGGCTGGTCTCGAACTCCTGGCCTCAAGTGATCCTCCCACCTTGGCCTCCTAAAGCGCTGAGGTTATAGGTGTGAGCCACTTTTGGCCAAAATTATTTCTTGACTGGACAAGAAAAAAAAAAAAGCACAGATTACCAATATCAAGCATGAAAAAAGGGTTTTCCATTCAGATCCTACAGATATTAAAAGAACAGTAGATTATTATGAACAATTTTATGCCAACAGATTTATCAACTTAGAGAAATGGACAAAATCCTTGAAAAATGCTACTTAATGCTAACACAATTTATATTAAAGAAATTAAATTCAGTATCAAAACTCTTTCCACAAAGAAAATTCCAGGCCCAGAGTTTTCACTGGAGAATTCTTCGAAGCATATAAGGAAAAAGGAGAGGAGAATACTTCCCAATTTATAAACTAGTATATATGTCATATATAATACATATGTATAGAGTAATACCAAAACTGGACAAAGACATGGCAAATACAATTATAGACTAATATTATTCATGAACGTAAATGAAAAATCCTTCAGAAGATATTAGCAGATCATACCAGCAACATAATAAGATAATGAATGCATCAAGGCTAATTAGGGTTTGTTACAGGATATACAGGATACAAGGTTGTTTTAAGATTAAATAATCAGGGCTGGGCTCAGTGGCTCACGCCTATAATCCTAGCACTTTGGGAGGCCGAGGCAGGTGGATCACTTGAGGTCAAGAGTTCAAAACCAGCCTGGCCAACATGGTGAAACCCTATCTCTACTAAAAATACAAAAAAAAAAAGGCTGGGCACAGTGGCTCACGCCTGTAATCCCAGCACTTTGGGAGGACCGAGGCAGGCACATCATGAGGTCAGGAGGGAGGACCGAGGCAGGCACATCATGAGGTCAGGAGATCGAGACCATCCTGGCTTACACGGTGAAACCCCGTCTCTACTAAAAACACAAAAAATTACCCGGGCGTGGTGGCACGCGCCTGTAGTCCCAGCTACTTGGGAGGCTGAGGCAGGAGAATCGCTTGAACTCAGGAGGTGGAGGTTGCAGTAAGCCAAGATTGCACCACTGCACTCCAGCCTGGGCGACAGAGACTGTCTCAGAATAAAAAAAAAAAAGATTGGATAATCAATATAATTCACCACATTAACAATGAAGAAAAACTATGGCATAAGTTCAGTTCATAAAAAGTGTTTGAAAATGTTTGGCTGAGTGCAGTGGCTCATTCCTGTAATCTCAACACTCTGGGAGGCTGAGGTGGGAGACTTGCTTGAGCCTAGGAGTTCAAGACCAGCCTGGACAACAAAGTGAGACCCTGTCTCTACCAACAAAAAAAAAAGGAAAAGAAAAATTAGCTGGGCGTGGTGGCGGTGGTGGTGTGTGTCTGTAGTCCCAGCTACTCGGGAGGCTGAGGCAGGAGGATTGCTTGGGCCCAGGAAGTCGAGGCTGGAGTGAGCCATGATTGTACAACTGCACTCCAGCCTGGGTGACAGAACAAGACCTTGCCTCAAAAAGAAAAAAAAACACCACATACATACGTATGTATATATGTATATACACACAGACACACATATATATATACACACACACATTCAGTGAGATCCTGTTTCTAAAATTTTTAAATAAAAAAAGTTCGATATCCTTTTCTGATAGAATTTTCTACAAACAAGGAATAGAAGGTAATTCCCTCAGTCTAATAAACAGCATCTGTTGAAAACTACAGCTGATGTCATCCTTAATACTGAAATGCTGAACACTTTCTCCTGAAGATTGGGTACAATGTTCACTCTCACCATTTGTATACAACATACTGGAGGTCACTTTGGGAGGCCGAGGTGGGCAGTTCATTTGAGGTCAGAGTTTGAGATCTGCCTCACCAACATGGTGAAACCCCCATCTCTACTAAAAATACAAAAATTAGCCAGGTGTGGTGGTGCACACTTGTAATCCCAGTACTCAGGAGGCTGAGGCAGGAGAATCCCTTGAACTCAACAGGCAAAGGTTGCAGTGAGCCGAGATCACACCACTGCACTCCAGCATGGGTAACAAATCAAGACTGTCTCAAACAAAAATAGCCAGGCACAGTGGCTCATGCCTGTAATCCCAGTACTTTGGGAGGCCGAGGTGAGCGGATCACTTGAGGTCAGGAGTTTGAGACCAGCCTGGCCAACATGGTGAAACCTCTACTAAAAATAGAAAAATTAGCCAGGCATGGTGGCACACACCTGTAATCCCAGCTACTCAGGAGGCTGAGGCAGGAGAATTGCTTAAACCCAGGAGGCGGAGGTTGCAATGAGCCGAGTTCACGCTACTGCACTCCAGCCTGGGTGATAGAGGGAGACTCTGTCTCAAAACACACACACACACACACACACACACACACACACACACACACACACACCATACTGGAGGTCCTAGCCACTGAATTATGGCAATAAATGGAAATAGAAGGAATCAGGATTAGAAAGGAAGAAGTTAAACTTTCTTCATTTGCAGATGACATGATTGTTTACATAGAAAATCCTAAGAAATCCACAAAACAACTATTAGGATTAATAAGTGAACTTAGCAGGATTGCGGGATAGATATTAGGTTGATAAACAAAACTCAATTTTGTTGTTATATATTAATAGCAAAATTTGACAATAAAAAAAAAACTTTTTTTGAGACAGCCTTTCTCTGTCGCCCAGGCTGGAGTGCAGTGGCGCAATCTCTGCTCATTGTAACCTCCGCCTCTAGCTGAGACTGCAAGTGTGCACCACCATACTTGGCTAATTTTTGTAATTGTAGTAGAGACAGGGTTTCATCTTGTTGCCCAGGCTGGTCTCGAACTCCCAACCTCAAGTGATCTGCCCACCTCAGCCTCCCAAAGTGCTGGGATTACAAGGTGTGAGCCACAATGCCCGACCTAGAAAATTATTTTTTTAAATAAGTAGTTCCATTTACAATAGCACCAAAAGCATAAAATACTTGGAATAAATTTAGCTAAAAAAGTACTTAAGACCGCAGTACTAAAAGCTACCAAACACTGCAGAGAGAAGCTAAAGAATGACTAAGAGGAGAGAGGTGCTATGTTCATGAATTGGAAGACTCAGTGTTGTTAAGATGTCAGTCCTACTCACACTGATCTATGGATTCAAGACAATTCAAAGTCCCAGATTCTAACATTTCTCTCTCTCTCTCTCTCTCTCTCTCTCTCTCTCTCTCTCTCTCTCTCTCTTTCTTTCAACCCCTGTTTCCTGGGCTCAAGCCATCCTCCCACCTCAGCCTCCTGAGTGGCTAGGATTGCAGGCATATGCCACCACACCGAGCTAATTTTTGTATTTTTAGTAAAGATGGAGTTTTGCCATGTTGCCCAGGTTGGTCTTGAACTCATCAGCCCAAGCATTCTGCCCAATTTGGCTTCCCAAAGTGTTGGGATTACCAGTGTGAGCTAAAGCGCCTCACCAATTCTAACATTTCTGTGGAAATACACAGAGCAAAGAACAAAATTGGAGAACTTGGAACATTTATTTAAAGACATTATAAAACTCCAGTAATAAAGACAGTATGGTACTGACGAGTCTACAAGTAAAGAAACAGAGAACCCAGAAATAACAAATTAGCACAAATTTAGCAACTTAAATTTATTATCTCACAGTTTTCATGGATCAGCATTCTAGGCATGGGCTAGCTGATCCTCCTGCTCAGGGCCTCACTGGGGTTGTGATACCATCTGAGACTCAGGGACCTCTTTCTTTCCAAGCTGGCTGGTTGTTGACAGAATTCAGTTCCTGGAAGTTGTGGAATGAGATACCCACTTTCTTTCTCCCTGGATGTCAGCTGGGGAAATCATGCTCAGCTCCTAGAAGCTGCCTGCGGGTGCTAACCTCATGGCCCTCTCACAACATGGTAGCTTGCTTCTTCGAAGCTATCAAGAGAATCTTATACAGTCAGTCCTCTGCATCCGCAGGTTCTGCATCCTTGGGTTCAACCAACCTCGGATTGAAAATACAAAAGAAAAAACAATAAAAAATAATATAAAGGCCAGGCGTGGTGGCTCATGCCTGTAATCCCAGCACTTTAGGAGGCTGAGGCAGGTGGATCACCTGAGGTAGGAGTTCAAGACCAGTCTGGCCAACATGGTGAAACCCCATCTCTACTAAAAATACAAAAAATTAGCTGGATGTGGTGGCACACACCTGTAGTCCCAGCTACTCGGGAGGCTGAGGCAGTAGAATCGCTTGAACCCGGGAGGCGGAGGTTGCAGTGAGCCAAGATTGCACCACTGCACTCCAGCCTGGATGACAGAGACTCCGTCTCAAAAAAATTTTAAAAAATAAGTATCCAAATGGATATGTCTAGGTTATATGCAAATACCATGCTATTTTATATAAGGGACTTGGGCTTCCATGGATTTTTATATCCTTGGGGATCCTGGAACGAATCTCATTCAGATACTGAGAAATGACTGTTTATATAACTCAAATGCAAAAACTAGAATGACTATCCCATCATATTCACAGGTTCTGTCCACAGTTAGGGGCAGGGGAAAGTGTTATACAAGGCATGTACAACAAGGGGCAAGAGTCTTGGAAGCTATCATAGAATCCTTTTTTTTTTTTTTTTCCCTGTGATAGGGTCTTGCTCTGTTCCTAAGCCAGAGTGCAGTTTTGCAATCCTAGCTCACTGCTGCCTCCTGGGCTCAAGGGATCCTCCCACCTCAGCCTCCTGAGTAGCTGGGACTACGGGTATACGCCGCCATGCCCAGCTCCATCTTAGAATTCCGCCTGCCACAATTCTAACTTCACATGATGTGCAGAAATTAAAATGAATTAGATCTCTGAACATAAAAACTAAAACCAAAAAACTTTTCCAAGAATGCATAGGAAAACATCTTCATGACATAGGGTAGGCAAAGATTTCTTAGGTAAAATACACTAACCATAAAATTAAAGATTGATGGCCAGGCATGCCGGTGTCTCATGCCTGTAATCCCAGCACTTTGGGAGGCCAGGGTGGGTGGATCACTTGAGGCCAGGAGTTTGAGACCAGCCTGGCCAACATGGTGAAACCCCATCTCTACTAAAAATACAAAAATTAGCCAGATGTGGTGACGGGCACCCGTAGCCCCAGCTGTTAAGGAGACTGAGGGAAGAGAATCACTTGAACCCAGGAGGCAGAGGTTGCAGTGAGCTGAGATCATGCTACTGCACTCCAGCCTGCTCAACAGAATGAGACTCTGTCTCAACAAAAGAAAAAAAAGGAAAATACTTTTTAGGTAACTAAGGTCAAAAGTTCACATTTTTAGATCCATACTATTCACCTGGAGAGGGGTAGACAATGCCATTTTGTTTTCTGTTTTATAAATCTGAAATTGAGGGCAAAGGGGATGGTAGGTTATTTTAATGAACAAACAACTATTTTTTCTGAGAGTGTGAGATGAACATTAGTTTGAAAGGGGTTCCTACATATTTCTCTGGCCTGCTGCCAGACTTATCTATGGCCAAAAGTATGTGTGTCTGTCTTTGACAGTGACAGCTTTGTATTCTGTCAGTGATCTTTCTGTGCCTTTTGAGGGGGTGGATTTCCTTGGTTAAGGATAAATCTGTAGCAGAGCAGAGTCTTAACCCATTTCAGCAGCCACAAAATTTGGGCCTGAGTTTACAAACACATCACCTGACGTCTCTTTTGCAACTCAAAAGTGGCTTCATTTATTATAACTATTAATGTGAAAGTAACCAAAGAAAAGAAATAATCTGTGTAAAAATGTCTGCATCTTTGTCTTTACATAAATTGTTCATATTAAAAAGCTTAACTGTTTCCCCTTTATTAACAGTTTCCTTTTTGAGGTTATAAAACATGGCCTTTTTTTTCCTTTTAGTTATTTCAGGCATGTTTGAGTGTTCTTAGGGATGTGTTATAGACAAGTTTTAAGAAACTGTTGCAAGGAAGGTGGAATGAATTGGAGATTTATTTGTTCTTAAAAAATGAAGTGGCTGGGTTCAGTGATTCACGCCTGTAATTCCAGCACTTTGGGAGGCCAAGGAGGGCAGATTGCTTGAGCCCAAGAGTTTAAGACCAGCGTGGGCATCAAACTGAGACCCCCATCTGTACAAAAAATTTAAAAAATTAGCCAGGCATGGTGGCATGTACCTGTAGTCCCATCTACTTGGGAGGCTGAGGCAGGAGGATCACCTGAGCTCGGGAAGTCGAGGCTACAGTGAGCTGTAGTCACACCAGCCTGGGTGACAGAGTGAGACCCTGTCTTTAAAAAAAAAAAAAAAAAGAAGGTAAAGCTGACAGACTACTAAACCTTGAAATTTCTTTCACATTTGTTCCTTTTCAGAATAAGTATTTGAACAGCTCTTCTTTTCTACCTTTGAGGTGTATACTTGGGAGAATAAAGTCAATTGACTTTTGGAAATGGCTAGTTAGAATCAAAACAAGAGCTTTCCCCAAATTCGGTAATAAAATTAACGGGTGAGGAATCAGTAAGGTTTACTGCTGTTCCTCCTGGAAATGGCACAAGACTGATTTCCTTTTTCCTTAGCCTGAGATTACCATTGGATGTGTTAGTGCCCTCTTCAGGTGTAACTTGGGTACTGCAGCCGGCGTCCTTAAATAACAGGGACAAGAAATAGATACTTTAATAAAATAAAACTTTAAAATAAATACCTTAAAGTTTTTAAAATAAAAGTAATATGGCCACATTACAAAAGATTTGGAAAATAAAAAGAAGGAATCAGTCGTAATTCCACCAGCAACGTAAACTCTTGGTGCAGACATTCCTTGTCAGATGTTTCATCTGTCATTAGCAAAATAATATAACTGAAAAATTAGTGATTTTACTTATGTAATGAATCACGAAAAGAGAAAAAAGTAAGGTCCTTTAAATGAAAAAAAATTAAGTGATATGATATTAAAGATAAAGTTGTAACCTGAAAAGTAAGGGAACATTGACTTCGTTCTTTTGAGAATTTTTGGCTTTTTATTTTTCCAGTACCTTTTGAACTAGCTTGGGTCACTTCCCTGTAGGACTTTAGGAAGAGACTAGCCAAGGCTTCATTCTTTCTCTATAAGGTTGTGTACTAGTGTGGCAGTTCGTTAGCCCATTGCCTCACAATTCTCTTCTGTTTTAGAACACCCAAGATAACACATAGCACACCCAAAGAAAAGGACATTCCCTGTCTGTATCAGTGGCTCTCTCCAGTAGTGATTCTCTACCTGACACATAACCAGAATCAAGCAATAATTTGTCCATAGCTTTAAAAAGGTGACATGCACCATCAGGAGTCAGGATCTACTCCCCATCCCACGTCCTTTATCCCATCTCACATGCAGCTGAGAGTCACTGACTTGGACAGTCTTCTCTAAAGAGTCTGCTCATAGAAGGTAAATTTAAGACATAAAAATGTTTAAGACTCTTAATCAAAAGACTTTAATTTTTTCTGATAAATTCAAAAAGATAGACTTTAACCAGCCCTGATGTTTGAGTGTAGATGATGAGGGAGAAAGAAGAGTGAACCCTATTTCTGTATTTGTCTTGGGTTTCTGGGTGGATGGTAGAACTATTTTCTGATCAGGGAAGAATGTCAGTCAGAAATGATGTTTTCTTTGATGTGTGGAATTTGAGGGGCTGAGATGCCTCAAAGTGATCCCTTCTGTTTCCGTAGCTTCAAATTACTACCTACATGTTGATAACTCCCAAATCTATACTCTATGTTGGTCTGGTCTGCCCCATAGGTGATGTATCATACTGCCTCTATCTCCTGGTCCTCTGTCTCCGTATATCATTTACACACCAATCTATTTAATCATAGTTCTGATAGCGCAACACTTTTTCATAGAAAAGTTTATATGGAAGTTTGATACATAAAATAGATTTGGTTAATAAGGCCCCTTCTAACCTCCCCATCTTAGTTTCTTTTTTTTTTTTGAGACGGAGTCTCACTCTGTCACCCAGGCTAGAGTGCAGCAGTGTGATCTTGGCTCACTGCAGCCTTCACTCCCCAGGTTCAAGTGATTCTCCTGCCTCAGCCTCCCAAGTAGCTGGGACTACAGGTGCCTGCCACCATGCCTGGCTAATTTTTTTTTTTTTTTTTTTTTTGTATTTTTAGTACAGACAGGATTTCACTATGTTGGCCTGGCTGATCTCAAACTCCTGACCTCGTGATCCATCTGCCTCGGCCTCCTAAAGTGCTGGGATAACAGGCATGAGCCACCGCGCCTGGCCTTTTTTTTTCTTTTAATAGAGATAGGGTCTCACTATGTTGCCCAGGCTGGTTTCAAACTCTTGGAATTCAAGCGATCCTCCAGCCTCCACTTCCCAAAGTGCTGGGATTACAGTCATGAGCCACCTTTAATTTCTTTGTATCTTACTGGCAACAAAGAGGAAAGGAAAAAATCTTGTTGCTCTATAGCTAACTTTAACTTCAATTCTTAAATTTTCTGTTACAATTGTAGCAGAGGTTGGCAGTCAAATGAATAATAATAGCTGATATTGTGTTACTATCTAATCAATAGTATTCTGAGCACTTCTACACATTAATCCACTTAATCCTGGCAACATCCCTATGAAGTTGATCTTGTATTATCCTATTTTACAAATGAGGGACCCGATGCACAGAGAGATTGAGTGTCTTGTCCAAAATCACAGAGCTGGCAAATGGAAGAGGATACAAACTCAGGCATTCTGGAGCCAGAGTCATTTCTGTGCTGTACTAACTCTAAAGCTGGGGATAAAGTATTTTACTAGGTAGGGATCCATGGCCAAGTGGAAGCCAGGAAGCATTAAGGGGTGAAATAATCTTTATTTTATTATAGTTATTTATTTATTTATTTATTTATTTATTTTTTGAGATGGAGTTTCGCTCTTGTCGCCCAGGCTGCAGTGCTGTGGCTTGATCTTGGCTCACTGCAACCTCCGCCTCCTGGGTTCAATCAATTCTTGTGCCTCAGCCTCCTGAGTAGCTGGGGCTACAGGCGTGTGCCACCACGCCTGGCTAATTTTGTATTTTTAGTAGAGAGGGGGTTTCACCATGTTGGCCAGGCTGTTCCCAAATTCCTGACCTTAAGTGATCCACCCGCTTCAGCTTCCCAGAGTGCTGGGATTACAGGCATGAGCCACCGTGCCCAGCATTTATTTTTTTTTTTTGAGACAGCGTCTCATTCTATTGCCCAGGCTGGAATGCAGTGGCATGATCTTGGCTCACTGCAACCTCTGCCTCCCGGGTTCAAGTGATTCTACTGCCTCAGCCTCCCCAGTAGCTGAAACTTACAGGTATGTACCACCATGCCCAGCTAACTTATGTGTTTTTAGTAGAGATGGGGTTCTGCCGTGTTGGCCAGGCTGGTCTCGAATTTGTGACCTCAGGTGATCTTCCCGCCTCAGCCTCCCAAAGGGCTGGGATTACAGGCATGAGCCACTGCGCCTGGCCTGAAATAATCTTTAAACATCTCTTAATGCACAATTGTCTGTTTCTGGATTTTCTATACCATTCTATTGCTCTATTATCTTTCGACCAGTACTATAGCATCTTGATAATGGTAGCTTTATATTTAAAATCAGGTCATGTTAATCTTCTAACTTTATTTTTCAAAGTTGTTTTGGCTCTTCTAGGTTTTTTTTTTTTTTGAGATGGAGTCTCGCTCTGTTGCCCAGGCTGGAGTGCAGTGGCGCGATCTCAGCTCACTGCAAGCTCCACCTCCTGGGTTCACGCCATTCTCCTGCCTCAGCCTCCCAAGTAGCTGAGACTACAGGCACCTGCCACCACACCCGGCTAATTTTTTGTATTTTTAGTAGAGATGGGGTTTCACCGTGTTAGCCAGGATGATCTCGATCTCCTGACCTTGTGATCCACCTGCCTCGGCCTCCCAAAGTGCTGGGATTACAGGCATGAGCCACCGCGCCTTGCCTGGCTCTTCTAGGTTCTTTACATTTGAATTTGCATAGGAATTTTAGATTAGCTTGTCCATTTTTACAAAAACCTACTAGGATTGTAGGCCAGCGCAGTGGCTCATGCCTGTAATCCCAGCACTTTGAGAGGCCAAGGCTGGTGGATCACTAGAGGTCAGGAGTTCGAGACCAGCCTGACCAACATGGTGAAACCCCGTCTCTACTAAAAATACAAAATTAGCTGGGCATGGTGGCACACGCCTGTAATCCCAGCTACTTTGGGAGGCTCAGGCAGGAGAGTCGCTTGAACCTGGATGCGGAGGTTGCATTGAGCCGAGATCATGCCACTGCACTCCAGCCTGGGCAACAAGAACAAAACTCCATCACACACAAAAAAAAGAAAGGATTGTGATTAAAGTCGTGAAGAATTATAGGTCAATTTGGGGATAATTAATGTCTTGGCAATTTTGAGTCTTCCAACCTTTGAAAACAGATAGCTCTCCATTAATTTAGATCTTTGTTGGTTTCTCTCAGCAATGTTTTATAGATTTCACTGTACTGGTCTTATATATCTTTTGTGAGATTTATACCTAAGTTTATATATATATATTTTTGTTTGTTTGTTTGTTTGTTTGTTTTGAGATTGAGTCCCACTCTTGTCACTCAGGTTGGAGTGCAGTGGCGCGATCTCAGCTCGCTGCAACCTCCAACTCCTGGGTTCAAGCGATTCTTCTGCCTCGGCTTCCCGAGTAGCTGGGACTACAGGTGACTGCCACCATGTCTGGCTAATTTATTTTATTTTATTTTATTTTTTGTATATTTAGTAGAGACGGGGTTTTGCCATGTTGACCAGGCTGGTCTCAAACTCCTGACCTCTGGTGATCCGCCTGCCTTGGCCTCCCAAAGTGCTGGGATTACAGGCATGAGCCACCGCGCCCAGCCTGTTTTTCTTGACTTAGTGAGCTGGCTAGAACCTTTAATACAGTGTTAAACAGGAGTAGAGGCAGAGAGAACTTCTTGCCTTCTTTCAGTAAGTACGATGTTTGCTGTAAGTTACTGGTAGATTACCTTTATCAAGTTGAGGGATTTCCCTTCCCTAGTTTCCTGAGATTTTAAAATCAGGAATGAATGTTGGATTTTCTCAAATGCTTTTTTCTGTATCATATGGTTTTTCTTTTTTAGTTGTTAATATGGTGAATTATGGAATTCTTCCTTGGTGGAATTCTTTAAAATGGAGAATTATTTTGATTATTGAATGTTAAGCCAATCCTGTATTTTTTCAAAAGAAACACCTCAGTCATGATGTAGTATTGCGTTTATTTATTGTTGTGTTTGGTTTGCTAAATTTTTGTTAAGAATTTTCACAAGCTGGGCACAAATGTCAAGTGGCTCATGCCTACAATCCCAGCACTTTGGGAGGCTGAGGCGGGCGGATCATCTGAGGTCAGGAGTTGGAGACCAGCCTGGCCAACATGGTGAAACCCTGTCTCTACTAAAGATACAAAAAATCAGCTGGGCGTGGTGGTGCGCGCTTGTAATCCCAGCTACTCAGGAAGCTGAGGCAGGAGAATTGCTTGAACCCGGGAGCCAGAGGTTGCAGTGAGCCGAGATCTCGCCATTGCACTTCAGCGTGGGCAACACACTGAGACTCCGTCTCAAAACACAAACAAAAACTTGATGAAGGAAGATAAAGGTGGGAAAGGGGCCAGGCACAGTGGCTCACGCCTGTAATTCCAGTGCTTTGGGAGGCCGAGGCAGGCAGATCACGAGGTCAGGAGTTCGAGACCAGCCTGGCCAATATGGCAAAACCCTGTCTCTAATAAACATACAAAAAATTAGCCGGGAGTGGTGGCAGGCACCTGTAATGTCAGCTACTCGAAGGCTGAGGTGGGAGAATCGCTTGAACCTGGGAGGCAGAGATTGCAGTGAGCCGAGACCACACCATTGCACTCGAGCCTGGCGACAGAGCAAGACTCTGTCTCAAAAAAAAAAAAAAAAAAAAAAAAAAGTGGGAAAGGAAGGAAAGATAACACATTAAAAAATAAATAATTTCCTGTTTTAAAAAGTAGTTATGCATTGATTACCAGTGGGATACATTCTGAGAAACGTCATTAGGTGATTTCATCATTGGGCAAATACCATAGTTAACTTACATAAACCTAGAAGGTATACTACTACATACCTATGCAATATGGTATCATCTATCGCTCCTAGGCCACAAATCCATACAGCATGTTACACTATATTGGATACTGTAGGCAGTGTGGTACAGTGCTTAGTATTTGTACATCTAAACATTAAAAAAATACAGTAAAAATACAATATTCTAATCTTATGGGACTACAGTCATATATGTGGTGCTTTGTTGTCCACATGTCATTTAGTACATAACTGTACTATACTCAGCCAGAACAGGTACATGAAAATAAAAGAGAATGAAAAGAAAGTTTCTGCTGGTCGCTGTGGTTCACACCTGTAATCCCAGTACTTTGGGAAGCCAAGGCCAGTGGATTGCTTGAGCCCATGAGTTTGAGACCAACATGGGCAACATGACAAAACCCTGCCTCTACAAAAAATAGAAAAATCAACCGGGAATGGTGGTGCACGCCTATAGTCCTAGCTACTTGGGATGCTGAGATGGGAGGATGGCTTGAGCCCAGGAGGCAGAGGTTGCAATGGGTCAAGATTGTGCCACTGCACTCCAACCTGGGCGATACAACCAGACCTTGTCTAAAAAAAGAAAAGAAAATTTCATGGACGCAAACCATGCAGCCTCTTGCTGGTTATGAAATACACACTAGAACTAGTGTAAGTCTAGTGGCTTCATTTTAAACTATTGGCAACTGCCTCATTTCTCACTTTTTCTTCATATTTTTCATCCTCTTCTCCCCCAAGGTATTAGAGAGGGAAAAGTTTCCAAAAACCATGCCAGTTTCCTTCCTTTGGTGTTCTATACTTGGAATCCTTAGTCTTCTGTGGTCAATAGAGTCATGTGCAAAAACTTGACTAGTTTAAGGGGAATTATTAGGAAACAAATGGTTTTGCTGTCTTTTGGTCATTAGCTTGGCCCCATGTTTAAGCATTCGGTAACAACTGTGAAGAGCCTGCTACAAATAAAGTGGTAGGTGCTCTGAAGAAAAATAAAGCTGTTAAAGGGAATAGAAAGTGATGAAGGCAGGGGCTGTTAGACAGGCTGGTCAGTGTCTGAGGAAGTAGCCCTGCACTGAGACCTGAAAAGTAAAGAAGCAAGCCATGGGGAGTTGGGGAGGAGCATTCCAGACAGAGGCTTGATGTGTTGAACCATCTTTTCCAAGCTCTTCCTCTGTTACCTTCTCTTTAGTCACTATGTCCCCTTTCTATCCCAGACCATAATTCCACCATTTATCTTAAGGCTGAGCCCAGGGCCTATATTATTATGCAGGTTGTTTACTGCACACATCTAGGGGCACTGTTTACACTTGTTATCTTTGTAGGTTTGAATATTTCTATTTCTTATGAGTTTTCCAGCAGATGGCAGTAACACGCATGAAGACAGGGTGACTTTTTCTAGTTTGCACAAAGGTCTTTTTTGAGACGGAGTCTCACTCTTTCACCCAGGCTGGAATGCAAAGGTGCGATCTCGGCTCACTGCCACCTCCGCCTCCCAGGTTCAAGTGATTCTCCTGCCTCAACCTTCCGAGTAGCTGGGAGTACAGGCACGCACCACCATGCCTGGCTAATTTTTGTATTTTTAGTAGAGACAGGGTTTCGCCATGTTGGCCAGGCTAGTTTCGAACTCCTAACCGCAAGTGATCCACCCACCTTGGCCTCCCAAAGTGCTGGGATTACAGGAGTGACCCACCGCACCTGGCCTAAAGGTGTAGACACTCTGATTTGCATCTAGGCACATGTCGTCTTTATCCCTTTTCCTTCTCTGATACATCAAGGTCCTTTTCTCTCTGGGTCCTAGCCTCATTCTCTAAGTTTCCTCTTCCTGTCTTTCAAATATTTTGAATGTATAGAAGAATTACAGTTGTGCTACAAGGAAGTCCCGTATAATCTGCACTCTAGTTCACCAGTTGTTATCATTTGGCCACATGTGCGTTATCATCCCCTCCCTCTCAGTATAGATAGATGTTTTTTTCCTGAACCATTTGAGAGCTGATTGCAAACATTCTGCCTCTTTACCCCTACTTTGGAGTGTGTTTCCATTGAACAAAACATCTTTGTTTTACGTAACCAACGAAAGTTATTGTTAAGGAAATTTTGCTTTTTGTTTTTTGTTTTTTTTTTTTGAGACGGAGTCTCGCTCTGTTGCCCAAGCTAGAGTGAAGTGGCGCAATCTTGGCTCACTGCAAGCTCTGCCTCCCAGGTCCACGCCATTCTCCTGCCTCAGCCTCCTGAGTAGCTGGGACTATGGGCACCCGCCACCACGCCCAGCTAGTGTTTTGTATTTTTAGTAGAGACGGGGTTTCACGATGTTAGCCAGGATGGTCTCGGTCTCCTGACCTCGTGATCTGCCTGCCTCAACCTCCCAAAGTGCTGGGATTACAGGCGTGAGCCACCGCACCCGGCTGTTAAGGAAATTTAACAGTAATTTAGGAAATTAAACATTGATAAACAGTACTTTTGTCAATTATATAGTACACATTTAAATTTTGTCAGTTGTACCAATGATGTCTTTATAGCTGTGTTTACCCCTTTTCCAGAGTCCAGTCTAGGATCACACTTTGTGCCTCATCCTGTCTCCTTACTCTCCTTTAATCTGAGAATTAAGATTAAAAGAAGTAAGTTCCTCAGCCTTTCTCTTTCACACCACTGACATTTTTGAAGACTATAGGCCAGTTGTTTTGTAGAATATTTCTCAATCTGGGTTGGTCTGGTGTTTTCTGATTAGATGCAGGTTACATGTTTTGGGCGGGAATACCATAGAAGTGATGTTGTGTCTTTCTCAGTGCATGCACTATGTCTGGAGGCATATGGTATCTGTTTGTTCTACTACTGATGACGTCGGCCCTCTAAGCCTTCTGTGTTGAAACTGTTCCTTGTAGTTATATGAATTCTAACATGTATATGCTTGAACTCTGACTATAGGAATTCTCCTACTTACAGGAATTCACTCTTAAGTAGGCAGTATTCTATTAAGTTCTTCTGTTCAATCTCTTAGTTCATCAAGTGAGCCTGAGTTCCCTCCCAATTCTTTCTCTCCTTTGCAGCATCACTATCTGGGACTCTCGGGTTCCCATCAGGAGTCATAATACCTTCTCTTTCTCCTAGTAAGTTGCATCCCTTAGCCAGACTCTTTGAACCAGTGATTACTTCTTATATACAATCAGCATATTTTTAGTGTTTTATTGAATCAAGTTAAGGTTCTTTGGCTCTAGGAAGGTTAGTCTTCAAAGAAATGGTTTCAGAAGAGAGCTGTATAGCTGAATGTGGGGAAGAACTAGGTACCCTCAAGACAACTTGAATCACACCCAGTTCATTTTATCGCAAATAAGTCTTTTCCGCTAACCTTATTTGAATTACTGCATGTCATTTACACTGTCTTAGCCTCTTTATTCCTTAAACTCTAGGAGGTAGATTTCATTTTCTTCATTTTTCAGATGTGAGGAAATGGAGGCTTGGAAAGGTTAAAGTAATATAGTGAGAAATTACCAGGACTTAAACTCATGTCTCTCCAACTCCAAAGCCCTTGCTCTTTTTTGAGAGCAGAGAGTGGCTGGGAGGAAAGTCCTCTAGCTATTCATGGTGAAATTAGCCTTCATAGACAGAAATACAAAAGGTAATGGCAGCCACGTGCAGAGGCTTATGCCTGTAATCCCAGCACTTTGGGATGCCGAGGCGGGCAGATCACTAGAGGTCAGGAGTTCGAGACCAGCCTGGCCAATATGGTGAAACCCTGACTGTGTCTCAAAAAAAAAAATAAAAGTAATGTCACTGCTAGATTGGAGGTGATTGCCGGCACCTGCCACTCAGAGAGTTGGAGGTGTCTTTAAACCAGGACCATCCTGGGCAACTAGATCTTACAGTTGGGGACTTACAAACTGGGAAAATCGAAATACTTCTACTTAAACTCATTTCCTGACATAATTATTAATAGTGCCCCACTCACTTTTTTTTTTTTTTTTAAACAGTCTCATTCTGTCACCCAGGCTGGAGTGCAGTGGCACGATGTTGGCTCACTGCAACCTCCGCCTCCCAGGTTCAAGTGATTTCTCGTGCCTCAGCCTCCCGAGTAGCTGAGATTACAAGTGTGCACCACCATGCCCAGGTATTTTTTGTATTTTTAGTAGAGACAGGGGTCTCACCATGTTGGCCAGTCTGGTCTTGAGCTCCTGGCCTCAAGTGATCCACCAGCCTCGGACTCCCAAAGTGCAGAGATTACAGGCGTGAGCCCCTGCACCCTGCCAGCCCCACTCACTTTTTTTTTTTTTTTTTTTTTTTTTAGACGGAGTTTCGCTCTGTCACCCAGACTGGAATGCAATGGCGCGATCTCGGCTCACTGCAGCCTCCGCTTCCCGGGTTCAAGCGATTCTCCTACCTCAGCCTCCTGAGTAGCTGGGACTACAGGCACATACCACCATGCCCAGCTAATTTTTATATTTTAGTAGAGACTGGCTTTTCACCATGTTGGCCAGGTTGGTCTCGAACTCCTGACCTCAGGTGATCCGCCCGCCTTGGTCTCCCAAAGTGCCAGGATTACAGGCGTGAGCCACCATGCCCGGCCCCCACTCACTTTTTTTAAGAGTACTGCAGCTTGGCCAGGCATGGTGGCTCATGCCTGTAATCACAGCACTGTGGGAGGCCACAGCAGGAAGATTGCTTGAAGCCAGGAGTTCGAGACTAGCCTGGCAGCATATTGAGACCCTGTCTCTACAAAAAAGAAAAAAGTACCTGGACATGGTGGCACATACCTGTAGTCCTAGCTACTCAGAGGCTGAGGTAGGAGGCTTGCTTGAACCCAGGAGTTAAAGGCTGCAGTGAGTAATGATAGTGCCACTGCTCTCCAGCCCAGGTGACAGAGTGAGACGCTGTCTCAAAAAAGGGAGGAGGTAGTATTGTGGCTTGGATAATTATATGGTCCCCTATACATAATCCTTCCTGAATTCTTTTCAGATTAACATTGAGACTGGTGTTTCTTTATAACTAGCACTAATAGTGCTTGGTCTATTTTTATTTACCACTTTCTTTGCCCCTGCCCCAATTTATACACTGGGGCAAAATTAGCTTTGGTTTTATAGTCTGTTCACCTAACTAATTTATAGGCCTGGTTTGCATAATTTAGTTAACAGCAAGATTTTGCCACACCTGCTTTATCATCCTTTCTGCCAAACTATTTAAGGTAAATGGCACTTTACCCCGGTGTATTTCCATAGCTGAAATAAGCTCTTAAATTTTTATAATCCTATCCTGAAACCTAATCGGTGTAGCAGAAGAACGTTTTGCCTCGTGAGTTATCACCCCTGACATAATTTGATTTTCATTTATAAGATTCTCTTAGAACCAAGTACAGTGGCACACACCTGTAGTCTGGCTACTCAGGAAGTGAAGGCAGGAGGATCACTTGAGCCAAGAGTTCCAGGCCAGCCTGGGCAACATAGTGAGACCCCATCTCTTTAAAAAAACAAAACCAGATTATCTTAAAGTGGGGCATACCTGTATTTGTGTGCTAATGTGAGGCTCCACAGGTATGCAAGACATAGTAGCTGTGGATGTTTCTTATAACTTATATTCCCTTTTCTTTTGTCAGTGCACGATCTGATTTTCTGGAGAGATGTGAAGAAGACTGGGTTTGTCTTTGGCACCACGCTGATCATGCTGCTTTCCCTGGCAGCTTTCAGTGTCATCAGTGTGGTTTCTTACCTCATCCTGGCTCTTCTCTCTGTCACCATCAGCTTCAGGATCTACAAGTCCGTCATCCAAGCTGTACAGAAGTCAGAAGAAGGCCATCCATTCAAGTGAGTTGAAGTCTTAAAAGCAACATTCTACATTTTAGTGGAAGGGTTCACTGAAGCTGATAGGTCTAAAACTCAGACCTGACTAAAAATCAAGAATTATGGGGCCTAATGCAGCTGATTGGTGGCATGAAGCATCCCCTAGAGACCTTGAAATCACCTTAAGAAGTGGCCAAGTTAGAAGCCAAGAACTTTTTGACAAATTAGAGGCTCATACTTGAAGTTCAAAGAGGGAGTCCTTCAAAGAAGACTCTAAATTCTTTTTTTTTTTTTTTGAGACGGATATTGCTCTTGTTGCCCAGGCTGGAGTACAGTGGCGCGATCTCAGCTTATCGCAACCTCTGCCTCCCAGGTGAAAGCGATTCTCCTGCCTCAGCCTCCTGAGTAGCTGGGATTACAGGCATGCGCCACTATGCCCAGCTAATTTTGTATTTTTACTAGATACGGGGTTTCTCTATGTTGGTCAGGCTGGTCTCAAACTTCTGACCTTGGGTGATCCGCCCGCCTCAGCCTCCCAAAGTGCTGTTTTTTTTGTTTTTTGTTTGTGTGTTTTTGAGACAGAGTCTCACTCTGTCGCCCAGGCTGGAGTGCAGCGGTGCAATCTCGGCTCACTGCAAGCTCCTCCTCCTGGGTTCATGCCATTCTCCTGCCTCAGCCTCCCGAGTAGCTGGGACTACAGGCACCCACCATCACGCCCGGCTAATTTTTTTGTATTTTTAGTAGAGACAAGGTTTCACCATGTTCGGCAGGATGGTCTCGAACTCCTGACCTTGTGATCCACCCGCCTCTGCCTCCCAAAGTGCTGGGATTACAGGCGTGAGCCACCGCTCCCGACCATAATGTTTGTATTTTTAGTAGAGACAGGGTTTTACCATATTGGTCAGGCTGGTCTTGAACTCCTGACCTCGTGATCCACCCGCCTCGGCCTCCCAAATCATGCATGGGATTACTATGCATGAGCCACCGTGCCCGGCAACTCTAAATTCTTGAGCAGGGCAGGGAAAGCAGAGCACCTAGAGCAGCGCTCGGTTAGATGGGGTTCCAAGTGCATGTTTAATCCCCCACATAGGTAAGACTTGACATGACTTTCAAACCTTGTTGTGTCTGTGCTTTGGTAATACCAGAACTCAGTGTTTTCATTCTTGGTTTATTACTGATTTCCTCCGTATCTCTTACTAGTTTTCTTAACGCTGGAGGTCTTAATGAAGTCAGTAATCTTCTGACTACATTTCTAGTATACAATTTCTAGCTTTTTTGATTGTGCTGTAACTTTAACTAATGTTTTCTTCACACTTTCCTCTTGAAAATCTTACCCCATAAACAATGTTGACTTTAACGTGAGCAAATGACAGTTTTTTGAAGGCTCTTTTTTCATAGAGAAGGAGACCCTGCTGTGACCTCTCAGGACTACAACAGAATAGGTTTCTGGCCACACCTGTGCTCCTTGTATTTTCTCTTGGTGGAAATAGAAGGAATAACTTACAACTTTATGTGGCATTAAAAATTTTATTGCAGTTCAGGTGCGGTGACTTACGCATGTAGTCTCAGCACTTTGGGAAGCTGAGGCAGGCAGATCGCTTGAGGTCAGGAGTTCAAGACTAGCCTGGCCAACATGGTGAAACCTCGTCTTTACTAAAAATATGAAAATTAGCCGGGCAAGGTGGCAGGTGCCTGTAATCCCAGCTATTCAGGAGGCTGAGGCAGGAGAATATCTTGAACCCAGGAGGTGGAGTTTGCAGTGAGCTGAGATTGTGCCATTGCACTCCAACCTGGGCAACTGAGCAAAACACCATCTCATAAAAAAACTGCTAAAAAAAACCCCCAGTACCCTGTTTTTATGTGTTCTGGGCTGTTAATTACAAATACAAATGTGGTTTTCCAAAATGTTTTTTTTAAAAAACAAAAACAGCAAAATTTTAGCATAAACAAAATATAGTTTTAGAAACTCCAGGATATGTTAATGTTAAAACTGCTAAAAAAAAAAAAAAAAGTACCTTGTTTTTATGTGTTCTGGGCTCTTATTTATAAATGGATTTACCTTCATGAATATCCAATGAGGTAGTAAAAGTGACACAGAACATAGGTCAGTTCTTTACTGTGCTTGACTGTCCCATGCTTTGCAGACATCTGGCATATTTGCCTCTGCCCACTAAATGACAGTGTGTCTCCACCCCACCTGATGACAACAAAAAAATGCTCCTACAGGTTCTAACATGCACCCTGGGAACCAATTTTACATTCTCAGTAACTACTGTGCTAACAAAATCTTCTTCCATGTCAAATGTATGACTGTTATTTCTTCTTCTGGAAGAGCCTACCTGGACGTAGACATTACTCTGTCCTCAGAAGCTTTCCATAATTACATGAATGCTGCCATGGTGCACATCAACAGGGCCCTGAAACTCATTATTCGTCTCTTTCTGGTAGAAGATCTGGTTGACTCCTTGAAGGTTAGTTGTTTCTGCAGCTCTTGGTGGTAAAACAGAAAAAGCAGGGACTGGGTTATAATTTGGAGGAAAAACAGTACATAGGATTTTATCAGACAAAAATGAACGTATGCTTAGCTCAGTCATTCTATAATGGGATAGGTGTCACTAGAGAAAGGTATAGCCTTCTGCTGGGGAACAAATATCAGAAGAGAGGTGATATAATTGGAAGCAGTGCAGTTTCAGTCTTTGGACCTCAGAAAACTACAGACTTCACTCACATACCTTCAAATGTATAACACAAGTAGGGAACCTTCATTTGGAAATTGTCCATGTCACACATCACTAAATTTATGCAGACTTAATTAGCTGGAGGAGAATGACATCAGTTAATGTGAATTTTGCCTTACGGTTATTCCTGCTTAACTTTTGATATGGCCTTCACAGCTGGCTGTCTTCATGTGGCTGATGACCTATGTTGGTGCTGTTTTTAACGGAATCACCCTTCTAATTCTTGGTAAGGTGGCAAGGAGAATGTGCCCATGCTCTTTGAAGTAGTTTGTAAGAATAAGAGTGAAGAGAAAGCCCAGCATGGCTCTACTCATTCTTCATTGCCCAGTCTTGACCCATAGAGACCTGGGAGTAGAGGCACTGGAGGAACCGGAGTTTGTGGTCACAGGTTTATGAAATGGTCTCAGTTATAAATTAAGAAATATCAAAACAGCTGGAAGTAAAGGACAGTTGTCTAGATTTGGTTTACGTATGGGGATCTTATTTACAGAAACCATTTTGGTAATTTGGAAATTGTTATTTGTGGTACAAAGAAGGTAGCCTGTATACCTGAAGAGGTTTTTTTTGTTTTGTTTTAACACTACCTTAAATTAGCTGTCTTAATTGGGAGTGCTAACCAGGATTTCTCATTTTGAGGAATGCCTGTGTTTTCCTGTATTTTTTGAGGAAAAATGTATATGTTACTCTGAGTCTTAAGATGTGACTGTCTCTCATATACACTTGCCATGTCCCATGATTCTGTCTTACAGCTGAACTGCTCATTTTCAGTGTCCCGATTGTCTATGAGAAGTACAAGGTAAGCATTTATCTGTTCCAAATCAAATGTGCCAGTTGATGTATGACTAGTTGTAGTTCATTTCTGAGACATTGAATGTTCAGAGCAGTCTTTTTATAACTATTTCTACAATCTAATTTTGTGAGTCAAGTGCCTATAAGAAACTGGTGGCAGTAGTTTCCTCCAAGGAGAGAAACTGGATATTTAGGAGAGAGATGACTAGGAAAGAGAAACTTCCTTTTTATACTTGTGTGCCTTTCGAGTTTTTAATCATGTAGATGTATTTTCTATGCAAAAGTAATAAGTTGAAAAAATGCTTAGGCCAGGGGTGGTGGCTTGTGCCTGTAATCCCAGCACTTTGGGATGCTGAAGCGGGAGAATCCCTTGAGCCCAGGAGCTCAAGACCAGCCTGGGCAACCTGGCAAAACCTTGTCTCTAAAAAAAAATAGCCGGATGCAGTGGCCTGCACCTGTAGTCTAAGATAGGAGAATCTACTTGAGCCTGGGAGACAGAGGTTGCAGTGAGCCGAGATCATGTCATTGCACTCCAGCCTGGGTGATGGGAGTGAAACCCTCTCTCAAAAAGGCCAGGAGCAGTGGCTCATGCCTATAATCCTAACACTTTGGGGGGCCGAGGCAGGCAGATCACTTGAGGTCAGGAGTTCGAGACCAGCCTGGCCAACATGGTAAAACTTCATCTCTACTAAAAATATAAAAATTAGCCCAGTGTGGGGCCAGGCACGGTGGCTCACGCCTGTAATCCCAGCACTTTGGGAGGCCGAGGCGGGCAGATCACGAGGTCAGGAGATCGAGACCATCCTGGCTAACACGGTGAAACCCCATCTCTACTAAAAATACAAAAAATTAGTCGGGTGTGGTGGCAGGCGCCTGTGGTCCCAGTTGCTCAGGAGGCTGAGGCAGGAGAATTGCTTGAACCTGGGAGGTGGAGGTTGCAGTGAGCCGAGATTGCACCACTGCACTCCAACCTGGATGACAGAGCAAGACTCCATCTCAAAAAAAAAAAAAAAAAAACGCTTAGATGGGAGATTGAGACCACGGTGAAACCCCGTCTCTACTAAAAATACAAAAAATTAGCCAGGCATGGTGGCGGGCGCCTGTAGTCCCAGCTACTCAGAGAGGCTGAGGCAGGAGAATGGCATGAACCTGGGAGGTGGAGCTTGCAGTGAGCCGAGATCGCGCCACTGCATTCCAGCCTGGGCGACAGGGAGACTCTGTCTCAAAAAAAAAAAAAAAAAAATGCTTAGATGAATAAAAGCCGGGTGTCTAAAAGGAAACTTTAAACTCTAGGTTATTCAGGTAATCCATCAGTGTGATGAGGTGTTTGCATTGTTGGATGATGTGTACCAAGTATACTAGATGCCATGAGATTATTCTTTATGGATTAAGTCATCCATCAAGAGACTTTTTGGCTTTTTGGTATTAAGTGAATTAGTGTTACACAAGAGCCATAACATATTTATGATGACAGAAAATAGATTAGACACACAGTTTCTAGTCATTGGAAACTGTTATATACTCCAGTGTCTCTAAAGAAAATACTTACCAAGTAAGACTTAACCTCTGCAAAAGATGAGTGATTTTTTCACTTTAACAAAGTGTGGGGTGTTTATGGTGTAATTTGGATTCTAAAACCAGAGGTTTTAAAAATACTTTTAAGGCTAGGTGTGGTGGCTCATGTCTGTAATCCCAGCACTTTGGGAGGCGGAGGCAGGTGGATTGCCTGAGGATGGGAGTTCAAGACCAGCCTGACCAACATGAAGAAACCCTGTCTCTGTCTCTATTAAAAATACAAAATTAGCCAGGCATGGTGGCGCATGCCTGTAATCCCAGCTACTTAGGAGGCTGAGGCAGGAGAATTGCTTAAACCCGGGAGGTGGAGGTTTCGGTGAGCCGAGATCACACCATTGCACTCCAGCCTGGACAACAAGAACAAAATTCCATCTCAAAAAAAAAAAAAAAAAAAAAAAAAAGGCTGGGCACAGTGGCTCATGCCTGTAATCCCAGCACTTTGGGAGGCCGAGGTGGGTGGATCACGAGGTCAGGAGGTCGAGACCATCCTGGCTAACACGGTGAAACCCCGTCTCTACTAAAAATATAAAAAATTAGCCAGGCGTGGTGGCGGGCGCCCGTAGTCCCAGCTACTCGGGAGGCTGAGGCAGGAGAATGGCGTGAACCCGGGAGGTGGAGCTTGCAGTGAGCCAAGATAGCGCCACTGCACTCCACCCTGGGCGAGAGCGAGGCTCCGTCTCAAAAAAAAAAAAAACTTTTAAAAACTGGGTGTTTTCATTTTCTACACTGGTCAGTCGTGTTTAAAAAATGGTTAAACTAGACAAAAGAGCCGTGCCTTCAGGAAAATTGGTGATCTGTATGTTACCACAACTGAATTTATTTTCCTTCCTTAAAGACCCAGATTGATCACTATGTTGGCATCGCCCGAGATCAGACCAAGTCAATTGTTGAAAAGTAAGTACATTTAGAGACCACATCATCATGAGGTATGCTTCCTTCCCCCCAATTATCTTTAGTCCCTTGTACAAAATGCAGATGCCAAGGAAAGTAATTTTCATTTTGATAAAAACCTTAGTTAATAGTTTCATTTTACTAAAAATTATTATAGCTGCTTCTATAAAAAGGAAAAAAAATCCTTTATATCTTTTTCTGGCCCTGCCTTCTGGACCTTTGTAGGCCAGGCATTTTGACTCACATCTGTAATGCCAGTGCTTTGGGAGGCCGAGACAGGAGGATTGCTTGATCCCAGGAGTTCAAGACCAGCCTGGGCAACATAGCTAGGCCTTGTCTCTACTAAGAATAAAAAATTAGCTGTGCATGGTAACACGTGCCTTTAGTCCCAGCTACTGGAGAGGCTGAGACAAGAGGATCAATGGGAAAAAAAAGATCAGTGGAATTTTTTGGAGACAGGGTCTTGCTTTGTCACCCAGGCTGAAGTGCAGTCTCGACCTCCTGGGCTCAGGTGATCCTCCCACCTCAGCTTCTCCAGTAGCAAGGACCATAGGCTACTCTGCCTTTTTGAACTGGCTTTTAAATGTTCTTCATTACAGGCTGGGCACGGTGGCTCACACCTGTAATCCCAACACTTTGGGAGGCCAAGGCCGGTGGATCACGAGGTCAGGAGTTCGAGACCAGCCTGGCCAACATAGTGAAACCCCATCTCTACTAAAAATACAAAAATTAGCCAGGTGTGGTGGCATGCAACTTTAGTCCCAGCTACTCAGGAGGCTGAGGAGGGAGAATTGCTTGAACCTGGGAGGCGAGGTTGCAGTGAGCAGAGACCATGCCATTGCACTCCAGCCTGGGTGACAGTGAGACTCCGTCTCAAAAAAAAACCAAAAAGTTATTGGTTGCTTCCCCACCTTCATTTATTTTCACATGTATTCATTTAAGCCAAACGTATCCCTCTCAGAAACAAAAGTTCTAGTAAATAAGTAACTTAAGGATCAAAGTTGTCTTTTCTAAGATTGCCAAATCTCTGTTCCCATTTTTTTAAACCAATTAATAAATCAGGAAATAAAATATTGACAAACATCTTTATGACTCCCTATATCAAAGAGTTGTTTTCTTCTTTTTACTTTTTTTCCCCATACCTAGAGGACAGTATTTTTTTTCTTTTTTCTTTTTTCTTTCTTTTTTGTTTTGCTTTCTAGAGACAGGGTCTCACTCTGTCACCCAGGTTGAAGTGCAGTGGCACAAGCTGAAAGCTCACTGCAGCCTTGACCTCTGACCTCCCTTGCTCCAAGTGATCCTCCCACCCCAGCCTCCTGAGTAGCTGACACTACAGGCATGTGCCATGCCCTGGCAAATTTTTTATTTTTTATAGAGATGGGGGTCTCACTATGTTGCCCAGGCCAGGCTTTAACTTCTGGCTTCAAGTGATCCTCCCACCTTGGCCTCACAAAGTGCTGAGATTACAGGCATGAGCCCTGCTTTTATTTTGAATTATTCATAGCAAATACTGTGAACCTAACGCTTTGAATTTGTTAACATTTTTCTTTTTTTCTTTTTTTTTTTTTTTTTGAGATGGAGTCTCGCTGTCACCCAGGCTGGAGTGCAGTGGTGCGATGTCTGCTCACTGCAGCCTCCACCTCCCGGGTTCAAGCGATTATCCTTCATTCACCTGCCTCAGCCTCCTGAGTAGCTGGGATTACAGGTGCACACCAACACGCCTGGCTAATTTTTGCATTTTTTAGTAGAGACAGGGTTTCACCACATTGGCCAGGCTGGTCTTCAACTCCTGACCTCATGATCTGCCTGCCTCGGACTCCCAAAGTGCTGGGATTACACGCGTGAGCCACCATACCCAGCCGGGAGAATGCATTTCACATTGCTTATGCAAGTCCAGGACTGTCCTCTAGCATCACAGTTAAAATAAAAACCTAGAGCAAATGCTAATGTTTTCACTTTCTTTCTTTTTCCCCTCCTTTTCTCAATAGGATCCAAGCAAAACTCCCTGGAATCGCCAAAAAAAAGGCAGAATAAGTACATGGAAACCAGAAATGCAACAGTTACTAAAACACCATTTAATAGTTATAACGTCGTTACTTGTACTATGAAGGAAAATACTCAGTGTCAGCTTGAGCCTGCATTCCAAGCTTTTTTTTTAATTTGGTGTTTTCTCCCATCCTTTCCCTTTAACCCTCAGTATCAAGCACAAAAATTGATGGACTGATAAAAGAACTATCTTAGAACTCAGAAGAAGAAAGAATCAAATTCATAGGATAAGTCAATACCTTAATGGTGGTAGAGCCTTTACCTGTAGCTTGAAAGGGGAAAGATTGGAGGTAAGAGAGAAAATGAAAGAACACCTCTGGGTCCTTCTGTCCAGTTTTCAGCACTAGTCTTACTCAGCTATCCATTATAGTTTTGCCCTTAAGAAGTCATGATTAACTTATGAAAAAATTATTTGGGGACAGGAGTGTGATACCTTCCTTGGTTTTTTTTTGCAGCCCTCAAATCCTATCTTCCTGCCCCACAATGTGAGCAGCTACCCCTGATACTCCTTTTCTTTAATGATTTAACTATCAACTTGATAAATAACTTATAGGTGATAGTGATAATTCCTGATTCCAAGAATGCCATCTGATAAAAAAGAATAGAAATGGAAAGTGGGACTGAGAGGGAGTCAGCAGGCATGCTGCGGTGGCGGTCACTCCCTCTGCCACTATCCCCAGGGAAGGAAAGGCTCCGCCATTTGGGAAAGTGGTTTCTACGTCACTGGACACCGGTTCTGAGCATTAGTTTGAGAACTCGTTCCCGAATGTGCTTTCCTCCCTCTCCCCTGCCCACCTCAAGTTTAATAAATAAGGTTGTACTTTTCTTACTATAAAATAAATGTCTGTAACTGCTGTGCACTGCTGTAAACTTGTTAGAGAAAAAAATAACCTGCATGTGGGCTCCTCAGTTATTGAGTTTTTGTGATCCTATCTCAGTCTGGGGGGGAACATTCTCAAGAGGTGAAATACAGAAAGCCTTTTTTTCTTGATCTTTTCCCGAGATTCAAATCTCCGATTCCCATTTGGGGGCAAGTTTTTTTCTTCACCTTCAATATGAGAATTCAGCGAACTTGAAAGAAAAATCATCTGTGAGTTCCTTCAGGTTCTCACTCATAGTCATGATCCTTCAGAGGGAATATGCACTGGCGAGTTTAAAGTAAGGGCTATGATATTTGATGGTCCCAAAGTACGGCAGCTGCAAAAAGTAGTGGAAGGAAATTGTCTACGTGTCTTGGAAAAATTAGTTAGGAATTTGGATGGGTAAAAGGTACCCTTGCCTTACTCCATCTTATTTTCTTAGCCCCCTTTGAGTGTTTTAACTGGTTTCATGTCCTAGTAGGAAGTGCATTCTCCATCCTCATCCTCTGCCCTCCCAGGAAGTCAGTGATTGTCTTTTTGGGCTTCCCCTCCAAAGGACCTTCTGCAGTGGAAGTGCCACATCCAGTTCTTTTCTTTTGTTGCTGCTGTGTTTAGATAATTGAAGAGATCTTTGTGCCACACAGGATTTTTTTTTTTTTTTAAGAAAAACCTATAGATGAAAAATTACTAATGAAACTGTGTGTACGTGTCTGTGCGTGCAACATAAAAATACAGTAGCACCTAAGGAGCTTGAATCTTGGTTCCTGTAAAATTTCAAATTGATGTGGTATTAATAAAAAAAAAAAAAACACAAACAATGACTGTGGCATCATTCTGCTAACTTTATTCTTTATACACAGTTTGGGTAAAGTAAGAACCAAACACTGCTTCCACTCCCCCTATCCTCACTCCACTTTGGGGACTTTAAAAAGTGACTAATAGTTGGTACTCGTAAGGATTCCCAAGACTGCAGAATTTAGTTGTACAGCATAACTGTGCATTTGATCTCTGAAAGAAAATAAGAGACCCTCTAAGAGGTGGTGACCTTAGAAGAATGAGGAGGGGTCAGGGGGTCTTTTACCCCAGTTCAGCCTCACACCAGCCTGGGAGATTTTCCCACCTGCAACGCAAAGCAGCCTGTAAATTACATATAGCCACAATACACTTAAATTGAGTCAATCACCGTGGAAAATGGGAACTAAATACATCATCAGGTCTTCATTGAAAGAACTTGAGTGGTCACCTGTGATTAGCTCTTCTCCTAAACTAAGGCTGCTGTGACCCTTAAGCTGGCTTTTAAAAATGTATTCAACATACCTCTTAGAAAACTTAGGCTGAAATATTTTTTAAATGACTGATGCAAACAATTTCACAAATACGCATACAAATGTTTGAATAATGTCACTAAGTAACATGGTATATAAATATGTATTCAGAGTAACATTTACATATTGGCCATAATAGCAAGCATACCATTAACAACAACAACAAAAAAAATCATGAAGAGACTTCACCTGTTCATGTCAGAATCCCAAGGCAAGGAGGCACACCTAGGCAAGAGGGCCAACTCAACTTGCAACGTCTAACCTGTGAGGCCATAACTTCCATCAAAGCAGGAATCAATGGAATCACTACCGCAGCCCTTCCCTTTCACTGGTGCCCGGCACTTCAGCTGCATCAAGATCAATGGAGGGCTCATGAAAACACTGCTAGGCCCCAACCAAGTTTCTGATTCAGTAACCCTGGGGTATGGCCCAAGAATTTTTATTTCTAGCAGATTCCTAAGGTGATGCTGCTGGTCTCAGGGACACACTTTGAGAGCCACTGGTGTGTTTGGGGCTGTCTCAGTAAAGATGTCCACTCTCCTGAGGCCTCTCTCTGCCTACGGAGGGGGGGGAATCTAACCCCTCTGCCCTGGCTTATCCGAACTTTGGCAGTGGGCTTGAGTGATTATAAATTGGTTCCCCCAATTTGCCTACTGTTTTTGAATGGGCAGAGTAAAAAAAGTGGTGTTAATACTCTGGATCCGAAAAAATGCATGAAGGAAAGTAAAAGAATGGCAGTGCCCAGCCTGGTGCCATCCATAATCTCCGTTCTCAAGCTTTTAATACTGTCTCAAAAACCGTGGAGGTTCAAACTCACTGGGAATTTACTTTTCAGTCAATTGACAACCCATTCAGGATCTTCCTGAATCCCTGGTGGCCTCCACAACAAAAAGCACAAAGCCCCCTGCCGAGGCAGCCTTGGGCCCTGCGGCAGCCGCCCCACCTCTGGAGTTCTGCTGGGGAGGGGAAGGACGATTGGATGGCGCCTTCCAGCTGAGGCCCTGCAGAGCTCAGTGTGCTCATCCCAAGGCAGTGTGCAGGGCTTTGCCACCTTCAGGAGTCACAGATCCACCGTGGTGGCCTGCATTGCCCAGCATGTCAATCCTTCGGCAGGCCTGACAAATTTTAATAACTGACCAGCGAATTGGGAAGCAGTGTGGCATCGTGCAAAGAACACTGAGTCAGGAGCTAGGATTTTCATTCTAGTTCTTGTACTGTCCCTACCTGGCTGTGTGATCATCTCGGTTCCTGGGCTCCAATTTACCTATCTGTGAAGGTGAGGAGGGTAGTACTAGTGATCTCCAGGGCCCTTTCCAATTCTGACAATCCTCAATTATATAAAAATGCTATAAAATCCGTGGTATAAAATCCAACTCCCAAACAGGAAGCGTCAAGGGGACTGGGCCTGAGGCACTTGAACCTTAGGCTCTGGCCTGGGGGTCAGGGATGAGAGGAGGGGCCTCCTCTTTGCCCTCTGCTTTCCCACTCCTGGGCTCTGGCCTGGGGGTCCGGAATAAGAGGGGCCTCCTCTTTGCTCTCTGCCTTTCCACCCCGAGGCAGGGGCTGGACCACGCTGCCCAGGCATCTCTTCCTCCAGACCCAACCCTCAAGTTCCACCCACTAGCCTCCCCGCCCCGGCTTTAGGACCGCGGGAACTGTTCCTGCAGCAGCCTGGCTTTGTGAAGAGCAGACAGTAGGGCCCGGAGTCTCCCAGCGGGATTAACATCAGCACAGCTAGTTGGGGTCCTCCCGTCCCCGCCTCTGCCCTCGCTCCTCCTTCCTTCAGGTCCTCCCTCCACCACCTCACAGCTTATCTCTGATACACGCATAATAAATAAGACATTTGCACATAAGGGTGACTGGGTCAGCTCTGTCCCCGCCCCTCCCCCTTTCATATAAAAGCATTAAATACAGTTTCAAAATAAAATACAAAGAGCAAAAAAGGGCCTGATCTCGGGGCCACCTGTTCTCCACAGGAGAATGAATCTACACATCCCTCTCGGACCTGCCTGGGAGATCGCGGGGCCCCATCCCTGCCACACAGGGCCTGCGGCTGCCACGGGGAAAAGAGGCCGAGGCCCGGCCCCAGGCCCTGCGGGTTGAGAACGGACGCCGCATCCACCGCGGACAAAGGGGGATGGGGATGGGGCGGGAATCGAAGGCTGACTGCCGGGACCGCCTGTGCCCCGGGCTCCCACGGACTTGGTTTAGGGGTAAGCAGAGACCCTCGGGGCAAGAGGAGCAAAGGAAAAAAGTGCTAATCCCTTTACAAGAGCTTTCCTGGAGGGCGTGGCAGCGGCCTGGGAGGAGAGTGGGGCCGCCGGGCGCACGGTTCTCACTGAGCCTGCCGGGGAGGTAAGCGCAGCTGGTCCAGCCCGGGCCCCGGGCGCGTAGCCCCGCCCTCGGTCCAACGCGCCTTCCCACCCCGGGAAGGCTCCCGAGCCCTGCGGCCCAGCCTCCCGCTGGAAGCCCCAGTCCGCAGCCGGGGCCTCCGAGAGGCCGAGAATCCCAATTAGGGAAGGGCAGCCAGCAGCCCCCAAGCCGGGAGCCGTGCCTGCCAGCGTGCAAGGCTGCAGGGAACTGGGCCCCCAGCCAGGGCCAGAGCCAGAGCCCGCACGGCCCCCCTTCGGCCCTAATACTGACTGACGGCGCCCCCAGTCCCGGCCTGCGGAGAACCCCCTCGCGGGGTGCGGCCGGGAGCGCTCGGCGCTAACACGTGGAGGCCACTGAGGATTCTCGGAAAACGTGGGCCCTGCGCGGGGAGGGCAGGGCTCCGGGCCGATGGGAGAGTGCGCTTCCCGCAGCGCACCGACTGGCTCAGGGACCCAAGTGGCACCGCGCAGACGCCGGTGGCCCCACCCGATCCCCCGTCTCCGCCCGGCCCGGCCAGCGGGGGGCGCGGCCGCGGGAAGCGCTAACACCGGACGCGAGGGTCTCCCAGCCGAAGGGCCGGGCGAGCACAGGGCGGGGCGGGGCCGATCCGACCCGACCCGACCTGACCCGGGGGCCCGCTAGGCCGCTACGCCCGACACACAGCGCCAGACTTGAGGTCCGCGCCGCCGTCACGCGGCGCCGGGGCGGGCGGCCCGAAGCCCTCGTGGCCGTAGCAGCGCAGCGCCGCCTCCTCGTAGGCCTCCAGGATAGTCTGGCGCTCCTCAGGCGTGAAGTCCATGGAGAAGGGGTGCACCTGCAGGATGTGGCGCTTGATGGTGCTCACCTTGAGCGTGGCCAGCGCGCCCCCGCACACCATACACACCAGGCCGCGCCGGCTGCCGTCGTAGTCCATCAGGTACTCGCCCCGCCACCGCGGCTGGTAGTTCCGCCGCTGCTCCCGGCTGCGGGGCGGGGGCGGAGGCGGGGGAGGAGGCGGCGGCGGCAAGGCGAGTCCCCCAGGCTCCTGGCCGTCCTCTTCGTCCTCCTCTTCTTCGGCGGGCCGCTCCAAGGGAGCTCCAGGGGACAGCGGAACGTCGCCTAAGGAGGGACAAAGGACCGCATTGGCGACGGCGGGGGGCAGCGGGCTGGGCCCCGCGTCTCATCTCCAGTCACCCCATCTTTGCCCTTCTATCCCATCCTCCAGTCCCTTCTGCCCCAGCAACTGCCCGGCTCTCCCTCTCCGCCTGCTCTGGCCCCACCGCTCACCCCACTCCTCCTCCTCCTCCTCTGGCTCCTCCTCCTCGTCCCCTCCCCCCTCGTCGGAGGCTGCGGCAGTGCCGGGGGGGATGGGGCCCTGGGGGGACTCGGGGCGGGGCGGCCCCAGGGCCAGCAGGTGGGCGGCCTTCTCGCTCCACTCCCGGGCGATGAGGGCCTGGACAGGCCCGCCGAGGCGCGTGGAGCCCGGGTGGCGCCGGCGGATGTGGCGCTCGATGGTGCTCATCTTGAGCGAGGCCAGCGCGCCCCCGCACACCCCGCACACCAGGCCGCGCCGGCCGCCGTCCAACTCCATGAGGTACTCCAGCCGCCAGCGCTCCTGGGGGTGGCGGCGGTGGGCGCGGCCCCGCGGCGACCGGCCCGGGACCCCCGCCCTCTCGCCCTCGCCCTCCTCCAGCTCCTCCTCCTCCTCTGCGGGCCCGGGCCTCTCAGGGACCCAGCCAGCCTCTTCCTTTACGTCTGGGGGGCTGAGATCCTGAGAGGAGGGGGCTCCAGCAGCGGAGGCCGAGTCCCGGCTCTTTCCGGTCAGGTCCTGGGGGGCGAGGTCATCGCCTGTTGGGGAAGGGGTGAGGGAGAGGGGCTCAGCCTGCTGGCTGGGTTGCCCTTGCCCACTCAGAGGGGTCCATCCTGGCTCCTCACCCCAGCCCCAAGCTAGAGGCCCCAGTCTGTCTCTGTCTGGGGGCAGGGGGAAAGTATGTGTGTGGAGCACCAGCTCCTGGCCTTCAGCCCTCAGCCCTAAGTCCCTGCCTCCCAGTTTTGGCCACAGACCCCACTTCAGAGCCCCAGTATGAGGGGGTCTCAGCCTGGGATGGGCCTCGCACCTGGTGGGGACTGGGTGAGCTCAGACAGCGCCTCGGGCTGGCCCCCCCAGGCCTGCAGCAGGGCACTGCGCTGGGGGCCGCTGAGCCCCAGGGAGCCAGGGTGCACCTCCAGCACGTGGGCACGGATGTCGTCCAGGTGCAGGCTGGGCAGTGCCCGGCCACAGGCCATGCACACCAGCCGGTTCCCCCGCGGGTCATAGTCCATGAGACACTCGGCCCGGAACCAGTTCTGCAGGGACTCCTTCAGCCTCCTCTCCAGGCGCCGGGCCCCCAGCCCCCTGCTGCCCCCGGCCCTCCGGGAGGCTGAGAGGCGCAGACGCCGAGCCCGGGGTGCCACTGGGCCCCCTCGCCGCTGGCGCCGGCAGCCCCCACCAGCTGGGGCTTTGCCTGAAAGGGTTGGAGGGAAGGAACTGAGACGCTGGCCCCACGGGAGCATACCCACTACAGCCAGGTCTCCCACAAGCCTCTCACTCACTTGGGCCCCAGGCCTAACCTTTGCCCTTCTCTTCCTCTCTCCTGAAATCCTAACTCCCTAAACCCTCCTCTGCTAGCATTTCAAGCACCACCCACACCTCCCCCAGACTGGAATCTAGCCCTGTCCCTGGCCTTCACCGTCAGCCACACCTCTCCAGCACCCTCCCCTTCCCTCACCCACCCCAGCCAGGCCTCCCTGCTCCAAGCCTTTCCACTGCCTGTCACCCAACTTCTCTCCTTGATACTTCAAAAACCACAGAATGTACAAGCTGTCATGGACATCGGAGACCCTCTCACCCCACTGTCCTTCCCCCACCTTTGTATAATAAGGGCAATAAACAGACCCCACCCAGAGGAGGAGCAGTGCCTTGCTCAAGAACACCAGCTCCTTGGCAGAGCAGCTGGCCCACTGTGCCCCACTGGCCACCCAGGCCCCTGCCTGTACAGAATCTGCATTTGCATTACCTGGGCCCTTGGGCGGGCAAGCTGGGACACCGGCCCCCTCCTCCTCCTCCTCTTCTTCCTCCTCCTCCTCCTCCTCAGCCCCCTGGACCCCCAGGCCCTCGGCCTCTCCGCAGGCCCCCAGCCCCAGGTGTGCATCCCAGCTGTTGCTGATGACTTCCTTCTCCCGGGGACTCCAATGCAAGGAGTAGGGGTGCTTTTGGCGGATGTGGCGCTTGATGGTGCTGAGCTTGAGGGTGGCCAGGGAGCTGCCGCACACCATGCACACCATGCCGTGCCGGGCAGGGTTGAAGTCCATCAGGTACTCCAGCCGCCAGTGGTCGTGGTAGTAGCGCCGGTGGTCACGGCCAGGGATGCGGCTCTTTCCAGGCCTCGAGGCCCGGGCCTCACAGTGGTCTGAATATTTCCTGCCTGAAGATGCTGGTCCCCTGGCCCTGGAGGAGGGCAGGGGGGCACTCCCCCAGGACCCCAAGGCACCCCCTTCCAGCTGAAGATCTTGCCCTGAAGAAGGGGAAAGGGAGACAGTTTTTCAATCTCTGATTTCCAGGGAAAGAGGCGAGGGCTTTGATGGTGAGCCCTGAGAAAGGGAGCTGGGGGAGGGGGTGTTCCGGGGCAGGAAAGGGACGGCAACAGCAATAAAAGGGATGGTAGAAGTGGGAGCCAAAACATTAGCCCTTTACAAAGGGCAAGGACCCTTTAAGAGGAGATCAAGAACAAAAGGACGCAGGGCACTGTGGAAATAGCTCTGACTTTTTAAAAAATAAGGTGAGGGCCAAGGAGCCAACCAGCTCTGTAAGGTGCCCTTTCTGGACAAGAGCCGTAGGGAGAAAGCCAGGAGAGCAGCAGGCCAGGGCGGTTCCAGCTGGAGCAGAGCAGGCAGTGGGGCCAGACAAACAAAGGGGGCATCTGTCTACAGCCAGGGCTGCACACGGGACCCACCCACCTGGGGCCCCCGCCAGGAGGGCCCCACCCACAGGTCTTCTCCCTTTTTCCAGTAATGCTTCAAATATAGCTTCCTGAGACTCCCATTTTGGGGATGGGCTAGGCATTGTCAGTTCCCCAAATCTAGGCCCCCACATGGGAGGGATCCCCAAGACAAAGCTGCCAACATCTCCAGGGAAAGGAGTTTCTGAGACTGAAACTTCTCCAGATTCTGGAGGAGCCAATGACCCTGTAAAGGGATGGCAGGAGGGCCACCAGAGTGACAACTAATGACACTGCGGCAGGGAGTGGCCACCATCCACTGAAGCCCATTAAGTCTTTCTGGGGCTTTATTTGCTGCTCTGGCAGGGAGCCGGCCACTGCCCAGCAGTCAGAAGGGCGGGCACTGGAGAGGCCCCACTAACCCAATGGTGTTCCCTGTGCCAGACACCCACCCAGAGCAGTCCCCTACCCTCCCTACAGTTCCCACCCCTCTTGATTTAGAAAAATGGTCTCCTGGGCACACAGGCAGGTTCTGGTCATTCTCCCAGTGGAGAATCACAGGGTTGGGAAAACAAAAGACAGGATCAGAAAGGGCTCCTGTCACCCTTGTGGAAGTTTTTTTGTTTTAGTTTTTATTTAAGTAGATCCATAGAATCCACTGGCTTCGGAGTCATAGGCCTGGGTTCAAGTCCTGGCTTCACTGGTAACTTGCTCTGTGACCTTTGATAGGTCATGTCCGCACTCTGGGCCTGAGCTTCTTTGTCTGCAACGACACTGGCTAGCTGGCTGGTCTCTAAGCATCCTTCCAGCGCTGGATCCAGGCTAGTCTAAGGTGGATTGGCCCTTTAAGAGCCGAAAAAGGGGGAGGAGCCGAGGTTCTTTAAAAACAAAAGGGGATGGGGCGTTTCTGGGAGGGGAGAGACCGGGAGGGGAGCCTGGAGATTCGGGCAGAGTCTCCCTGGCCTGGAGGAAACCCTCAAGGGTCTTAAGGCGTGACCCTGCAGCCGGGAAATGAGTCAACAGTCTCCTTTGAGAGCGAACGAGGAGGACTGGTTGGTTCCGCTAGAGCTGACAAATTAGGGCAAAAAAAAATTCTGAAAAGAAGGGAAGGGAGAATGCACCGGCCGGAGGGGTGCCTGCCTTTGTGGGCGAACCCATCGCTTTAAAAACTGCCCGCGGTGGGAAAAGATGGTGTGGGCCCCCGGGGCGCAAGCGATGCACTTTCCTAGGGAGAATGTGGGAGAAAAGAAAAAGGGTGCATGTCTCTCACAAGGCCACGAGACGAGAGGAGCAGCCCGATTTAAAACAGCAGAGTTCGGAGCTGAGCTCAGCTCCGCTGGGGAAAAGCCCCCGAAGGGGACCCAGGGTCTGGGCGGACTTTTGAGAGAAAGCCCGATTAGGGAGACCACCTGGGAGTCTGAAAGAGAAAGGGGCGGGGGCCAAAGTCCAGCCTCGCTCCGTGGCGCCCTGCCCCGTGGGGCCCCTCGGGCCTGGCCCCCAAGGCGGGGCGCTGCGGGCGGCAGCGGGGCCCTTTAAGGGGGAGGCGAGCCGCCCGAGCCCCGCGAGCCGACCCCGGGAGCTGGGCGGGGGGCTCCCCCGCCAGCCCTGCAGCCGCGCTCCGCGCCCACCAGGTGGCGCCCCCGGCCGCCCTGCCCGCGTCCCCCGCTTTGTTCGGCGGCGGAGAGGGGCCCCGAGCCGCAGCCCTCCCTTCCCCCACGCCGGGGCCCCCGCCCGGGCCGCCGGCCCCAGCTCTTACCGCCTTCGTCTTCCTCTGGCTCCGCGCTGCCGCTCGATCCGGCGGGCGGCAGCCGTCGGCCCCGTGCCGAGGCCACTGCTGGCCCGGGGCCGCCCCTGCCGCCGCTGCTCCGGCTCCGGTGGTCCCCGCCGGGCTCCATGCGCTGCGCTGCGGAGCGGGGCCCCGGGGCGGCGGGGCGCGGGGCCGCGGGGCCGGCGGCAGCCCGCGCGGAGCGCTCGCTGCGCGGGGCCCCGGGGCGCGGGGCGCATGCACGGGGCGGCCGGCCGCACGGACGGCAGGCTGCTCGCTCGGCGGCGCGGGCTGGACCGGGGTGGGGATTCCTGTCTGGGGCCCCTGGGGCTCCTTTAAGGGCTCCTGGGTAAATTTAAAGGGGCCGCGCGCTATTTCCTCCTGCCAGCTCGCGGGGGGCTGGGGGGAAAGGCGGGAGGCAACGAGCCCAGCCGAGGCTCAGCAGCCTGCGCCCGCTCCGGACGCTAGGGGCACGGACCTCGCCGCCCCCGCGGGCCCGCACCGCCGCCTGCGGGGCTCCGGTCCCGGCTCCCAAAGGGTCACTGAGGTGGCGAGGGGCGCCCGCGTCCGCTGCGACGCGCTTCCACCCGGGCTCGGCTCGCGGCCACCGCCCCCTCGGGGCATCTCAGCGCCGGGAGCGCCCGCTGAGGAGGCCGGGGTCCCTGCCCGGGGCTGCCTCCCGCCGCGCAAGCGGGTCGCGAGCTCCGTGCGGGCCCCGGAGCGGCCGCTACTGGCAGGGGCCCCAGATGGCTGCGGCCCCGCCGAGAGGGTGGAGCCGTGGGGGCGGCCGCGCCCCCTCCCGCGGGAGCCGCCCGGGAGCGCTGAGAGCTCGGGCTTCTCATGGGAGGGGCGGACAAGCGAGGCTCCCCCGAGCCAGCCAGGGGTGGGGGCGGCGGCCGCAGTGACTCGGGCTGGGGAGAGGGGCGCACAGCAGACCCGCAGAGAGCCGGCTGCGCCGGGGCCCGACCCTGCGGGCTGGAGGTGGCCCCAGGATGGAAGCCGGGAGGAGAGGGCGTGCGCGGCGGTGACTCAGGATCCTGCCCCCGCAGGCCTGGGGGTGCCTGACGAGGCCCTTGACGCAGCCCCAGACCCCCGGCCCGGCCCTAGGAAGCGAAAAATGCTGGCCCCGGGCGGGGTGTCGGGCACCTGGGGAGGCGCGTTACCACGGCTCGGAAGCGCTGGGCGGACCCTGGCTGCGGGTCCCGGGGCGCCCCCGGTCCCCCAGCTCCGGAGAAGCGGAGCGCAGGGACCCGGAGAGGCAGCCGGGGCGCAGCAGCCTGGGGTCCTCCTGCGAGGACCGGCGGGAGGAGCAGGTGCTCGCTTTGCCTGAGGTTGGGCGCCCACAACAAAGGCGATTCCTGGAGATCCAAATTACAGGGTGCGGGAGGCCTGCAGGGTCTTCTTATCTGGAGGCGGGTTTTGTTCCCTGCACTGGCGAGTTACCCAGCTGTCGCCGATGGCAGTTCGTCCGCTTGTCACCACCTACTGTGTGCCCGCATGCTTTCAGACGCTGGACACACAGCACTGAAAAACATGGGCAAGACCGATACTGCCTGTGACTTTCCTTCTCAGAGGCACCCACAGCCTCTGAAAAGGAAACCGCTCCAGCCTTTCGGGAGCCATGGGAATTAAATTACTTGGAACACAGGAAACCTGTCCCCGAAGTGCTTATGAGGAGGGGACAAGAACTAAGATTTCTTAAGTGCCTCTGGGCTCTGTCGCCGCGGAGATGTCCCGTCTCTTCCTCAGCCCCCATGTTGACGTGCTTGAGACTCCACCTTGGGTAAACTGAGTCTCCTTTCACAGCTCTGCTCTCTTCGCGGCAGGCCCTGCGCTCAGGGGGGCGGGGGGGGGTTGCACTTCCTCTCACCCACTGGGGTCAGAGGCCCTGATGCTGATGGGTGCCACGCAGGCCCTGAGATGGGAGATTCCTTAATTCATTATGTCCCTCATCTGTGCCAGGCCCGGGAACACAAAGGGAAAGTGAGACAGAGACCTGGGCTTCACGCACTTCTAAGTAGTATGGTTTAAAAAAAAAAAAAAAAGAAAAAGAAAGAAAGAAAAGAAAGGAAAAGAAGCTAAAAGAGCCTAATGTCCTAAAATGAAAGAAGCCTGTTCTTCTGGGGCCAAGGGCCCTTGTGCTTTATTCTAGTTTAGTTGCTCACTCCACAGAGAACCAATGCTGAGGGCCAGCCCCTGTGAGACTCTGGTGTCTGTCCTGCCAGTGCTCTGTGTGTATAAAAAGGGTAATTTTATTACCAGAAGAAAGGTATCAAAGCCACCTGGAGCCACCTTCAACAACCTCTGCCCTCCCCTTCCCACCCACATTCTGCACGACCTCAGGAACGGCTGCACGCTTGACAGTTCTAAAAGTTTCCCACTCACTACTTGATCCCCGCAGCAGCCCCGTGAAGCTGGAACTTTGTTGTCGGGATGAAGAAATGGAGACTCAGAGAGTCAAGAGCCTTGCGCAAGGCCATTCATTTATTTCTGCACTTCTTTTCTTGTTCAGAAAGCAGTCATAAGTGATGAGAACAGGGCTGGGGGTGCAGAGACTTAAGAATAACATAATGCAGTGGGGGGGTACCCCCCAACCCCACTGGGGGAAGGGGAAACCAATGGCAGTGAGTCAGGGCCACATTCTCACTTTCTCAGGCCTTAGGTGCTTTTGTCTTCATGAGGTATCTTCCTCTATTTAAAAAAAAAATAAAAATTTAAATAATTCAGTAGATTTTCATGGGCCCTACGCATTTATTTTTTTGATGTGAGAAAAAAAATTGTCTTTGACCCTTACATTTTTTTCATCTAATTTTAAAATAAAACATTTTCATGAGCCCCTAAAAGTACCTTGCACTCTAGGCACCAGTGCCTCGGTGCCCTGGGTCCCTGGCACTGATTGCAGTAGAGGGTGATAAGCACCAAGGAAAAGGGAAGCCCCAGGAAGGGTCACCCAACTGGGGAAGACTTCCTAAAGAGGGCATTGTTTAAACCAAAACTAGAAAGACCAGGGTATTGCCAGAAGGAGAAAGGGAACAAGGGTTTCCTGGCAGAGGCTGGGAAAATTCTGGATGAAGGAGGGTTTCAGGTGGGAGAGGGAGAAGAGGAAATAGAAATTGGCAGGGACTAGAGCCTTAGGTGCCACATGGAGAGTCTCAGTTTGTCCTGAAGGCACTGGGAATGCTGGGAATTGTGGACAATTATGGAGGCAGCTGGGAGAACGCTGGGGAGAGGGACAGCAACAAAGACCCATGTCAAGGCAGCAGCCCCAGGGCCAATGGAGAGGAGGCAAAAGATTTGAGCAGGGCCACAGCACATCATGGTGTAAACTTCACTGCATTGAGGAGGAAGAGAAGGAAGAGGTGGTGGCAACTGGAGGATGAATACCAGCTGAGTGAGGAGGAGGAGGAGAAGGAGGAGGAGGAGGAGGAGAAGGAGGAGGAGGAGGAGGTGGCAACTGGAGGATGAATACCAGCTGAGTGAGGAGGAGGAGAAGGAGGAGGAGGAGGAGGAGGCAACTGGAGGATGAATACCAGCTGAGTGAAGAGAAGGAGGAGGAGGAGGCAACTGGAGGATGAATACCAGCTGAGTGAAGAGAAGGAGGAGGAGGAGGCAACTGGAGGATGAATACCAGCTGAGTGAAGAGAAGGAGGAGGAGGAGGAGGGGAAGAAGGAGAAGGAGGAGGGCAAGAAGGAGGAGGAGGAAGGGGAGGCGACCGGAGGATGAATACCAGCAAAGCCAGGAAAAAGGATACCTCTTCTCACCAAGGGGCTATTTCTTACCTAAGTGATATACCTAAAAGTTGCTTATGCCTGGGGCAGGGGTCAGGAGTGTTGAGGGCTAGTAGTGGTTCTAGCTTGAGCATATCAAGAAGATAGAATTACAGGACATGGTGTCTGCTTGAATGTGATGATCCGGGAAAGGCCCTGCTAACTCCCAAGTATCTGGATTGAGAGGATGGGGCTATAAAAAGAAAAGTAGATTTGGAAGTAGAAAATGAGGTTACAGGCTGGGCGCAGTGGTTCACACCTATTACAGCACTTTGGGAGGCTGAGGTGGGTGGATCACCTGAGGTTGGGAGTTCGAGACCAGCCTGACCAACATAGTGAAACCCCATCACTACTAAAAATACAAAAATTAGCTGGGCGTGGTGGCGCGGGCCTGTAATCCCAGCTACTCGGGAGGCTGAGGCAGGAGAATCACTCGAACCTGGGAGGTGGAGGTTGCAGTGAGCTGCGATTGTGCCATTAGCCTGGGCAACAAGAGTGAAACTCCGTCTCAAAAAAAAAGAAAAGAAAATGAGGTCACAACCTGAGAACTTTGGAGCCCATTTCAAACCCAGAACTCCTGATTTTTACACCTTACCTCTTCCATTCTCTAACTCAGATTCACTTAGTCCCCTGTGTGGTGTCTCCAGCCAGCCCTAGAACTTCTAAGGTTGTTGGTCCCAGCCTTCAAGGGCCAGCGTCCCCCAGTGGGGCAGCCTTCTCCTAGTGCTTCAGTGGCTCCTTGGGCAGGTCCCGTTAAAAGGAGGGCCACTGACAACAAAAACAGAGGAACTGTGAATTGTGTTCCCAAAGGAAGGTTTTTAAGGAGGTAAAACATTAACCTCCCTAGACCCAACTTTGTGACAAATTCTGGATTCTACTTTTCAGGATATCTCAGAACTAAAAAAAAACAAATCCTGGTTCTAAAAGTAGCCTTCAACATTCTCCAGAGAGCAGACCCAAACTCCTTCAAAAAACTAAGATCGGTCATATAGGCTGTAATGTTAAAGGAACTTTCTATGTAGATTGTAAATTAAATCATCCCTTGTAAAATCCCAAAGGAATTTCAAACTTAAGGATTATATCCAGGTCTAAGCCAAAACCTTGAGCTTTGAATGTGTGTGTTGAGGGGAGAGAGTGTGGAATTTTATTTAATTTAATTAATTTATTTATTTTTTTGAGATGGAGTTTTGGTCTTGTCGCTCAGGCTGGAGTTCAATGGCTCACTGCAACCTCTGCCTCCCGGGTTCAAGCGATTCTCCCGCCTCAGCCTCCCGAGTAGCTGGGATTACAGGCGCCCGCTACCACACCCAGCTAATTTTTGTATTTTTAGTAGAGACGGGGTTTCACCATGTTGGCCAGGCTGGTCTCGAACTCCTGACTTCAGGTGATCTGCCCTCCTTGGCCCCCCAAAGTGCTGGGATTACAGGCGTGAGCAACCGCGCCTGGCCTAATTTTTGTATTTTTAATAGAGACGGGGTTTCACCATCTTGGCCAGGCTGATATTGAATTCCTGACCTCGTGATCCACCTGTCTTGGCCTCCCAAAGTGCTGGAATTACAGGCGTGAGCCACTGCCCCTGACCTAATGTTTGTATTTTTGCAGACATGAGGTGTCACCATGTTGCCCATGCTGGTCTCAAATTCCTGAGCTCAGGCGATCCTCCCACCTCGACCTCCCAAAGTTCTGGGATTACAAGCATGAGCCACTACGCCCGGCTTCTTTCTTTTTAAAATTGTAAGAACACTTAACATGAAATCTATCCTCTAAACAAGCTTTTAAATGTACAGTGCACTATTGTTGACCATAGGCACTAGGTTCTACAGCAGATCTCTACAGCCTATTCATCTTATTTAACTAAAACTTTATGCTCATTGGCCAGGCGCAGTAGATCACGCCCATAATCCCAGCACTTTGGGAGGCTAAAAAGGGCGGATCAACTGAGATCAGGAGTTTGAGACGAGGCTGACCAACATGGTGAAACCCCCATCTCTACTAAAAATACAAAAATTAGCCAGGCATGGTGGCACACGCCTGTAGTCCCAGCTACCCAGGAAGCTGAGGCAGGAGAATTGCTTGAACCCGGGAGGCAGAGGTTACAGTGAGCCAAGATTGTGCCACTGCACTCCAGCCTAGGTAACAGAATGAGACTCCGTCTCAAAAAAAAAAAAAAAACTAGGCCGGGCGCAGTGGCTCACGCCTGTAATCCCAGCATTTTGGGAGGCCGAGGTGGGCGGATCACAAGGTCAGGAGATCGAGACCATCCTGGCTAACATGATGAAACCCCATCTCTACTAAAAATACAAAAAATTAGCTGGGCGTGGTGGCGGGCGCCTGTAGTCCCAGCTACTCGGGAGGCTGAGGCAGGAGAATGGCGTGAACCTGGGAGGCAGAGCTTGCAGTGAGCCGAGATCGTGCCACTGCACTCCAGCCTGGGCGACAGAGCCAGACTCCATCTCAAAAACAAAAAAAACTCTATGCTCATTGATTAGTAACCCCTCTTTCCTCCTTTCCCCAGCTCCTATCAACCACCCTTCCACAGTTTGATTCTATGAATTTGAATTTTTAAAAAAATTTTTTTTTAGATTCAGGATCTTGCTGTGTTATCCAGGCTGGAGTGCCATGGCACAATCATAGCTCTCTGTAACCTCGAATTCCTGGTCTCAAGGGATTCTTCCGCCTCAGCCTCCCAAATAACTAGGACTACAGGCACCCACTACCACACCTGACTAATTTTTTAATTTTTTTGTTGAGATGGGTGTCTCCTCACTATCTTGCCCAGGCTGGTTTCGAACCCCCTGCCTCAAGCAATCCTCCTGCCTCAGCCTCCCAAAGTGTTGGGATTACAGTTGTGAGCCACATGCCCAGTCAAATTTGACTATTTTAGAAACTTCATGTCACTGAAATCATGCAGTGTTTGTCTTTCTGTGACTGGCTTAGTTCACTTAGCATAATTTCCTCAAAGTTCATCCATGTTGTCACATGTTGAAGAATTTCCTTCTATTTTAAGGCTGGATAAGATTCCATTGTATGTATACAAAGCATTTTCTTCATTCATCTGTTGGTGGACATTTAGTCTGTCTCCACATCTTGACTATTATGAATAAACATAGAAGTGCTAATATATCTCTGAGATCTTATTTGAAGTCTTCTGGATAAATGCCCAGAAGTGAGATTTACAGTGGCTATACCATTTCTCATTCCTAACCAACAGTGTGCAAGGGTTCCGATTTCCCCACATCCGTATGAACAGTGATTGCCCTGTACAGCGAAGCACTCTGAATGCCTCAGCTATGCAAACCATTTACTGGGGTGACTTGATCAATGAGAAAATACAGGATAGCCGGCTGGGAGTGGTAGCTCATGCCTGTAATCCCAGCACTTTGGGATGCTGAGGCAGGTGGATCACCTGAGGTCAGGAGTTTGAGACCAGCCTGACCAACATGGTGAAACCCCGTCTCTACTAAAAATTAGCTGGGCATGGTGGCTGGCACCTGTAATCCCAGCTACTCAGGAAGCTGAGGCAGGAGAATGGCTTGAACCTGGGAGGCGGAGGTTGCAATGAACCGAGATCACATCATTGCACTCCAACCTGGGCTACGGAGCGAGACTCCATCTCAAAAAAAACAAACAAACAAACAAAAACACAGGATAGTCTTCTTGGCCCTACCTGTTGGTGCCAATGGAAGGATAATTCTTAGGGCCAGGGCACAAGTGTCCTGAGTTCCCCCTGCCAGTGTGGAAAACCACAGATGCACTGGACGGTGCTCCTCAGAGCCAGCCTTGGATGCTGGCTGCTGCTGGCTCCCCAATTCCTGGTTTTAGGGACCTCTAAGATGGCCCCAATGTCCTAACCCGTCCACCCCACTAAAGAGGGACAGTCCCATAATGGTCCAACTCTTTGACAAGACCATGAGCAAGGATGAAGAACAAGGGGTAGTTGACCAACAAGGCCTTCATTCCTGTCCCTCTTTATTAAAAAAAAAAAAAACATAGACACAGAGTCTCCCTATGTTGTCGAGGCTGGTCTCGAACTCCTGGGCTCAAGTGATTCTCCAGCCTTGGCCTCTGATATGGTTTGGCTGCGTCCCCACCCAAATCTCACCTTGAATTATAATAATTCCCACATGTGGAGGGTGAGGCCAGGTGGAGATAATTGAATCATGGGGGCAGTTTCCCCAGTATTGTTCTCGTGGTAGTGAATAAGTCTCACAAGATCTGATGGTTTTATAAATGGGAGTTACTCTGCACAAGCTCTCTTGTCTGCCACCATGTAAGACATGACTTTGCTCCTTATTCCCCTTCTGCCATGATTTTGAGGCATCCCCAGCCATGTGGAACTGCGAGTCAATTAAACTTCTTTCCTTTATAAATTACCCAGTCTTGGGTATGTCTTTATGAACAGCATGAGAACGGACTAATACAGCCTCCCAAAGTGCTGGGACTACAGGTATGAGCCACCACACCCAGCCTGTCCCTCTTTAAATGTGTCAAAAGTGTAAATTTTGTATTTCTGTCTCCTTTCCATAACCTCAGAGTATTCCAGTGGCTGCTTACTGTTTTATCAATCCCCTCAGACTGAGTCAGCACCTTTTTTTTTTTTTTGGAGACAGGGTCTCACTCTGTCGCCCAGGCTACTAGAGTGCAGTGGCACAATCTCAGCTCACTGCAACCTTTACCTCCTGGGTTCAAGCAATTCTCCTGCCTCAGCTTCCCGAGTAGGTGGGACTACAGGCATGTGCCACCACGCCTGGCTAATTTTTTGAATTTTTAGTAGAGTTGGGGTTTCACCACGTTAGCCAGGCTGGTCTTGAACTCCTGACCTCAAGTGATCCGCCTGCCTCGGCCTCCCAAAGTGCTGGGATTACAGCATGAGCCACTGTACCCAGCCAAATCAGCACACTTTTGATAATAAATGATTAAAAATAAAAATAAAAATAAAACTGGCTTAAAAGTTTAAAGCAGGAGAGGGTGTATTGGTTCATGGGACTGAAAATTAAAAAATGATCTTCAGATGTGGCTCGATGCAAGGTTCAAGCAGTGTCCCGGTGATCTTAATGTCTGTCTGTCTGTCTCTCTCCATCTCTACCCTGCTCCCCTGTTTGTTGGCTGTCCTTTTGGAAAGGTCTTTCTACAGGATGACCCCAGCACCTCCAGACTCACAGCCTGACAACTGGAAGGCTCACAGAAAAGAAAGAGATCTTCTCTCCTCCAACAATGTGAACAAAGTCCCAGGTCTAAATCTCACTGGATCACATTGGATCATGAGCCTGTCCTTCAACGAGTTACTGAAACTAAACTCACGGGATATGCCATTCACTTAAGCCTGGGTCAGAGGCCCGCTCCTGGAGGAGTCAGCACTCCCAACTATGTGGACTAAGGGTGCTCTCTATAAAGAAAAACTGGATGGAGTTAACACAAGAAGTAATGCTGAACAGCAGAAACAACAGAAGTCTAGTCACTCATGTTGAGAACATATTGCCATTCCAATTAATAGCAAGACACAGTAACAGGAGTGAGGCACATCTTAGGGGTTGGCCCTTCCATTCTATCCCTTCACAGCCCTGTAGGAAATGGCTCTCCTCTGCTCTCTGGCCAGCTCTCCAAGGGCTGTCCCCAAGATCAATCCCTTCCGACCCAGAATGGGGCCCACAGCAGTCACCTTTCCTCCAAACTTTCCAGCCCAAAAGCCTATAGTTGCCTACCCAGTAAGAGTGGTCACTCTGACCCATGAAAGACCAGTCAGATCTCTCTCCTGACATTCTTTTTGGGGATTTCATAGACAGCCAAATGATCTCTGAGATTGACTTGAAACTGCACAAATCTATCATGAAGAATAGAAGCAAGAGGCCGGGCGTGGTGTAATCCCAGCACTTTGGGAGGCAGAGGCGGGTGGATTACAAGGTCAGGAGATCAAGACCATCCTGGCTAACACGATGAAACCCCGTCTCTACTAAAAATACAAAAAAATTAGCTGGGTGTGGTGGTGGGCTCCTGTAGTCCCAGCTGCTGGGGAGGCTGAGGCAGGAGAATGGCGTGAACCCGGGAGGCGGAGCTTGCAGTGAGTTGATATTGCGCCACTGCACTCCAGCCTGGGCGACAGAGCGAGACTCTGTCTCAAAAAAAAAAAAAAAAAAAAGGCTTTGGTCTTTATACTAAGAGAAATGGGAGGTAACTGAAGAGTGTGTGTGTGTGTGTGTGTGTGTGTGTGTGTGTGCGCGCGCGCGGGTGCATGTGTGTGTGTATGTAGAGATTACCAGATTTTTATTTTGATAGAATAACTGTGGAAATATATTTCAAGGGGACAAAGAGTAGAGGCAGGAAGACTGATTAGAAGGCTATCGAATTGGACTATCAGAGAAAGAGAGGCTGCCAGGAATAGACAGTGGAGAAGGAAATGCAGAAAGGAGCAGATTTCAGAGTTACGGAGGAAGGAAGTTTAACAGAATAGGGGATGGACTAGGGGAGAAAAGGGGGTTCCAAGGATGAGAATGAAGTTTTGAGTTTGCATGAAAAGAAAGATAGTATTGCTACTCATTGAACTGAAAGACAGTAGAAGAGAAGTGGGCTTGGAGGAAGGGGTGTATCAGCTTGAGTAACAGATAGGGTGTATGTGTTACATTTGGCTGCAAGTAACAGAGGACAGAGGCTAAAATATAAAGCTCTTTGTTGTTTATGTAAGAAGTCCAGGGGTTGGAGGTCCCAGACTTAGTTCAAATTCTTCCCACTCTTCAGCTCCATCATTTTTAGCTGGCTTTTAACTCTTTTGTTTGTTATCTCATGATCAAAAGCTGTATACCACAGCTCCAAATATGTGCTCATACCAGCATTCCAAGGAAGAAGAAAGAGACAAGGGCAAAAGTTCTTTCCTCCAGAGGCTCTGTCTTTTATCTGGGAATCAAACTCTTCCCTAGAAACTCCCCAGGAAATTTTCCCTTACCTCTCATTGGCCAGAACTGGTTGCATAGTTGTCTCTGGCTACAAAGGAAGCTAGGAATATTTGTATTCAGTATTTGGCAACAGGAAAAGCAATTATCATTGGTAGTTTAACCATAATTCATCCCCCGGGGTTGCGGGGAGAGCCTGTATTCCTAAAAATCAAGGGATTTCCACCTACTTCCTGTACCAAGCAGACATATATTGGCAGGATACAGGAGGCTGGGAAGGCTGGTGGGTCACAATGAACTGAGCATACATAGGTACACTATCATTTGTGCATATCATCTCCATTTCTTTCTGGAAACACCAGCTTCATTTTTCCTTCTGGAATGATACCTCTTCTCACACTCAAACTAAGTGGTTTTGGTATAGCTGATTTCATCCCCCACACTGAGTTGACATATGACCCAGGTAGGGTTACCAGATAAAACACAGGATGCATACTTGGGAATACTAATCCAAAAAAATTTATTCATTGTGTATCTGAAATTCAAATGTCCTGTATTTTTATGTGCTAAATCTGGCAACTCCACATCCAGGCCTATTAATAGGACACTAGATTGATTTGGAAAAGGCCATGAGTCCTAAGGTAGGCTGAGGAGAGTCATCCTTTGGACATCTGCTGGAGCTCTCTGGAAAGAGCCTGTCTCATTCTACTGGGGTTGCAAAGCTAGCAGAACATATGATCAGCTGCAGATATGTGCCCATGACCCAAATCTGGTCCATCAGAATACTATTTTCCCCAATTACAATGTTTGACTGATAGCTGGGCATATAACCCAACCCAAGCCAAGTCAGCAAGACTTGACCATGGAGCTGATGACGGAATTAATGGGCAGGAGAAATCTCTGTCCACGGGAGTTGCTGAGCTTGAGGAATGTAAGCCTGAAGCTGCTGGCAGATATCTCACCCCTGTGAGAGGAGGGTAGGCCTAAGAGTGAAGTCAGAAGAGAGAAAACCAGAAGCAAGAGATGGAAAGACAGACATCGAGTCTTCTCAATATCATTTTACCCTGAAGTCACCCTGACCCTGGACTTACTGGTTAATTGAGCCAATAACTTTCCATAATGGCTTAAGCCAGTTTCGGTTGGGGTTCTGGCACTTGCCACCAAGATAGTCCTGATTAGGGAAGATCTCAGGTTCAATTTTACACGCAGTAAATTTGAGATACCTCAGAGTGGAGACATCAAGTTGGCTGATGCAAATGTGGGTCTAATCTAGAGGTTTAAATTGGTAATTCTCCTTTGTATAGATGGAAAGTGAATTCCCCGTGCAAAAGCAGAAGATGGGTCTTCATTGAACATTTGATGAATAAATGAATGAAGGCATAAACAAATGAATACAACAGTCTGATTATTCCTTGGTAGCCATTTAAACCAGAAGTGCTGGCTAGGCACGGTGGCTCAACCTGTAATCCCAGCACTTTGGGAGGCCGAGGCGGGTGGATCATTTGAGGTCAGGAGTTTGAGACCAACCAGGACAACATAGTGAAACCCTGTCTCCACTAAAAATATGAAAATTATCTGGGCACAGTGGTGCGCGCCTGTAGTCCCACTACTCGGGAGGCTGAGGCAGGAGAATCGCTTGAACCTGGGAGGCGAACGTTGAAGTGAGCCGAGATCGCACCACTCTACTCTAGCCTGGGTGACAGAGCAAGACTCGGTCTCAAAAAAAAAAAAAATCAACAACCAGAAGTGCTGACAAGTCCAAGTAGATGAGATAAATAGAATGAATACAGCTCAGGAAATCATTAGTGAACTGGCAGACCAACTTGAGTAACTTTCCCAGAAAGAAACAAAATACAAAAAATAGGAAAATATAAAATAAAAACTATAAGATGCAGAGGGTACAAGTAGAAGTAAAAATACCCAGATAATAAGATTTCAGAAAGACACACATAAAAATAAATAGAAAGGCCGGGCGCGGTGGCTCATGCCTGTAATCCCAGCACTTTGGGAGGCCAACGTGGGTGGATCACCTGAGGTCAGGAGTTTGAGACCAGTCTGACCAACATGGCGAAACCCCGTCTCTACTAAAAATACAAAAGAATTAGCCAGGCGTAGTGGCAGACACCTGTAATCCCAGCTACTTGGGAAGCTGAGGCGGGAGAATCACTTGAACTGGGGAGATGGAGGTTGCAGTGAGCCGAGATTGCACTACTGCACTCTAACCTGGGTGACAGAGCAAGACTCCGTCTCAAAAAAAAAAAAAAAAAATTGAAGAAATAACATGGCTGGGCATGGTGGCTCACACCTGTAATCCCAGCAGTTTGGGAGGCAGAGGCAGGTGGATCAACTGAGTCGGCAGTTCGAGACAAGCCTGGCCAACGTGGTGAAACCCTGTCTCCTAAAAATACAAAAATTGGCCGGGCCTGGTGGTGCATGCCTGTAATCCCAGTTACTCGGGAGGCTCAGACAGGAAAATCGCTTGAACCCAGGAGGTAGGGGTTGCAGTGAGCCGAGATCGCACCATTGCACTCCAGCCTGGGCAACAAGAGTGAAACTCTGTCTCAAAAAAAAATTTTTTTGAATAAATAATAAAAATAAAATGTATTAAAATTTAGGAAAAGATCAAAAAGACTTCTGTTTCCTTTGAGGATATAGAAGTTTTTAGCAGGCCAGTGATCCCATTGCAAAACAAAAAAATTTTAATTGCAAAAATCATCTTTTTTTTTTTTTTTGAGACAGAGACTCACACTGTTGCCCAGGCTGGAGTGCAGTGGTATGATCTAGGCTCACTGCAGCCTCCACCTCCCAGGTTTAAGCGATTCTCATGCCTCAGCCTCCGGAGTAGCTGGGATTACAAGTGCCCGCTATCATGCCTGGCTAATTTTTTGTATTTTTAGTAGAAACAGGGTTTCACTATGTTGGTCAGGCTGGTCTGGAACGCCTGACCTCATGATCCACCTGCCTCGGCCTCCCAAAGTGCTGGGATTACAGGCGTGAGCCACCGCACCTGGCCACAGAAAAAAATCATCTTTTTTAAAGACAGCAGAGAGCTGTGAACACAACGAGAATGAAATGAATTAAAAATTTTTTTTTAATTTTTTCAGACAGAGTCTCACTCTGCCACCCAGGTTGGGGTGCAGTGGTATCATCTCGGCTCATTGCAACCTCCGTCTCCCAGGTTCAAGCGATTCTCCTGCCTCGGCCTCCCTAGTAGCTGGGATTACAGATGTGTGCCACCACACTAGGCTAATTTTTGTATTTTTAGTAGAGATGGGGTTTCGCCATGTTGGCCAGGCTGGTCTCGAACTCCTGACCTCAGGTGATCCACCCAACTCGGCCTTCCAAAGTGCTGGGATTACAGGCGTGAGCCACTGTGCCCGACCTTTAAAATGTTTTTTTAAATCCCCTCAAAAAAAAAAAATTCCAGAATGAATGAGCTGACCATCATTGGTCAAATTTTTTTCCTGGAGGCAATTCCCCCATTCTAGGCATAAAAACCTAGTCCAGGCAAAGGGACTCTCCTGGTGAGAAGAGAAACCAGCAGAGCTTTTGGTGGTCATGAGGCACTGGAAGCTCCTAGAAGCTCCTCAAAGGCAGAATGAAATCTTCTGCAGCCTCATAGTGTTCAGTAGACAAAGTCCCAAACATAGGACATTTGCCAGATTTTGAAGATACAATGGTCAGGAGGCAAAAGAGTGAGGCTCAAAACCTCTAAAAGGCAGAGGCTGAGTGAGGTGACTCACACCAGCAGTCGCAGCACTTGGGGAGGCTGAAGCAGGAGAACCACTTGAAGCCAGAGTCTGAGACCATCCTGGGCAGCACAGCAAGACCCCATCTGTACAAAACAATTTTAAAAAATTATCTGGGCATGGTAGTGTACGCCTATAGCCCCGGCTACTCGGGAGACTGAGGTATGAGGATCAACGGGGCCCAGGAGTTCGAGATTGCAGTAAGTTATGTTCATACCACTGCACTTCAGCCTGGCTCACAGCACAAGACTTTGTCTCTAATAAATAAAAATAGGAGGCTAAGACAGGAGAATCGCTTGAACCTGGGAGGTGGAGGTTGCAGTGAGCCGAGATTGTGCTACTGCACTCCAGCCTGGGCGACAGAGTGAGACTCCATCTCAAAAATAAATAAATAAATAAACAAATAAATAAATAAAAATAAATAAATAAACAACAGAACAAAATCTCCCACAGCTTATAAGCTGAAGAGACAGATACCTTCCAGGCTCCCCTTCAAAAGCCCAGGAGGATCATGGCTGTGGAACAGGGATAAGAGAGGTAGCCAGACTCATCCTAAATCCAGCTCAGTTCCTGACTGTATTGAGGTGATCAATTCCTAACTTTATTAACCTAAAAGAGTAAAAGTAGAACACTCTCCAGTGGAAGATAAAATCTTCTGTATGAAAGATAATGGTTCTTTGGATCAGGCATGTAAGAAGCTTGGAAGTTGTCACTCCATCCTGTTAATAAGTAAAAAGCTAAACAAGCTGAAAAATCAACAATGCTTCTTAGATCCATAAGAGAAATGGAGTCACAGGGCAAACCACTGTCTTCAAAATTGGAGACACAGACAGGTGAATACAGAGAATCACCATTTACCCAAGCAGAAGCCTCTGAGGGGGCCAGGCGGGGTGGCTCATGCCTATAATCCTAGCACTTTGGGAGGCCAAGGTGGGCGGATCACTTAAGTCCAGGAGTTTGAGACCAGCCTGGCCAACATGGCAAAACCCTGTCTCTACTAAAAATACAAAAATTAGCCAGGTGCGGTGGCGCAATCCTGTAATCCCAGCCACTTGAGAGGCTAAGGCATGAGAATCACTTGAACCCGGGAAGCAGAGGTTGCAGTGAGCTGACATCGTGCCACTGCACTCCCTCCTGGGCTACAGAGTGAGCCGGGGAGGGGAGGGGAAGGGAGGGGAGGGGAGGGGACCAAGAAACCTCCGGGGGATCCAGTGCTGGAGAGGAAACCATGAACTGCAATTGACAAAGTGCAGGAGGTTCAGTGTGGACAAGCCTGAAAGTTAAAAACTCCAGGATGACCCAGTCACAGGCAGGCCCCCGCACCTTTGTGAGTTTTACCTCCAGGAGCTTGACCTGGTTTTCACAGTAAATATTGGAGAAAAATTCCTTCATGCTTCCAGCAGTGGGAGGGGAAAAGGAACCATTTTGAAATACACCAGAGCATTCTGTTCTCAACAAAGTCTGCCCTCAGGAGAAATCAGGGCCTAAGCTTCCGGGTTTTATCAGGGCTTAACTCAGCTGGGAGAAGGGAAGTACCCAACTCCAGACCCCTCTAACCTTCCCTGTGGGAGAGGAAAATACCCCAATCCAACCCACTGTACATATCCAGACCCACCTAAAGGTGGTGGGGAGACTAGCAGCATGTGTGAAGTCCACAGTCCAGAGGCACAGACTTACTGAAAGACTGCGACCTATTCACAGGACAATAGTATCCTTTACCACACTCCCCCCATACCTTACCACCCCTTTACAAAGGCCTGTTTTCAGCAGGTTCTTTTACCCAGTACATTATGTCCAGCTATCAAGAGAAAATTACAAGGCATGCTAAAAAGACAAAAAAAGAGAGTTTGAATAGACAGAAGAAGCATCATAAGCAGACTCAGATATGGGAGATATTCAGAATTATTAGACCAGGAATTTAAAACAACGATGAATAATACGATGGCTTTCATGGATAAAGTCAACAGCATGCAAGAACAGATGGACAGTGTAAGACAGGTGGAAATTCTACGAAAGAACCAAAAAGAAATACTAGAGATGGAAAACATGAGGACAGAAATGAAGAATGTGTTTGGCGGATTACTTAGTGGTACAGTAATCCACTGAACACAGCGAGGAAAGAATCTCTGCGCTTGAGGATATTTCAATAGAAACCTCAAAAACTAAAAAGCAAAAAGAAAAGAGACTTTAAAAAAACCCCACAGAAACAGAACTTCAAGAACTGTGGGAAATTATGAAAGCTGTAACAACGTGTACTGAGAATAGCAGAAGGAGAAGAAAAAGAGAAAGTAACAAAAGAAAAGACATATTTGAAACAACAATGACTGTAATTTTTCAAAATTAATGTCAGAAACCAAACCACATATTTAGAAAGGTCAGAAAACATCAAGCCAGATAAATGCCAAAATGACACCTAGCCGGGCGCGGTGGCTCATGCCTGTAATCCCAGCACTTTGAGAGGCTGAGGCAGGAGGATCACTTGAGGCCAGGAGTTCGAGAACAACCTGGGCAACAGAGAGACCCTGTCTCTACAAAAAAAAATAAAAATAATTCTCTGGGTGTGGTGGCACCTGCCTGTGGTCTCAGCTATAGGGGAAGCTGAGGTGGGAGGATCGCTTGAGCCCCAGAGGTCAAGGCTACAATGAGCCATGATTGTGCTACCGCACTCCAACCCGGGCATCAAAGCAAGATCCCATCTGTTAAAAAAAAAAAAAAAAAAAAGGTTGGCACAGTGGTTCACACCTGTAACCCTCAGCACTTTGGGAGGCCAAGGTGGGAAGATCACTTGAACCCAGGAGCTCAAGATCAGCCTGGGTAACATAGGGAGACTCCCTCTCTACAAAAAAATTAAAAAATAAAAATAAAATACATAAAACATAAAAATAAAAATTATGTGAGGGCAGTGGCATGTACCTGTAGTCCCAGCTACTCACGAGGCTGAGGCAGGAAGATCCCTTGAGCATGGGAGGTTGAGGCTGCAGTGAGTTATGATCACACACTCCACTGCACTCCAGCCTGGGTGACACAGCAAGACCATGAAGAAAGGAAAGAAAAGAAAAAAAGAAAGAGAGAGAGAGAGAGAAAGAAAGAAAGAGAGAGGGAGGGAAGTAGGGAAGCAGGGAAGGAAGAAAGAAAGGGGAAAGGAGAGGGAAAGGGAGGGAAGGGAAAGGAAGGGTCCAGAAAGAAGCCAGAGGAGAAGAATAATACCTATAGAAGAGCAAAGATAAGAATTACATCCAACTTCTCAGAAACCATGCAAACAAGAAAAGAGTGGCAAACAGAAATTGAAGGAATTTGTTGCCAGTGGTCCTACCTTGCAAGAAATGGTAAAAAGAGGTTCTTTGAAGAGAAGGACAATGGTATAGGTCAGAAATTTAAATCTACATAAAGACAGAAAGAGCGGCCAGGCGCGGTGGCTCACTTATATAATCCCAGCACTTTGGGAGGTGGGTGGATCACCTGAGGTCAGGAGTTCGAGACCAGCCTGGCCAACATGGTGAAACCCCGTCTCTACTAAAAATGCAAAAAATTAGCTGAGTGTGGTGGCGTGCACCTGTAATCCCAGCTACTCTGGAGGCTGAGGTAGGAGAATTGCTTGAACCCAGGAGACGAAAGTTGCAGTGAGCCGAGATCGTGCCACTGTACTCCAGCCTGGGCAACAGAGTGAGACTCTATCTCAAAAAAAAAAAAAAAAAAGAGCACTGAACAAGGACAAAGTAAAAGTAAAACAAAAACTTTTTTACTTTTTTTCTCCTTAATTGATCTAACAGATAACAGTTGGTTTAAACTAATAATAATGATGTACTTATGTATGCATTTATTATGTACATAGACATACATTTATGTATATTGATGTATACGTGAAATGAATGACAGCAATAATACAGGAATGAGAGAGAAGAATTGGGATTTTTTTTTTTTTTTTTTGAGATGGAGTCTCGCTCTGTCGCCCAGGCTGGAGTGCAGTGGCTCGATCACGGCTCACTGCAAGCACTGACTCCCGGGTTCACGCCATTCTCCTGCCTCAGCCTCCAGAGTAGCTGGGACTACGGGCACCTGCCATCATGCCCAGCTAATTTTTTTTTTTTTGTATTTTTAGTAGAGATGGGGTTTCACCGTGTTAGCCAGGATGGTCTCGATCTCCTGACCTCGTGATCTGCCTACCTTGGCCTCAAAGTGCTGGGATTACAGGCGTGAGCCACCGCACCCGGCCAAAACACATCTTGATAATTTTTTTTTTTTGATGGCCTCCCTCTGTCGCCCAGGCTGGAGTGCAGTGGTGCGATCTCAGCTCCTTGCAACCTCCAACTCCTGGGTTCACGCGCTGCTCCTGCCTTAGCCTCCTGAGTAGCTGGAATTACAGGCACCTGCCACAATGCCCAGCTAATTTTTTGTATTTTTAGTAGAGACAAGCTTTCACCATGTTGGCCAGGCTGGGCCTCGAACTCCTGACTTCAGGTGATCCACCCACCTTGGCCTCCCAAAGTGCTAGGATTACATGCCCGGCTAATTTTTGTATTTTTAGTAGAGATGCAGTTTCACCACGTTGCCCAGGCTGGTCTCAAACTCCTGACCTCAAGTGATCTGCCTGCCTTGGCTTTGCAAAGTGCTGGAATTACGATATCTTAATAAACTTTTTTTTTTTTTGAGACAGAGTCTTGCTCTGTCACCAGGCTGGAGTGCAGTGGCACAATCTTGGCTCACTGCAATCTCCGCCTCCTGAGTTCAAGCAATTCTCCTGCCTCAGCCTCCTGAGTAGCTGGGACTACAGGTGCGTGCCACCACACCCAGCTAATTTTTGCATTTTTAGTACAGACGGGGTTTCACTATGTTGGCCAGGATGGTCTTGATCTCTTGACCTCAGTGATCCACCCGCCTCAGCCTCCCAAAGTGGTAGGATTACAGGCCTGAGCCATCGTGCCCAGTCAACTTTTTTTTTTTTTTTTTTTTTTTTTGAGACAGTATCTTGCTCTGTCACCCAGGCTGGAGTGCAATGGCGTGATCTCTGCTCACTGTAACCTCCATCTTCTGGGTTCAAGCGATCCTCCTGCCTCAGCCTCCCGAGTAGCTGGGATTACAGGTGCCTGCCACCACACCCAGCTAATGTATGTATTTTTAATATAGATTGGGTTTCACCATGTTGGCCAGGCTGGTCTCGAACTCCTGACCTCAAGTGATCCACCTGCCTCAGCCTCCCAAAGTGCTGGGATTACAGGCCTGAGCCACTGCACCCTGATGATGATAAACTTTTTTTTTTTGTATTTTTAGTAGAGAGGGGGTTTCACCGTGTTAGCCAGGATGGTCTCGATCTCCTGACCTTGTGATCAGCCTGCCTCAGCCTCTCAAAGTGCTGGGATTACAGGCATGAGCCACCACACCCAGCCGATAAACTTTTTAAAATAGAAAAGATACAAAGTATGCTCTTAGACCATGATGGAATTAAAGTAGAAATAAACAAGACAGATAGCTGGAAAATCCCAAAAACTTGAGAGATTAAACAACACACTTCTAAATAACACATGGGTAAAACAAAAAATCCCAAGAGAAATTGCAAAATATTTTGAACTTGGACGGGCAGGTTGGCTCCCGCCTATAATCCTAGCACTTTGGGAAGCTGAGGCGGGAGGATCGCTTGAGACCAGGAATTCGAGATCAGCCTGGGCAACATAGCAAGAACTCATCCCTACAGAAAAATTTAAAATTAGCCAGGTTTGGTGGCACATGCCTATAATCACAACTACTCTGAAAGCCAAGGCGAGAGGATCACTTGAGCCCAGGAGTTCAAGTCTGCAGTGAGCAATGTTTGCTCCACTGCACTCCAGCCTGGAGACAGTAAGACCGTGTCTCCCCTAAAAATAAAAATAAATTTAAAAAAGAAAAAACCAGCCTGGGCAACATGGCAAAACCCCATATCTACAAAAAAAAAAAAAAAGTACAAAAAATTAGCCACACCGGGTATGGTGGCACGCACCCGTAGTCCCAGCTACTCAGGCGGCTGAGGTGGGAGGATTGCTTGAGCCGGGGAGGCGGAAGTTGCAGTGAGCTGAGATCCCCCAACTGCACTTCAGCCTGGGGGACAGAACAATACTCTGTCTCAAAAAAAGAAAAACAAAAGAACAAAACCCCATAACTTATCAAAATTTGTGGAATGCAACAAAAGCAGTGCTTAGAGAAAATTTATAGCATTGTATGCATGTACTAGAAAAGAAGAAAGAGGCTGGGCACGGTGGCTCACACCTGTAATCTCAGCACTTTGGGAGGCCAAGGCCAACTCACTTGAGTACAGGAATTCGACACCAGCCTGGGCAACATGGTGAAACCCCCATCTCTACAAAAAAACACAAAAACTAGGCCGGGCGCGGTGGCTCACGCCTGTAATCCCAGCACTTTGGGAGGCCAAGGTGGGTGCATCACGAGGTCAGGAGTTCAAGACCAGCCTGACCAAGATGCTGAAACCCCGTCTCTACTAAATACACAAAAAATTAGCTGGGCGTGGTGGCACGCGCCTGTAATCCCAGCTACTTCAGAGCCTGAGGCAGGAGAATCGCTTAAACCCAGGTGCCAGAGGTTGCAGTGAGCCACTGAACTCCAGCCCGGGCAACAGAGCAAGACTTCGTCTCAAAAAAAAAAAAAAAAAAAATTCCAAAAACTAGACAGGCATGGTGGCGCGTGCCTGTACTCCCAGCTACTTGGGAGGCAGAGGCGGGAAGATCACTTGAGCCTGTGAAGCGGAGGTTGCAGTGAGAAAAGATTGGGCCACTGCACTCCAGCCTGGGTGACAGAGCCAGACCCTGTCTCAAAAAAAAAAAAAAAAAAAAAAAAGAAGAGAAAAGAAGAAAGACATCTAACAAAAGCAACTTAGCCTTCCAACTTAGGAAACTAGATAAAGAAAAGAAAAGAAAATTAAAACCAAAGTAAGCAGTAAAAAGAAGTAACAAATTAGAGTAGAAATGAATGAAAGTTAAAAAAAAAAAAAAGAAAAATCAATAGAGAAACTCAACAAAACCAAAAGCTGGCTCTTTGAAAAAATAAATAAAATCAATAAGCATCTAGCCAGGCTAAGAAAAAATATAGAGGACACAAAGTGGCTCATGCCTGTAATGCCAACAATTTGGTAGACGGAGGCAGGAGGATCCCTTGAAGTCAGGAGTTTCAGACCAGCCCTGGCAACAGAGTGAGACTCCATCTTTTGTTTTTTTCGCTTTTTTTTTTTGTAGAGACAGAGTCTCACTCTGTTGCCCAGGTTGGAGTATGGTGGCGAAATCTTGGCTCTCGGCAACCTCCGCCTCCCAGGTTCAAGCAATTCTCCTGCCTCAGGCTCCCAAGTAGCTGGGATTAAAGGCACTCGCCACCACCCCTAGCCAATTTTTGTACTTTAATAGAGACAGGGTTTCACAGTGTTGGCCAGGCTGGTCTTGAACTCCTGACCCCAGGTGATCCACCTGCCTCAGCCTCCCAAAACGCTAGAATTACAGGCATGAGCCACAATGTCCAGCCAAAACATTTTTTTTGAATTAGCTGAGTGGGGTGGCATGCACCTGTAGTCCCAGCTACTCGGGAGGCTGAGGTGGGAGGATCACTTGAACACAGGAGTTTGAGGCTACAGTGAACTAGGTCATGCTACTGCACTCCAGCCTGGGCAACAGAGCAAGACACTGTCTGAAAAAAAAAAAAAAAAGGAAGAAAGAAAAAGGAAGGAAGGAAGGAAGGGAGGGGCGGGCGTGGTGGCTCACACCTGTAATCTCAGCACTTTGGGAGGCCAAGGTGGGCGGATCACTTGAGGTCAGGAGTTTCAGACCAGCCTGGGCAAGCAACATGGTGAAACCCCATCTCTACAAAAGTACAAAAATTAGCCGGCCATGATGGCAGGTGCTTGTAATCCCAGCTACTCGGGAGGCTGACGTGGTGCAGTGGCTCATGCCTGTAATCCCAGTACTTTAGGAGATCAAGGGAGGTGGATCACTTGGAAGCCAAGAGTTCAAGACCCGCCTGGCCAACATGGCGAAACCCCATCTCTACAGAAAATACAAAAATTAGCCAGGCATAGTGGTGAATGCCTGTAATCCCAGCTACTTGGGTGGCTGAAGCACTAGAACTGTTTGAACCCAGGAGGTGGAGGTTGCAGCAAGTCAAGGCTGTACCACTGTACTCCAGCCTGGGCAACAGAGTGAGACTCTATCTCAAAAACTATAACAACAATACAACAATACTGTATATATTAGCAACCAAAAATATGATATACTTAGTGTAGAAAGTAAAAAATTTGCTCTTCAAAGTTTCCCTTCTTGTTAAAGAATAAATCATAAGTGTTAGAAATAATAGTTTCTGGCCGGGTGCGGTGGCTCATGCCTGTAATCCCAGAACTTTGGGAGGCCGAGGCAGGTGAGGTCAGGAGTTCAAGACCAGCCTGGCTAACGTGGTGAAGCCCCGTCTATACTAAAAATACAAAAATTAGCCAGGTGTGGTGGCAGGCACCTGTAATCCCAGCTACTCAAGAAGCTGAGGCAGAGAATTCTTGAACCCGAGAGATGGAGGTTGCCGTGAGCAGAGATTGTGCCACTGCACTCTAGCCTGGGTGACAGAGCAAGACTCTGTCTAAAAAAAAAGAGAAAAGAAAGAAAGAATAGTTTCTTGTAAAGACTAACTTCCTTCAAGCCTCCTTGCTTTGTGCTAATAACTCTTTGTTAAGCCCTATCCTATGCAGCTGTTAGACATAAGGGAATAAGTACATTCTATGTCCTTGTACTTTAACCAAGACATTTGTTCTGGACATGCTCAGGCATGTCCCAGCTCACAGCCTATGCCCCTTCCTTATTTGGGAATGTTATTACTTTTCTAAGTCCTTTCATAAGGAACTTCCTCTTTTCCTCTGTTCTCCATTGCTTTTACCTATTTAGAAAAGTTTTAAATTATTAGCCAATCGGGTTTTAGTTTAGATCATGCAGTCTGGCTCCAACTGATGGAGACCGGACACAGTAGCAGGGACAAACTGCATAAGGAATAAAAATTGTTTCCCTCCTTTGTTCAGGTGTGCTCTCACCAGTGTTCCATCTGCGAGGAGCACCCTTTCTGTAGAAATTAAAATTGCCTTGCTAAGAAAACTTTTTGTCTGAATGCTGATTTTTCCTTGCAGTACCGACGAACAAGTATTCTGTTTCTAAATAAACATTTTATATATAACATTATTATTATTATTTGTTTTTCTCACTTTTTTTCTTTTTGAAGCAGAGTCCCCCTTTGCCGCCCAGGCTGGAGTGCAGTGGTGGGATCTTGGCTCACTGCAACCTCCACCTCCCAGGTTCAAGTGATTCTCCAGCCTCAGCCTCCCCAGTAACTGGGACTACAAGCATGTGCCACTACTCTGGGCTAATTTTTGTATTTTTAGTAGAAACGGGTTTTCACTATGTTGGCCAGGCTAGTCTCAAACTCCTGACCTCAGATGATCCACCCACCTCAGCCTCCCAAAGTGCTGGGATTACAGGCATAAGCAATCATGCCCGGCCTTCACTTTGTCTTATGGTGCTGACCAATAGAACTTTTCATGGAACCTTTTATGATTATTCCAAAACTTATAAGGAAGTGTAATCACCAATGATAGTCAAGACTCTTCTGAATAAAAAAAGCAGAAAGGAAGACTTGTCCAACTAGGGATCAGAACTTACTAGGAAGCCATGGTACTTAATAACATGAGGTGCTGAGGCAGGAGAAGACAGATTAAGTAACCCAGACACAGACCCATGCTTTGTATGAAACGTTGATGTATGACAGACATGTTTTGTTAGGTCACTGGAGAAAGGAGGTATTGTTCAAAAATGGAGATGGAAAACTTAGCTATCCTTATAAACAAAAGTTAAAATGGATCACTCCCTTATACCATATTACACCAGCAACTACACATGGATAAGGGTGTAAACATATATATGTATATATATATGTATTTTGAGACAGAGTCTTCTCACTCTGTCTCCCAGGCTGGAGTGCAGTGGCCCAATCTTGGCTCACTGCAACCTCTGCCTCCCAGGTTCAAGCAGTCCTCCAGACTCAGCCTCCTGAGAAGCTGAGACTACAGGCATGAGTCACCACACCTGGGTAATTTTTGTATTTTTTAGTAGAGACAGGGTTTCACCATGTTGGCCAGGCTGGTCTCGAACTCCTGACCTCAAGTGATCCACCCACCTTGGCCTCCCAAAGTGCTGGGATTACAGGCATGAGCTACCACACTTGGCCAGGGTGTAAATATTAAAACAAAACTTTAAAATTTAATAAAAAGGAGAGATGAATATTTTTAAAACATTGGAGTAGAGAAAATTTCCCTAGAAAAAATAGAAAAAGATGTCATTTCCTCCTTCCTTTTTTCTCCTTCTTCTCTCCTTCCCCTTTGTTAGGGCTGAGCTTTCCACTGGCCCATAAAGCAGAAGGAGGGGGCCCAGTATGTTCCAGTCAACCTGTGTGACTAGGACAGAGGGAAGGAGTGGGATTGGGGAAGTGAGTAAGCACATTAAGGATGAAGGGAGTCAGACTTGCCACTGTAATATGTTACACATGGAAAGAGGGAAGGCTGGAATAAACCCTGCAGGGTTGGACTAGAAATTGGAGTATTGGCTGTGATTGTGTTTTTTTAATATACATAGACATAGATGTCTATTACTTGTACCAAAAAGTAAGGATGTGTGCATAGAAGAATTGTGGAATGTCAAAAGAATACAGAAACCAGCTTGAAGGGGTTTTCATTGGCCTAATCTAGAAAAAATTGAACATTAAAATATATCGATTGGGCATCATGGCTCACGTGTGTAATCCCAACTCTTTGGGAGGCTGAAGCAGGAAGAACACTTGAGGCCAGGAGTTTGAGACCAGCCTGGGCAACATAGGGAGACCCCATCTCTACAAAAGTAAAAATTAGCCAGGCATGGTGGTGTGTGCCTATAATCCCACCAACTCAGAAGGCTGAGGTAAGAGGATCCCTTGAGCCCTGCAGTTCAGGTCTGCAGTGAGCTATGATTGCCACACTGCACTCCAGCCTGGGCAAAGAAGCAAGACCTGCCTCTAAAAAATAATAATAATAATAACAATAATAATAATAAATGGCCGGGCGAGGTGGCTCATGCCTGTAATCCCAGCACTTTGGGAGGCAGAGGCAGGCAGATCACCTGATGTCGGGAGTTCGAGACCAGCCTGGCCAACAGTGTGAAACCTCGTCTCTACTGAAAATACAAAAATTAGCCGGGCATAGTGGTGTATGCCTGTAATCCCAGCTACTCGGGAGGCTGAAGCAGGAAAATGGCTTGAACCCAGGAGGTGGAGGTTGCAGTGAGCCAAGACCGCACCACTGCACTCCAGCCTGGGCAACAAAGTGAGACTCTGTCAAAAAAAAGAAAAAATTTTGTACAACTCAAGAAAAAGACAATTAAGAATAGGCAAGGGAGAGCCTGGCGCGGTGGCTCACACCTGTAATCCTAGCACTTTGGAAGGCCAAGGCGGGTGGATCACTTGAGGTCAGGAGTTTGAGACCAGCCTGGCCAATAGGGTGAAACCCCACCTCTACTAAAATACAAAAATTAGCCAGGCTTGGTGGTGGGTGCCTGTAGTCCCAGCTACTCAGGAGGCTGAGGCACAAGAATCGTTTGAACCCAGGAGGCGGAGGTTGCAGTAAGCGGAGATCCAGCCACTGCACTCCAGCGTGGGCAACAAAGTGAAACACCATCTCAAAAAAACAAAAAACAACCCCCCCCACAAAAAAGATCACGCAAAAGGGCCAGGCACAGTGGCTCACCATTGTAATACCAGTGCTTTGGGAGGCCAAGGTGGGAGGATTGCTTGAGGCTGAGATCAAGACCAGCCTGGGCAATATAGAGAGACCCTGTCTCTACTCACCTCCCACAAAAAAAAAATTAGCAAAGGACTTGAATAGACATTTCTCTAAAGAAGATACACAAATGGCAAATAAGTACATGAAAAGATGCTCAACATCATTAGACATTAGGCAAATGCAAATTAAAACCACAGTTGAAACCCTCCCAGGTTCAAGCGATTCTCCTGCCTAGCCTTCCAAGTAGCTGGGATTACAGGTGTGTGCCACCACACCCGGCTAATTTTTGTACTTTTAGTAGGGACACGGTTTTACCATGTTGGCCAGGCTGGTCTCGAACTCCTGACCTCAAGTGATCTGCCAACCTCTGCTTCCCAAAATGTTGAGGTTACAGGCGTGAGCCACCACGCCAAGCCAATCAGGTGGTTCCTTCCTTCCTTCCTTTTTTTTTTTTCTTTGTCAGAGTCTCACTCTGTCGCCCGTGTTGGAGTGCAGTGGTGTGAACTTGGCTCACTGCAACCTCCGCCTCCCAGGTTCAAGTGATTCTCATGCCTCGCTCCACAAGTAGCTGGGATTACAGTCGCACGCCACCACGCCTGACTAATTTTTGTATTTTTACACCATGTTGGCCAGGCTGGTAAATTTGGTGATTTCTTAAGCGTATCTTGGGGGAAAAAAGTTTCTGAGAGCAGTAAGTATAAACGTGTGTCTAAAATGTGTGTCCTTTTATTTATTTATTTTTTTGAGATGGAGTCTTGCTCTGTCGTCCAGGCTGGAGTGCAGTGGCGCAATCTCGGCTCACTGCAACCTCCGCCTCCCGGGTTCAAGCAATTCTTTACCTCAGCCTCCTGAGTGGCTGGGATTACAGGCGCCTGCCACCACGCCTGGCTAATTTTTTGTATTTTTAGTGGAGACGGGGTTTCACCATCTTGGCCAGGCTGGTCTCGAACTCCTGACCTCGTGATCCACCTGCCTCGACCTCCCAAAGTGCTGGGATTACAGGTGTGAGCCACTGTGCCCGGCCTGGACTTATCTTTTCCAATAGTTATTATTTCTTCCTGTACTTCCTGGGGCCTTGGAGGTATCATGAATCCATACCTGCTTTTTTTTTTTTTTTTTTTTTGAGACAGTGTTTTGCTCTTGTTGCTCAGGCTGGAGTGCAATAGTGCAATCTCGGCTCACTGCAACCTCCGCCTACTGGGTTCAAGTGATTCTCCTGACTCAGCCTCTTGAGTAGCTGGGATTACAGGCACCCACCACCACGCCCAGGTAATGTTTTTTGTATTTTTAGTAGAGATGGGGTTTCACCATGTTGGCCAGGCTGGTCTTGAACTCCTGACCTCAGGTGATCCATCCACCTCAGCCTCCCAAAGTGCTGGGATTACAGGCGTGAGCCACCGTGCCCAGCCTTTTTTTTTTTTTTTAGACAGAGTGTCACTCTGTCACCCAGTCTGGTGTGCAGTGTGGCACCATCTCCCCTCACTGCAACCTCCACCTCCCGGGTTCAAGCGATTTTCCTGCCTCAGCCTCTCCAGTAGCTGGGATTACAAGCGCACACCACCACGCCCAGATAATTTTTATATTTTTAGTAGACACGGGGTTTCGCCATGTTGGCCAGGCTGGTCTCAAACTCCTGACCTCAAGTGATCTGCCTGCCTCGGCCTCCCAAAGTGCTGGGATTACAGGAGTGAGCCACCGCGCCTGGCCATTGCTCTGGGTTCTTGATGCCTGTCATCACCTGGAGCTTGCTGGGCTGGCAAGAAGTGAACATCAGTGCCCTGTTGGCTGAAGCCCAGGATACAGCTCTAGACAACAGGATATAGGAAGGAACCCAGAAGCAAAACCTCCTCCTGTGGAAAGGGGTGGAGTCTTCCTTAGGAAGAGAGAAGTCGCCTTCCTTAGAGACTAGGAAGGAAGTTCATGGACACATGCAGGGTGAACCTGAGGACCAGAAGAGGAGAAGAATCCATGAAGATGCCATCCTTGAGAAGATCAAGAGATGTACTGCTTTACTGCATGCTACAAGGGAATGAATGGCTAAGTGAGCCTGAATTGTAATTTCTGTCTCTTTTATAATGTAAATTCCTTCTGAAAATGCCATAATTCCATGTTTTCCAAGCATTAGTATTCATGGGAATCACCTATAGCAGTGGTCCCCAACCTTTTTGGCACCAGGGTCTGGCTTCATGGAAGACAATTTTTCCACAGACAGGGTTGGGGGGACGTAGGATCGGGGGACCGATGGCTTTGAGATGAAACTCTTCCACCTCAGATCATCAGGCATTAGATTCTCATAAAGAACATGCAACCTAGATCCCTCAAATGCACAGTTACAATAGGGTTCACGCTCCTGTGAGAATCTACTGCTACTGCTGATCTGAAAGGAGGCAAAGCTTAGGTGGTAATGGCTCACCACCCCCATCACCTGCTGTGTACCCAGTGCCTAACAGGTGACAGACCCATACTGGTCTGCAGCTCTGGGTTCAGGGATCCCTGACCTCTATTTGTTGTAAATATAATTCCTAGAATCCTTCTATAGAGTCTGAATTAGTAGAAAAGGCAGACAGCTGTGGTTTATCCTGTTCAGCATCCTTCACCCTCTCTTTTGGAATACTTCTGGGAAACAAACTGGAGGACAAAATCCATAAGGACTTATTCATTAGCTCCCATCCCCATCAGTCAGTGATGGCCCCAAGGCATCGATTCTGCCACTTCTAGGATGCACGTGTGCTAGCGCTGAGCAGGCAAGAGTCCCACACTGAAGTATCAGAGAAGCTCCAGGGCAAAAAGCAAGAGGCACCAGGTGTGGGCCAGGTGCAATCACACTGCACCCATGCCAAGGCAGCAGAGCCTGCATAGAACTGGCGGTAGCAGCTGTGGCTTGAAAAAGAGGCATGGGCTGGGCGCTGTGGCTCACACCTGTAATCCCAGCACTTTGGGAGGCCGAGGCGGGCAGATCACCTGAGGTCACGAGTTGGAGACCAGCCTGGCCAACATGTTGAAACCCCATCTCTACTAAAAATACAAAAAAATTAGCCAGGCCTGGTTGTTCACGCCTGTAATCCCAGCTACTTGGGAGGCTGAGGCAGGAGAATCACTTGAACCCAGAAGGCGGAGGTTGCAGTGAGGCGAGATTGCGCCACTGCACTCCAGCCTGGGCAGCAAGAACGAAACTCTGTCTCATATCTCATTTTTTATTTTTATTTTTATTTTTTATTTTTTTCAGACAGAGTCTCACTCTGTCGCCCAGGTTGGAGTGCAGCGGCACGATCTCCGCTCACTGCAAGCTCCGCTTCCCAGGTTCAAGCGATTCTCCTGCCTCAGCTTCCCGAGTAGCTGGGACTACAGGCGCCCGCCACCACACCCGGCTAATTTTTTGTATTTGTAGTAGAGACGGGGTTTCACCATGCTAGCCAGGATGGTCTCGATCTCCTGACCTCGTGATCCACCCGCCTTGGCCTCCCAAAGTGCTGGGATTACAGGCGTGAGCCACCACACCTGGCACTGTCTCATATCTCATACCTACACACACACACACACACACACACACACACACACACACACACAGAGGTATGGCCAAGAGGATTTGAAGTAATGCACAAGAGATTTCCCATATGCTCCACTTCTTCCAGCTCTCAGCCCTGCATGGGCCCTCCATTAAGACCAATCCATCACAAGAAGATGTGTAGGACCAGCTATGTTCATTACCTTCCTCCGCTATTCCCCTTCTCAGTCTCTCTCACCTACACCCAACATTTTGTTTAATGGGTAAAGTGACCCAGAGGTAAGAAACAAAACCAAAAAAAACCCACCACCATTAAGTGATGGCACTAGTGGGGATTTGCACCCGCTCAGTTCTTCTCTAGAATTTGTTTGGGTGTTTTTTTGTTTGTTTTTGATATGGAGTCTTGCTCAGTTGCCCAGGCTGGAGTGCAATAGCGGGATCTTGGCTCACTGCAACCTCCGCCTCCTGGGTTCAAGCGATTCTCTGGCCTCAGCCTCCCGAGTAGCAGGGATTACAGGCGCCTGCCACCATACCTGGCTAATTTTTATATTTTTAGTAGAGACAGGGTTTCACCATACTAGCCAGGCTGGTCTCAAACTCCCAACCTCAGGCAATCTGCCCACCTCGGCCTCCCAAAGTGCTGAGATTACAGGCATAAGCTACCACACCTGGCCTAGAATTGGGGCTTTTTTTTTTTTTGAGATGGAGTCTCACTCTGTCGCCCAGGCTGGAGTGCAGTGGCGCAATCTCGGCTTACTGCAACCTCCTCCCCTCCAGGTTTAAGCAATTCTCTGCCTCAGCCTCAGGAGTAGCTGGGATTACAGGCGCGTGCCACCACACCCGACTAATTTTTTGTATTTTTAGTAGAGACGGGGTTTCACCATCTTGGCCAGGCTGGTCTGGAACTCCTGACCTCATGATCCACCCACCTCGGCCTCCCAAAGTGCTGGGATTACAGGTGTGAGCCACCGCGCCTGGAGAGAATTGGGGCTTTTAACCACGCAGTGCTGAGAAAAATTTCAAGGTAAGTGGCATCTGGGTTCAGTGAGAAAGAATACCATAACTGATTAGAGTGTCTACCAAAGGAATTGGTAGATACAACACCAAGAGAACAAGTAACAAAAGAAAAACCAGACTGGGCACGGTGGCTCACGACTGTAATCCCAGCATTTTGGAAGGCCAAGGCGGGAAGATCACCTGAGGTCAGGAGTTTGAGACCAGCCCAGCCAACATGGTGAAACCCTGTCTCTACTAAAAATACAAAAATTAGCTGGGTGTGGTGGCAGGCGCCTGTAATCCTAGCTACTCGGGAGGCTGAGGCAGGAGAATCACTTGAACCCGGGAGGTGGAAGTTGCAGTGAGCCAAGATCACACCACTTAACTCCAGCCTGGGCAAAAGAGCGAAACTCCATCTCAAAAAAAAAAAAAAAAAACAAAAAACTAGATACACTGGAAATTGGACATCAAAATTAGAAACTTTTGTGCTGCAAATCATAGACAGTGAAAAGACAACCCACAGAATGGGAGAAAACATTTCCATATCATATATCTGATAAGGGTCTAATATCCAGAATATATAAAGAACTCTTACAACTTGATAATATAAAGACTAATAATCTAATTTTTTAAAGGGGCAAAGGATTTCAACAGACGTTTCTCTAAAGATATACAAATGACCAAAAAAAAAAAGCACATGAAAGGTGTCTGATGTCATTAGTCAACAGGGAAATGCAAATCAAAACCACGGTGAGGTATCTCTGTGCCCCCACCAGGATGGCTGTAATATAAACAATGGACAATAACAAGTATTGACAAGGATGTGGAGAAATCGGATTTCTCTTACACTACTGGTGGGAACGTATGATGCGGCAGCTGTGGAAAAGAGTTTGGCAGTTCTCCAATAAATTAAACAGAATTACCATATCACTCGGCAATCCCACTCGCAAGCATATACCCAGAATAACTGAAAAAACACATGTTCAAACAAAAACTTGTACATAAATGTTCATAGCAGCTCTATTCACAACAGCCAAAAAGTGGAAACAACCTGATGCCCATCACTGATGAATGGAAGTAAAAGATTATATATACATACTATCAAATATTATCCAGAAATAAAAAGAAATGAAGCCAGGCACAGTGGCTCACGCCTATAATCCCAACACTTAGGGTGGCTGAGGCGGGAGGATCACTTGAGCACAGGAAGTCAAGACTAGCCTGAGCAACACAGTGAGATCCCATGCTACAAAAAATTATTTTAAATTAGCCGGGCATGGTGGCGTGCACTTGCAGTCCTAGCTACCCAGGAGGCTGAGGTAGGAGGATCACCTGAGCCAAGGAAGTCCAGGCTGCAGTGATCTGTGATCACACCACTGTACCTCCAGGCTGAGCAACAGAGTGAGTCTCTGTCTCAGAAAAAGAAGGAGAAAGAAAAGGAAAAAGAAGGAAGGAAGGAAAGGAGGGAGGGAGGGAGGAAGGGAAGGGAAAGAAAAAAGAAAAGGAGAAAAAGAAAAAGAAAGAAAGGGGCCGGGCAGGGTGGCTCACGCCTGTAATCCCAACACTTTGGGAGGGCGAGGTGAGCAGATCATCTGAGGTCAGCAGTTTGAGACCAGCTTGGCCAATATGGTGAAACCCCGTCTCTACTAAAAATACAAAAATTAGCTGGGTGTGGTGGTGGGGGCCTGTAATCCCAGCTACTCGGGAGGCTGAGGCGGGAGAATTGCTTGAACCCGGGATGTGGAGGTTGCAGTGAGCCACGATTGCGCCATTGCACTCCAGCCTGGGGGACAAGAGCGAAACTCCATCAAAAAAAGAAAGACAGGAAAGAAAAAGAGAGAGAGAGAGAAAGAAGAGAAGAGAAAGAAAAGAAAGAGAGGGAGAGAAAGAAAGGAGGGAGGGATGTTGGGAAGGAGGGAAGGAAGGAATGAAGGAAGGAGGGAAGGAAGGAAGGGAAAGAAAGAAAGAGAGAGAGAGAAAGGAGGGGGGATGTTGGGAAGGAGTGAAGGAAGGAAGGAAATGAAGGAGGGAAGGAGGGAGGGAGGGAGGTTGGGAAGGAAGGAAGGAAATGAAGAACTGATACATGTTACAACGTGGATAGACCTAGAAAATATATTGCTAATTTAAAAATGCCAGTCACAAAATGCCCACATATTATATGATCCCATGTATACAGAAGGTCCAGAATACACAAATTTGTAGGGACAGAAAGTAGGTTAGTGGTTGCTTAGGGATTGGGGTCGAGGGAGAAGAGTGAGGAGTGACCGCTAATGGGTATGAGGTTCGTTTTAAGAGGGAGGAAAATATTCTAAAATAAGATTGCCGTGATAATTTCACAACCCTGTGAATATACTAAAAAACATTGATATGCTCATTAAGTGAACGAGGTATATGGGAATATAAATTCTATCTCAATAAAGCTGTTTTTTAAAACCTGAAAGTCTCAGGCTGGGCACGGTGGCTCACGCCTGTAATCCTAGCACTTTGGGAGGCTGAGGCGGGCGGATCACGAGGTCAGGAGAGCGAGACCATTCTGACTAACTCGGTGAAACCCCATGTCTACTAAAAATACAAAAAATTAGCCAGGCGTGGTGGCGGGCGCCTGTAATCCCAGCCACTCGGGAGGCTGAGGCAGGAGAATGGTGTGAATCCAGGAGGTGGAGCTTGCAGTGAGCTGAGATGGCGCCACTGCACTCCAGCCTGGGCGACAGAGCAAGACTCCACCTCAAAAAAATAAAATACAATACAATAAAATAAAAAATAAAACCTGAAAATCTCAAATTCTGGGAAACCTCTCAATGCTGGGCAAACCGGGAGGTCTCCCTGGCACCACTCTTATCTCCATAAAATTTATTTATGTATTTATCTATTTATTTAATTAATTTTTGAGATGGCTCTCTCTGTCGCTCAGGCTGGAATGCAGTGTCTCGATCTCGGCTTACTGCAACTTCCGCCTCCTGGGTTCAAGCAGTGACTCTCCTACCTCAGCCTCCTGAGTAGCTGGGATTACAGGTGCCCGCCACCATGCCCAGCTGATTTTTTTTACTTTTAGTAAAGACAGGGTTTCACCATGTTCAACACGCTGGTCTCGACCTCCTGACCTCAGGTGATCCGCCCACCTCGGTCTCCCAAAGTGCTGGGATTACGGGCATGAGCCACCACGCCAGGCCCATACCTTTTTTTTTTTTTTTTTTTTTGAGACGGAGTCTCACTCTATCACCCAAGCTGGAGTGCAGTGGTGTGATCTCAGCTCACTGCAACCTCTGCCTTCAGGGTTTTAAGCATTTCTCTCTGCCTCAGCCACCCGAGTAGCTGGGATTACAGGTGCTCACCACCACGCCCGGCTAATTTTTGTATTTTTAGTAAAGACAGGGTTTCACCATGTTGGCCAGGCTGGTCTTAAACTCCTGACCTCAGGTGATCCACCCACCTAGGCCTCCCAAAGTGCTGGGATTCCAGGTGTGAGCCACTGCACCCGGCCTGCCAGGCCCATAAAATTAAAAAAAAAAAAGGGGGCGGGGGGGATTTGGGGAGAGAATGCAGTGTCTGGAGTATTAGTCAGCTTTTTGTTGTGGCAATGTTGTGTAACCAACAACCCTGGAACTTAGTCATTTACGGCAGCAAACATTTCTTTCTTATAGGTCTGTAGGTCAACTGTGGCTGCACTAGGCTAGCTGGGCTCAACTGTACTTGGCCCAGCTGTACTGTGAGTTAGGTTCCAGTCTACTCCAGGTGTCTCTCATTCCAGGACCCAAGCTGAAGAAGCAGCATATCCCTAGGGCATGCTCTTCTCAGATGGATGGCACACGCAATAGAAACCAAGCACACACCATACAATTACTACAACGCCTCAGCTAAGATTACTGCTTACTTCATGTCTGTTCACGCCCCATTGGCCAAGGCAAGTCACATGGTCACGTCCACAGTCACAAGGGTGGGGAAACATTCACTGTCTCATTTGAGGCACTGAAAAGCAAGGTAATGGGGCTGGACATATAATCTAATTATAGGAGGGGGTGGGATAGCTGGAAACAATAAGCCAACCAACTCAGAACAAATGCTTGCCATTCTTGCTCTACGAGACCTTTAGGGAGCAGGTCAAGAAGGATTCATCAGGCCAGGCATGGTGACTCACGCTTGTAATCCTAGCACTTTGGGAAGCCGAGGTGGGAGGATCACTTGAGCTCAGCAGTTCAAGTGGCAGAACATGGCAGAACCCTGCCTCTACCAAAAAAATATAAAAATTAGCTGGACGTGGTGGGATGTGCCTGTAGTCCCAGCTACTAAGGGGGCTAAGGTGGGAGAACTGCTTGAGCCCAGGAGGTTGAGGCTGCAGTGAGCCATGTTCGTGCCACTGTACTCCAGCCTGAGTGACAGAGTGAGATAAACACACATAAAAAGATAAGAATCGATCTATTTTGTCTAATTCTGCTGCATTAGCATCTTGTGTTTTTTTGGTTTTGGGGGGTATTTTTGAGATGGAGTTTTGCTCTTGTTGCCCAGGCTGGAGTGCAGTGGCACGATCTCGGCTCACCGCAACCTCCACCTCCTGGGTTCAAGCAATTCTCCTGCCTCAGCCTTCTGAGTACCTGGGATTATAGGCACGCGCCACCATGCCCAGCTAATTCTTTGTATTTTTAGTAGAGACGGGGTTTCATCATGTTGGCTGGGCTGGTCTCAAACTCCTGACCTCAGGTGATCCACCCGCCTCGGGCCTCCCGAAGTGCAGGGATTACAGGCGTGATAGGGTCTTTTTTTCTTTTTTCCGAGACGGAGTCTCGCTTTGTCGCCCAGGCTGGAGTGCAGTGGCACAATCTTGGCTAACTGCAACCTCTGCCTCCCAGGTTCGAGCGATTCTTCTGCCTCAGCCTCCCAAGTAGCTGGGATTACAGGCACCCACCACCACACCAGGTTAATTTTTGTATTTTTAGTAGAGACAGGGTTTCACCATGTTGGCCAGGCTGCTCTCGAACTCCTGACCTCAAGTGATCCGCCCATCTTGACTTCCCAAAGTGCTGGATCATGCCTGGCCAGGTCTTTTCTTAAAAAATAGAAATGGCATTTTAAATTCTGATTATAAAAGCAAAAATATCAGACAATACAGGATACTTTAACAAAAAAGTAGGAACAGCTTCCAGGAATAATTCTATGCCCGCCAATCTGACTCACCTCATTTTATTACACCAACGTGCAGGGCAGAAAGTCATTTGGTGATACGAGGATGTAAACAGTGCCTAGCATTGAACACACACGTGGACAGAGGAGGAGAAACAGGTTTGACATGTACAGAGCTAGAAGCTAGTCTGTGGGAATTAGTGGCCCATCTCCTGCCATGTGGAAAAAGACAGGCTGCAGGAAAGGGAGTATGGCTGATGTACACAAACAGAGGCAGAGACTGGGGGTGAAAAGAACGTCCTGGTAGCATTTATGTCCTGGGTCCGGTTATTCCTAAAGTCGGCCTGTATCCCTGCCCTTCCCACAATTGGGCATTCAGCCCTTCCTTCAGTTCCATGAGCCAATAAATCCCCCATTTTGTTCAAGCTAGTATATTTATTTATTTATTTCTTGAGACAGTCGCCTAGGCTGGAGTGCAGTGGCACGATCTCGGCTCACTGCAACCTCCACTTCCCGGGTTCAAGCGATTCTCCTGCCTCAGCCTCCCGAGTAGTTGGGACTACAGGCGCCTGCCGCCACACCCAGCTAATTTTTGTATTTTTAGTAGAGACGGGGTTTCACCGTGTTAGCCAGGATGGTCCCAAACTCCTGACCTTGTGATCTGCCCACCTCGGTGTCCCAAAGTGCTGGGGTTACAGGTGTCAGCCACTACGCCCAGCCAATTTTTATATTTTTAATAGAGATGAGGTTTTGTCTTGTTGTCCAGGCTGGTCTGGAACTCCTGACTTCAGGTGATCCACCCACGTCAGCCTCCCAAACTACTGGGATTACAGGCGTGAGCCATCACACCTGACCTTGAGCTAGTTTAGATTGAGAGTTCTGCAACAAGAACCCTAAAATGTGGCCACCCAGCTGGTGCTAACACCACAGATTCTGGGCTGATGCTGCAACTATAAAGATGGACAAAAACTGGTCCTGCAAACAAATAATTACAGCACAACGTGCCAAGTTTCATAACAGTGGGGTTCCAACGGATGTGGGACCAAGAGATGGACTTCTGACCACACACAACAACTGAATAAAATTTCACCAAGGAGTGCTAAGTTTTAGGGGCTGAACTGATACCAACATTGCTGTTAGGTCATTACTTTTCTTCTTTTGGATGACTTTAGGATAAGCTGGCAATAGGATTACTGAGCTGAAGAGCATGGCTATATATTTATTATGGCTTTTGCTAAAGACCACTACTAAATGCCAAGCCAGTTAAGAGTGAAGCCCCCCTGCCCTTACCTAGGCTTCAGACAGCCCTCTCCTCACTTGGAGCTGGGTCTAGTCCACTTGCTACAGCAGCCCACCCATATTTCTTTTTCTTTTTCTTTTGAGACGGAGTCTTGCTCTGTCACCCAGGCTGGAGTGCAACGGTGCAATCTCGGCTCACTGCAACCTCCGCCTCCCGGGTTCCAGTGATTCTCCTGCCTCAGCCTCCTGAGTAGCCGGAACTACAGGTGCGTGCCACCACCTGTAATTTTTGTATTTTTACAAAAATTAGCAGCCTGGCTAATTTTTGTATTTTTAGTAGAGATGAGGTTTCACCATATTGGCCAGGCTGCTCTCGAACTCCTGACCTCGTGATCCGCCTGCCTCAGACTCCCAAAGTGCTGGGATTATAGGCATGAGCCACCACGCCCGGCCCCCATATTTCAATATCCCCACAGCTATTCCCACTTGAGGCAGTCCACTCGCTGTCTCAGCTTGTCACTGGTGTCCTAAAATGCTACCAACAATAAAAGCTGTGCCAAAAGGAAATGCTTCCTCCAGCTTGGGCCTCCAGCCTAGGGGACACCATGGGGAGTGGCCTGGAGCAACTATTTGCTGGGACAGAAGCCATTGGTTCTCCACTCTTCCTGTTTTCAGTCTGTCCTGCCCCGTCCTAGGAATCTCATGTCTCAAGGCCAAATTCGCTAAGTCAAAAGACGAGTTACAGACATAACTTAGATTAGTAAGGGTCTACCCTCTCTCCTCCACAGGAAGCTGTCTCAACAATTAAGATTCCTGGCTGGGCACAGTAGCTCATGCCTGTAATTCCAGCACTTTGTGAGGCTGAGGTGGGAGGATCGTTTAAGCCCAGGAGTTTGAGACCAGCCTGGGCAACATAGGGAAACCCTGACTCTATAAAAATACAAAATGGGGCCAGGCGCATTGGCTCACACTTGTAATCCCAGTACTTTGGGAGGCCGAGGCAGGTGGATCACCAGGTCAGGAGTTCCAGACCAGCCTGGCCAATATGGTGAAACCTCATCTCTACGAAAAATACAAACAATTAGCCAGGCGCAGTGGCTCACGCCTGTAATCCCAGCACTTTGGGAGGCTGAGGTGGGTGGATCACAAGGTCAGGAGATCAAGACCATCCTGGCTAACACGGTGAAACCCCATCTCTACTAAAAATACAAAAAAATTAGCTAGGCGTGGTGGCGGGCGCCTGTAGTCCCAGCTACTCGGGAGGCTGAGGCAGGAGAATGGTGTGAACCCGGGAGGTGGAGCTTGCTGTGAGCCAAGATCACGTCACTGCACTCCAGCCTGGGCTACAGAGCAAGACTCTGTCTCAAAAAAAAAAAAAAAAAATACAAACAATTAGCTGGGCATGGTAGCGCGCACCTGTAATCCTAGCTACTCAGGAGGTTGGGGCAGGAGAACTGCTTGAACCCAGGAGGCAGAGGCTGCGGTGAGCAGAGATCGTGCCACTGCACTCTAGCCTGGGCGACAGAGCAAGACTCCACCTCAAAAATATATATGTAATAATAACAATAAATTAAATAAATAAATTCCAATTCTTGGCCAGGCACAGTGACTCACACTTGTAATCCCAGCACTTTGGGAGGCTGAGGCGGGAGGATCGCTTGAGCCCAGGAGTTCGAGGCTGTGGTGAGCTATGATTTCGCCACTGTACTCCAGGCTGGGTGACAGAGCCAGACTCTGCCTCTACAACAAACAAACAAACAAAAATTTGATTCCTGTATATGGCACTTTCTATGTAGCTGTGTAGCTGGTGGAGGAGAATTCCTGGAATTCCTAATAACTCCACTGAAGATGGTCTGGAGTCTTCCCTCAGAGCTCAGCGCAGAGAAGGTTTGCTCAGCAGAGCAGGTATGCAAGGCAGAAGGCCTGGCTTTGCAGGCCGACCAATTCGCTTCTGTGACTTTCATGTTGTTTGATTTGGTTTCTTCATCTAAGCATTGCAGTGTTTAAGAGCAAGGACAGGGGATAGAGCTAGGGTTGGGTCCTGCCTTAGCAACTAGCCACATTTCATTAAATCTAGGACATCATGGTTTGCAAGATGAACCATTATTTTATGTATCCCCAAAGAAAAAAATACTGCCAAACTATGACAATGATCTCTTATCACTTGGAATTTTATTTTACGTTTATTAAAAGAGCTCTTTTGGCCAGACTCGGTGGCTCATGCCTGTAATCCCATCACTGTGGGAGGCCGAGGTGGGTAGATCACTTGAAGTCAGGAGTTCAAGACCAGCCTGGCCAACATGATGAAACCTCGTCTGTACTAAAAATACAAAAATTAGCTGAGCATGGTGGCACATGCCTGTAATCCCAGCTACTCAGGAGGCTGAGACAGGAGAATCGCTTGAACCCGGGAGGTGGAAGTTGCAGTGAGCCAAGATAGCGCCACTGCACTCCAGCCTGGGCAACAGAGCAAGACTCTGTCTCAAAAAAAAAAAAAAAAAAATTAAAAGAGCTCTTTTAGGCCGGTGCAGTGGCTCATGCCTGTAATCCCAGCACTTTGGGAGACCAAGGCAGTCGGATCACTTGAGATCAGGAGTTCGAGATTAGCTTGGCCAACATGGTGAAACCCCATCTCTACTAAAAATACAAAAAATTAGCCGGGTGTGATGGCGGACGCCTGTAATCACAGGTACTCAGGAGGCTGAGATGGGAGAGTCACTGAAACCTGGGAGATGGAGGTTGCAGTGAGCCGAGATCGTGCCACTGTACTCCAGCCTGGGAGACAGAGTGAGACTCTGTCCCAACAACAACAAAAAAAAGAGCTCTTTTAGACTTGCAGATTTTTTTTCTTTTTTTTTTTTGAGACAGAGTCTTGCCCTGTCACCGAGGCAGGAGTGCCGAGGCAGGAGTGCAGTAGCACAATCACAGATCACTGCAACCTCCAACTCCCAGATTCAAGCGATTCTCATGCCTCAGACATCAAGGTAGCTGGGATTACAGGGGCACTCCACCACACCAAGCTAATTTTTTTTTTTTTTTTTTTGAGACGGAGTCTCACTCTGTCGCCCAGGCTGGAGTGCAGTGGCGTGAGATCGGCTCACTGCAAGCTCCACCTCCCAGGTTCATGCCATTCTCCTGCCTCAGCCTCCCAAGTAGCTGGGACTACAGGCGCCTGACACCACGCCCAGCTAATTTTTTGTATTTTTAGTAGAGATGGGGTTTCACCATGTTAGCCAGGATGGTCTCGATCTCCTGATCTCATGATCCACCCACCTCGGCCTCCCAAAGTGCTGGGATTACAAGCATGAGCCACCACGCCCGGCCTTTTTTTTTTTTGAGACAGAGTTTTGCTCTTGTTGCTCAGCCTGGAGTGCAATGGCCCAATCTCAGCTCACTGCAAGCTCCACCTCCTGGGTTCAAGTGATTCTCCTGCCTCAGCCTCCTGAGTAGCTGGGATTACAGGGGCCCACCACCAGACCCGACTGATTTTTTGTACTTTTAATAGAGATGGGGTTTCACCATGTTAGCCAGGACGGTCTCGAACTGCTGACCTCAGGTGATTCCCCTGCCTCGGCCTCTCAAAGTGCTGGGATTAGAGACATGAGCCACTGTGCCTGGCAATTTTTTTTTTTTTTTTTTTTTTGAGATGGAGTTTCCCTCTTGTTGCCCAGGCTGCAGTACAATGGCACAATCTCAGCTCACTGCAACCTGCGCCTCCTGGGTTCAGGCGATTCTCCTGCCTCTGCCTCCTGAGTAGCTGGGATTACAGGTGCCCGCCATCACACCCGACTAATTATTTGCATTTTTAGTAGAGACAGGGTTTCACCATGTTGGCCACGCTGGTCTCGAACTCCGAATCTCAGGTGATCCAACCGCCTTGACTTCCCAAAGTGCTGGGATTACAGGCGTGCGCCACCACGCCCAGCCATCCAGCTAATTTTTGTATTTTTTGTAGCAACTGGGTTTGGACATGTTAGCCAGGCTGGTTGCGAACTCCTGGCCTCCCGCCTTGACCTCCCAAAGTGCTGGGATTATAGGTGTGAGCCACTGCACCTGGCCCTAGATTTGTTGATATTTTAACATAGGTTTTCATGATATATCACTCTTCATATACATGAAAATGTAGGCAAAATAAATTGGTTGGGGTTGTCAAAGCCCTGTGACCAAGGACCACCAGGAACACACTTGTAACCAAAATTAGGTTTAATTTGCTGCAGTGAAGGAGAATACATCCCAGGGAAACCCTCAAGGCACCCTCAGGAAACTCCTTAAATTTGGCCTCGTTCCCATAGTTCTATGGAAGAATTAGGGAAATGGAACTGGTTCAGGATTGAATGCTGTCAAGAAACAGGGGCAGTTCAGAAACTGGGTATCTTTTTTTTTTTTTTTTTTGGAGATGGAGTCTCGCTCTGTCACCCAGGCTGGATTGCGGTGGCGCAATCTCGACTCACTACAACCTCTGCCTCCCGGGTTCAAGTGATCAGCCCGCCTTGGCCTCCCAAAGTGCTGAGATTACAGGTGTAAGCCACCACGCCCAGCCTGGACTACAGTAATTTTTGCTAAAGAGAAATAGCAATTGCTCCAAAAAAGGTGAAGTCAGGCCGGGCACAGTAGCGCACACCTACTTTCCAGCACTTTGGGAGGCTGAGGCAGGTGGATTGCTTGAGTCCAGCCTGGACAACATGGTGAAACCCCATCTCTAAAAAAAAAAAAATTCTTTTTTTAAAAAAAGGCAAAGTCGGCCAGGAGCAGCGGCTCACACCTATAATCCCAGCACTTTGGGAGGCCGAGACAAGCGGATCACCTGAGGTCGGAGTTCGAGACCAGCCTGACCAACATGGAGAAACCCCGTCTCTACTAAAAATACAAAATTAGCCAGGTGTGATGGCGCATGCCTGTAATCCCAGCTACTCGGCAGGCTGAGGCAGGAGAATCTTGAACCTGGGAGGCGGAGGTTGTAGTGAGCTGAGATTGCGCCATTGCATTCCAGCCTGGGCAACAAGAACAAAACTCCGTTTTAAAAAAAAAAAAAAAGGCCGGAAGCAGTAGCTCGCGCCTGTAATCCCAGCACTTTGAGAGGCCGAGGCAGGAGGATCACAAGGTCAGAGTTCAAGACCAGCCTGGACAAGATGGTGAAACCCTGACTCTACTAAAAATACAAAAATTAGCCAAGTGTGGTGGCAGGCGCCTGTAATCCCAGCTGCTTGGGAGGCTGAGGCAGAGAATTGCTTGAGCCCGGGAGGCGGAGGTTGCAGTGAGCCGAGATTGCACCACTGCGCTCCAGGTTGGGTGACAGAGTGAGACTCCATTTCAAAAAAAAAAAAAAAAAAAAAGGCGAAGTCACTTTGTGGTCATGAAGTGGCTTCATCTATGTCTCATTCTAAACATAGCTTACTTTCTGCTGGTAACAGCACAGTCTGAATGCCAGAAAAGCCATCTTTCACTTTCTTGATAGTCCTAAACTTCAGTCCTAAACTTCACGTTGATGTTGATTATAGAAAGCATCACCATTTGAGGGATATTAAAATGTGGGGGAAATATTCACTCTAGGTTGGATGAAATAAGATTCTTGCTGTATTACCTTGGGCAAGTAATCTAACCCTTTAAGCTTCAACTTCTTGCTCTATAAGCTGAGAATAATATGACCTAAAAGAAATAATGTCTACTAATTGGGTGGTACAATACTGGGTGTATCACTCAAGGTTCAACCAGGAAAATAGGAACCACTTTTTTTTTGAGACAATCTAGCTCTGTCGCCCAGGCTGGAGTCAAGTGCAGCGGCATGATCTTGGCTCACTGCAACCTCCGCCTCCTGGGCTCAAGCAATCTTCCTGACTCAACCTCGTAAGTAGCTGGGATTACAGGCACACACCACCATGCCGGGCTAATTTCTTTTTTCTTTTTTCTTATGGTAGAGACAGGGTTTCACCATGTTGGCCAGGCTGGTCTCGAACTCCTGACCTCAAGTGATCCACCTGCCTTGGCCTCCCAAACTGCTGGGATTACAGTTGGGAGCCACTGCGCCCCGCCAGGAGGGAACCACTTTAAGTATTGAAAACAGAGAGAATGTAATGCAGGGTTTTGGTGACACGATTAACAGGGGTTAACAGGGAGGTCTGGAAAGCCCAGCAGGGGACAGAGAGAGGCAGTACAGAGACTGGCAAAAGCAAGAAGCTGCCTACAACTCCTAACCTGCAGGGACAAAAAGAGGAGGTGGACTGAGTAGAGCCCAGGGGCATGGATCATCCTACAGATGTTGGGACCACAGCTACCTATCCATGAGCTGGAGCCACAGAGAGGCCTCATCTGCTGCTGGAGATGTCACCTGAGCCTGAGCAAGAGAGAGAAAGAGAAGAAATACCATGGCTCTTTCTTTCCTCCTGCCTTCTCTTCTCCTGCCACTGCCTCCCATTGGCTAAACCGAGGCCTGAAGCCAGATGCTCTGGGAGCCTGAGAAACTGCCCCCCGCAAGACTCAGCCCACTGCAATACAGAGCAGAGCAGAGGGGCACGGAAGGGATCTGTAGCAAATGGTAGAGAATGACCATTCAGCAGAAATAGTTAAACAGGCTTGGTAATACCTTTGTTGTAAAACCTTTAAAATATCAGATACACTTGCACATAACAAAATAATTCCCTTAAAAATAGACTGCAAGGCCAGGCGCGGTGGCTCACGCCTGTAATCCCACTTTGGGAGGCCGAGGCAGACGGATGATGAGGTCAAGAGATCAAGACCATCCTGGCCAACATGCTGAAACCCCGTCTCTACTAAAAATACAAAAATTAGCCGGGCATGGTGGCACGTGCCTGTAGTCCCAGCTACCCAGGAGGCTGAGGCGGGAGAATAGCTTGAACCTGGGAGGCGGAGGTTGTGGTGAGCCGAGATAGCGCCACTGCACTCCAGCCTGGTGACAGAGCGAGACTCTGTCTCAAAAAAAAAAAAATTAAAAAATTGACTGCAATCCATATAGACTAGTTCACACCTCTTCTCACACCCCCATCCTACTACGCGATTCTGAATACTACTGTGTCTGGTCTGATATAACGACATTCGAAGATGGATTTTCAGTGTCAGACATTTTGCATTTTCTGAGCTGAAATCTCATGAGGGTTGCTATAGAAGAGGGAGATGCACATTCCATGTCACAGAAGTAAAAGCTCACCCAGAGTGTGGTTATAGGGCAGCAATGTCATGGCAACTGGACTCTGGTCTTGGGGCTCTCAAGGGATTGCTGTGTGTCCTTGGAGAGGGTCACAAAATCTCCGGACTCCCGTGCCAAAAATGGAAATCATACCCATCAGGGTGGTTTATGTCCGCTCACAGTCCACTCTGCTTCTCTTCTTTGCCTTCCCAGAAGGGTCCAAAATGGTTTTTGAAAGAAACGATGAGCCGGACTAAGAAAACAGATAATGTGCCCACGGCCACGGAGCTGGCAGATGAGAAGGAATTCGGTCTCTGCGTTTCCATACCAAGGCCCTTTCCACTCACCCACCGCTTCTCTTCCTGCCCGGGGCATCTGCTGGCGGAGGAAGGCTTGTCCACGGAAAGGCAAAAGCGACTCCCGATCAAAATCCGGGGGCACCTGGTAGCGCTCTCCACGCCAGCAGAAACGCCCAACTGACTTCTTAATGGAGGGAAACCCCGGGCTTGGCCCGCAGACTGAGGGGCCCGCGTTGCGGGTTTTGGGGGCCCCTCTGCCTCTGCGCACCGGGTGGCCCCGGGTCCCCTCGGCCCTTCCCGCCGCCTCCCGGGTCCAGGGTTTCTAACGGGGCCGCGTGCCCGGGGCGGGGCCACGCGCGATTGGCCGCGCGGCATCGGGGGCGGGTCCGCGGCTGGCCGGCCGGGCGGGCGCCGACAATGAGCCTCCATAAAAGGGAGCGGCGGGGGGCAGGGGCCCCGGATTGAGCCCTCCCCGCCCGGGCTCCCGACGCGCCGAGGTCTCGGGGAGGCCCGGACGCGCCGGTCGCAGGCCCGGCCGGCGAGCGGCGGGCGGGCGGCGGGGAGGGGGCTGCGCGGGGCGGGCGGCGGGCCCGGCGCTATTCCGGCCAGGAGGCGGGAGGCGGTTGCCGGCTGCGCGCCGAAGCCTGCGCGCCAGTCCTCCGGCCACTGCTATCGCCCACGGCCGCACCATGGCCCTAAAGGCCGAGGGCGCCGCACTCGACTGCTTCGAGGTGACGCTGAAATGCGAGGAAGGGGAGGACGAGGAGGAGGCCATGGTGGTGGCCGTAATTCCGCGGCCCGAGCCGATGCTCAGAGGTGAGGATGGAGGGGATTCCACTTCCGCGTCACGGTGCGGGGCCGGGGCTGGGGCCGTCCCTCCCCAGTCGGGGTCCGGGACCCGGGCACCTTCTCACCCCCTTCAGCCTTGGGGCCCAGGTTTCCCTCTCGGATCTGGGTCCAGGGCGCGCTCTTGCACCTCCCCCACCATGGTTTAGAAGCTCAGGCCTCCTCGATTTCCCCCTCCCTTCCCCTTTCCCCCGCCCAGGGTCTGGAGACTTCGATCCACGCCCCGCACGCTCCGGATCTTCCGGTGCCCAAGCGCCCCCTCTCCCGGGCCCAGCACCAGAGGCCGGATCCCCAGAGGCGCTGGGTGGTTGCGGCCGCCGTCTCACAGCCTGGGAAGGGGAGGCAAGCACAACGGCCGGGCTGTGTTCTAGTCCGAGGGGCGGCGAAGCCTCTAGGCCGGAGGCTACAGGCGGGCGCCGCTGCCGACCTCCAGGAGAATTTTAAGGGCTCTCCGAGCATAACGCTTCCCTGCCCACCACCCCGCTTCATTCCCATTCCCGGGCCTTCCACTTGCAGGAGCCACAGGTGTCAAGTTCTGGAGAGAAGGGATGAATGGGACTGCATACAACAGCTAGTTTGGAAAAGCAGTGCAGTGCTAGAACGAGATTAGCTTTGGGAGGGGATGGGAGGAACAATCTCAGAACACTCGCTCTCCCCTCCCCCTTCACCGATTTCTAGTCCTCAGGAGCTTGCAAACCGTAAGAAAACAAAGAGCCATCTTTGTGGGAGACTTAATATGCATGAAAATGCAAATATATTTCCATTCTCCCACCCCGCTTTTCTTAGGCGGGATAGTACCCAAAAGAGGTTGAGAGCAGCAATGCCATTCATTGAACTTCAGCCGAACAGAATGATGTCTGCCTGCACTGCCTGTCATCCTTTTTGGAACTGGAAGGGTTATAAAATTCATGAGGGAAATAAAGGTCACCTCCCTTCTCGGAGCATTTAGTCCAAAAGATAGGTTGTTTTCCTACTTCTGCTAATATTTGTTGAGTGTTCATTGGGCATTGTCAGAGGCTGTCTCAGTTAATCCTCTCAACCCTGCAAGGGTGGCCTTATCCCCACTGTTAGGGCAGGAATAGACAGGTGAATTCATTCAACCAATATTCACTGGACGTCTACTTTAGGCTGTTTAGGCTAGTGTTTTTAGGCTGGGAAGTAGTAGTAAACAGAGCAACCGAAACCCTGCTCTTGAAGAACATATATATACCAATGGCTAAAGACAGAGAAATAGGTTCATGTATAGTATGTTGGGTGGCAATAAATGGTTCAGAGATCACTAAAGCAGGAAAAGGAGAAAGAGGAGGAATGGGTATTTAATTGAATATATCGAGTGGTTCAGAAAGGGTTTTCTAATAAGGTGAATTTTGAGCACAGACCCGAAGGAAGTGAGGATGCCAACCTTGCAGATATCTGCAGGAAGAGCATTTCAGGCCGAATAGCAAGTGCAAAGGTCCGGCAGCACAAGCTTCTGGAAAGATTTCGGTGGAGAGAGGAAGAAAGATTGAATTCAAGGTTTTTGGCCTGAGCAACTGGAGGAAGAGCCTTCCCATTTTCCGAGATGGGGAAGGCTGCGGTGCTCTTGGGAGACTGGGAGTGAAAGTTTGAATATGATTACGTTTGAGATGCCTATTTATGACATATTCAGGTGGAGAGGTCAACTAAGCAGTCAGATACATGGGCCTAGATTTCCTGGAAGTATCTAGCTAGTGGCGTAAACAGAAATTGCCAGCAGGCAGACAGTGGGAAGAGAAGGAAGTAGAGAAGTGTCTAAGGACTGAGTCCTGGGAAACTCCAGTGATGGCAGGTTGGAGACCGAGTCAGTCCCTCATCACACATTACTAAATGCCACTGCATGCGAGGAGATACAGATACAGATGCTGGAGATACAGATGCAAAACATCAGAAATCTGTATGGTCATGGATTTTTTTTTTTTTTTTGAGACGGAGTTTTGCTCTTTTTGCCCAAGCTGTAGTGCAATGGCACAATCTCGGCTCACTGCAACCTTCGCCTCCCGGGTTCAAGTGATTCTTCTGCCTCAACCTCCCGAGTAACTGGGATTATAGGCATGTGCCACCACGCCCAGCTAATTTTGTATTTTTAATAGAGATAGGGTTTCCCCATGTTGGTGGGGTTGGTCTTGAACTCTCAACCTCAGGTGATCCGCCCACCTCGGCCTCCCAAAGTGCTAGGATTCAGGCGTGAGCCACCGCACCTGGCCGTGGTCATGGATGCTATGGTGTGGTAAGGAGACAGGCAGTGAACATCCCAAAAACAAGTGCCAGGTGGTGATGTGTGCTGTGTTGGAGGTGATGCATAAGGGGAATGGGGTGCTCTAGTGAGGGGAGATGGTCTTCAGCAACAAGCCAGAGGAAGGGAGGGAATATTGAGAAGAGATGAGGAAGAACTAGCACACATAACTGAGAAAGAGGGCCAGGGAAGCAAAAGAAGAACCAACAGAAGGTCATGCCCTAGACGCAAGTGATGAAAATCAAGATGGAAGAGGTGATCGGCAGAGGATGAAGTTGAGAAACTGACCGCAGAGTTTAGCACTGCTGACTTGGATGAGAGCTGTTTTGGAAGACTAGTAGGGAAGAAAGCTGATTGCAACTGAGAGGTCATTTCTGCCCATGGTCGCATGAGAGATAGGTACAAGACATATCTCGTATCTCTTTCAGACACCACCTCTTGTATCCATGCAAGCCGAGGCTCCTATTTCTCATACCACCTCTTCCATGCAGCCCCCAGGTATTAGGGCCTCCTGTGTTTTAATTTTGTCCCATCCTCTCTGGAAGGTAGGAGGGAGATGCAGCCGTGAAGGATCATGGGCACTTCGTAAAAGCACTGAGCTTCCAGGCTGATGCAGGTCTAAGGCTGCCTTCTTTGCTGAACTGGAAAGGGTGATGCCCTGTGAAAGCTTATGGTCTGTCTGTGTACACAAAGAGCAGGTATCAGGCAGCAATAGGAGTGGGACCATGGCTGTAAATGCTCTGTGAGCACTGAGAAGGGAGGCGAGTTCTGAGGGGATGGGGTGGCCTTTAGAACGGGCATGGTGGCTCATGCCTATAATCCCAGCACTTTGGGAGGCTGAAGCAGGAGGATTGCTTGAGCCCGGGAGTTCACAACCAGCCTGGGCAACATAGCAAGACCCCATCTCTTAAAAATTATTTTTTTGTTTGTTAATTAGCTGGGTGTGATAGCATGCATCTATCTGTAGCCCTAGCTACTCAGGTGGCTAAGGCTGGAGGGTCCCTTGAGTCCAGGAGTTGAAGGCAGCAGTAAGCTATGATAACACCACTGTACTCCAGCCTGGGTGACAAAATGAGACCCCCATCTTTTAAAAAAAAAATTATTAGCCAGGCATGGTGGCGCTCACCTGTAGTCCCAGGTGCTTGGGAGGCTGAAGCAGGAGGATCGCTTGAACCCAGGAGGTCAAGGCTGCAATGAGCTGAGATTACGCCATTGCATTCCAGCCTGGGTGACAAAGTGAGACTCTGTCTCAAAATAAATAAATAAAATTTAAAAATTAAAAGAATTTACCTTCCTCATCCTCAAGAAAGTGTAGAAGTCAGATTTGGATGAAATCTATTGTCAGGGATTGGGGTTCTGGAAAGCTTCGCAGGGATGATGTTGCCCAGCCCAATTAGGGTGGTCTGGACAGATGTGCAAAGGCTGGAGACCTGCAAGAATGCAGCCTGTTGGGAAAGTATGTGTAGTTAGTCCTAAGGTCCAAGACTAGATCAAGAGGAAGTATAGACGCGAGAGTCGTGGGATCCCGGGCACATCGGCTGTGTTGAGTGTGGCGTGTGCCTCATGGGCTCCAGGGGAAGGAAGAAGAACACTTTGGCCAGAAATGCTCTCCTCCCCCATCCCACTCAAACCACTGAGTCTGGAGACGTGCTAAGTGTTGTTGGTTGTGGGCACCTTTAGTGATAACACCCTCCCCCTCTCCCCTCGCAGTGACCCAACAGGAGAAGACCCCACCGCCTAGACCCAGCCCGCTAGAGGCAGGCAGTGATGGCTGTGAGGAGCCGAAGCAGCAGGTGTCTTGGGAGCAGGAGTTCCTGGTGGGCAGCAGCCCAGGAGGCAGCGGGCGGGCACTGTGCATGGTGTGTGGCGCTGAGATCCGGGCACCCTCGGCCGACACAGCTCGCTCGCACATCTTGGAGCAGCACCCTCACACCTTGGACCTGAGCCCTTCTGAGAAGAGCAATATCCTGGAGGCCTGGAGTGAAGGGGTGGCCCTCTTGCAAGACGTGAGAGCTGAGCAGCCGTCCCCACCCAACTCAGGTAGTTGGTCCTGGGGCTGGCGAAGGGAGAAGTCGGACTTGTTGGGGCACTAGAAGCTCATTGTGCTCTTGCTCCCTGCAGACTCGGGCCAGGATGCCCACCCAGACCCAGACGCCAACCCAGACGCTGCCAGAATGCCAGCCGAAATCGTCGTTCTCCTTGACTCTGAGGATAACCCATCCCTCCCTAAAAGGAGCCGGCCCAGGGGACTCCGCCCCCTCGAGCTTCCTGGTTAGTCAACAGAGAAGCCAGTGAGCCCCGGTGGAGGTGGGGGTTTGGGGACAGGGTGAAATACAGGCCCTGTGTTCTGGGCAGGTATCTTCAGGAGCCCTGGGGTGGCAGGGTTCGGGGATGGCCTCTTTAAAAGGGTATGAGGTCTTTTCTTTTTGCAGCTGTCCCTGCCACAGAGCCAGGAAATAAGAAGCCCCGTGGTCAGAGATGGAAGGAACCCCCAGGGGAAGAGCCAGTCAGAAAGAAAAGAGGCAGACCTATGACCAAAAACCTGGACCCTGACCCAGGTGAAGGGGAGGCCCGGGGGAGGCGTGGGCTCTGGCCGCAGTGCTCTGAGGAAATCCGCATCAGTGAGGATGGAGCAGGGCCTGGGCGCAGGGCGCCTGCAGCTCCTGAGGCTTTTTCACTCACAGTTCCATCCCGTCCTCCCTTCCAGAGCCCCCATCGCCAGACTCGCCCACGGAGACTTTCGCAGCACCAGCCGAGGTCCGACACTTCACTGACGGCAGCTTCCCCGCCGGCTTCGTCTTGCAGCTCTTCTCCCACACCCAGCTCAGGGGCCCAGACAGCAAGGACTCACCCAAAGACAGGGAAGTGGCAGAAGGAGGCCTTCCCCGGGCGGAGAGCCCCTCTCCAGGTGAGCCCTCCTGAGAGGGAAGCACAGTAGGGACCTCGCAGGCAGCGCTCCTGGGCCAGGCCTCAGAGAGGCTGCTCTATGGCAGAGCCCACAGTAGGGGTGGGTGGGGTGGGTGGGGTGGGTGGTGCTCAGGTTTCCTGGTACACGGGGCCGGGGCAGGGGATCTGAATGATGAGGAAGGCTGGCCTGAAAGCTGAGCTTTTCTTTTTCTGTTTGTTTGTTTTTTGAGACGGAATCTTGCTCTGTTGCCCAGGCTGGCATGTAGTAGCACAAGCCCGGCTCACTACAACCTCTGCCTCCCAGGTTCAAGCAATTCTCCTGCCTCACCCTCCCTAGTAGCTGGGATTACAGGCGTGCGCCACCATACCCGGCTAATTTTTGTATTTTTAGTAGAGACAGGGTTTTCCCATGTTGGCCAGGTTGGTCTCAAACTCTTGACCTCAGGTGATCCAACTGCCTTGGCCTCGCAAAGTACACCACGCCTGGCCTATTTTTTTATTTTTTATTTTTTGAGACAAGAGTCTTGCTCTGTCGCCCAGGCTGGAGTGCAGTGGCGCGATCTCGGTTCAGTGCATCCTCTGCTTCCCAGGTTCAAGCGATTCTCCTGCCTCACCCTCCTGAGTAGCTGGGATTACAGGCGTGTGCCACCATGCCCAGCTAATTTTTGTATTTTTAGTAGAGACAGGGTTTCGCCATGTTGGCCAGGCTGGTCTCGAACTCCTGACCTCAGGTGATCCACCTGCCTCAGCCTCCCAAACTGCTAGGATTACAGGCGTGAGCCACCGCACCTGACCAGGTGGGCTTTTCTTAGTGTTTCCTTGTTTCCTGGAATTGGTCACTGGGTCCGGGTAGGCCAGTGTTTCCCAGAAGCCTGATACTGATTTCCACACATGCAGTTTGTTCTAGCTAGAGCCTGAGGGGTGCCCACCTTACCCTGGTGGAGCTGAGGCCCAGATGGGGCCACTCAGCAATTCAGTTAGGTGTCCAGAGAATAGATAAGATGAGCAGTGGACAGACACCTCCAGGGGACACCAGCTCAGTAAATTGCCTCATAACAGCAGTAAGTGCTTGTGTTGTTTGGGCTCCTACTGAGTTTAAGAAGCTTACATACAAGGCAAGTCGTGGTGGCTCACGCCTGTAATCCCAGCACTTTGGCAGGCTGAGGCGGGCAGATCACCTGAGGTCGGGAGTTTGAGACCAACCTGGCCGATATGGCGAAACCTCATCTCTACTAAAAATATAAAAATTAGCCAGGTGTGGTGGCAGGCGCCTGTAATCCCAGCTACTTGGGAGGCTGAGGCAGGAGAATTGCTTGAACCTGGGAGGTGGAAGTTGCAGTGAGCCGAGATTGCGCCACTGCACTCCAGCCTGGGCAACAGAGTGAAACTCTGTCTCCAAAAAAAAAAAAAAAAAAGAAGCTTACATACAGTTTATTTGGCCCTTACAAAAATAACTTGTATAGAAGGGCAGATGTCCATTCCTTTTTCCAAAAGGGAAAACCATTTCTCAAAGAAATGGTTCCTTCTTCCCCATGGTCCTTATGTCAGTTTCCTATTTGCTGCTGTAACAAATCACACAAATCTAATGGCTTAAAACAACACACATCGGGCCGGGCGCGGTGGCTCACGCCTGTAATCCCAGCACTTTGGGAGGCTGAGACGGGCGGATCACGAGGTCAGGAGATCGAGACCATCCTGGCTAACACGGTGAAACCCCGTCTCTACTAAAAATACAAAAATTAGCCGGGCATGGTGGCGCACGCCTGTAGTCCCAGCTACACGGGAGGCTGAGGCAGGAGAATGGCGTGAACCCGGGAGGCGGAGCTTGCAGTGAGTCGAGATCGCGCCACTGCACTCCAGCCTGGGCGACAGAGCGAAACTCCGTCTCAAAAAAAAAAAAAAAAAACAACACACATCGCTTGTGCCTGTAGTCCCAGCCACTTGGGAGGCTGAGACAGGAGGATTGTTTCAGCCCAGGAGTTCAAGGCTGCAATGAGCTATGATCACACCACTGCACTCCAGCCTGGACGACAGAACGAGACCCTCTCTAAAAACAAAACAAAACCCAAATTTATTATTTTACAGTTCTGGAGGTCAGAGGTCCAAAATGGGTCTCACTGAGCTAAAATCAAGCTGTTGGCAGGGCTGTGTTCCTTCCTGGAAGCTCTAGGGGAAAATCTATTTTCTTGACTTGCCCAGCTCCTAGAGGCTGCCTGCATTTCTTGGCTTGTGGCCTCCTTCCATCTTCAAAGCCAGCAGTGGCTAGTAGAGTCTTTCTCAGATACTGTCCTGGGTTCCGGCTCATCTGCCTCTTCCCCATTCAAGGACCCTCATGATTATATTGGGCTACTCAGTCCAGGATAATCTCTTTTTGAGTCCGCTGATGAGCAACCTTAATTTCATCTGTAACCTTCATTCCCCTTTGCCATGTAACAAAACATTCACGGGTTCCAGGGATTAGGGTGAGGGGCATCATTCTGCCAACCACACATGACCCAGCAGACAGAATTAGGATGAGACTGGAATGTAGTCCAGCAGGGCAGAGACCAAGCCTAGTCCTCTGTTCACCTCTCCATGCCAAGCATAGTTTACAGGCGCTCAGGAAATGCTTCTTGAAGAAGTGAATAGGTAGGAGTGCACGTCTCCTTGTACCAACTTGTCTGAAATGTGTGTTTGAAACTAGAGCCATAGAATGATGGCCAACGAGGTGGCTGGAGGCTCTCCTGAGAGTAGGGCTCTCAAAAAGCAGGTGTGCTTTTGTTTTTGTTTTTTGAGACAGAGTCCCTGCCCAGGCTGGAGTACCATGGCGCCATCATAGCTCACTGCAACCTCAAACTCCCAGGCTCAAGCAGTCCTCCTGCCACAGCCTCCTGAGTAGCTGGGACCACAGGTGTGCATCTCCACACCAGGCTAATTCTTAAATTTTTTGTAGAGACAGGTTTTCACTGTGTTGCCCAAGCTAGTCTCCAACTCCTGGGTGCAAGCAGTCCTCCCACCTGGGCCTCCCAAAGTTCTGGGATGACAGGTGTGCTTTTTTGCATAAAGAAAAAAGCCTTGGCTAGGCACAGTGGCTCACAGACCTGTCATTCCCAGCACTTTAGGATGCCAAAGTGGGAAGATTGCCTGAGGCTAGGTGTTCGAGACCAACCTGAGCAACATAAGGAGACTCCATCTCTAGAAAAATTTTTTAAATTAACTGGGCATGTTGGTGTGCACCTCTAGTCCCTACTAAGACTAGAGGCTAAGGCAAGAGGATCACTTGAGCCCAAGAATTTGAGGTTGCAGTAAATTCTGATTGTACTCCAATCAGATTGTACTACTGTACTCCAGCCTGGGCAACTGAGCTAGACTGTCTAAAAAAAAAAAAAAAAAAAAAAAAGAAACAAAGAAAAAAGGCAGCGTATTATGTACTCCTTTAGTCACACTCCACTCACCCCTCACAAAGTTTTTCTTTGTGTTCACTGCTATACCACTCTTAATTTGGTTTGTATCCTTCAGAGAGAGCTCTCTGTGTGTTTGCGTGTGTGTGTAGTTGCTTTTGTTTATTTGCCTAAATTTGAGCCCCCCGTTTTCTGATCTCGAGGCAGGCCTCACCCCTTCACGTAGATCACAGTTTTAACTGTCTCAAGTTTCAGCTTGAGTCACATTCCAGTCCTGGCTCCCTGAGACCGAGTGTGCTGCTTGGACTTGAGCGTGTCCCGAGTCTCCTGGTCCTCTCCGGTGGATCCCTGCTCTAAATGGCTGACCTCTTCCACTGTCTAATGGGTCTTCTGATTTCATTCTCGAAAGGGAGCCCTCATTTCAAGTCCTGGGGTACCCTGTGCGCAAACTCCATCTATCTGGAGTGGTGAGTAGATGAGAAGAGAATCCCTGAGATTCTAGGTTTCTTTGGGGTGAGTGGGCAAAGTCTGAGAGGAAGGGGCTTCAGCAGGCTGCTTGAGTGATCTGAGGGGGCGGAGGCAATTGTAGGGTGTTGTCAGCAGTGGCAGCCTTCGTGGAGGTTGGAGATGCCTGGGAAACCATAGAGGATACCTCACTGGTACACAAGTGTTCCTGGAGCCTGTGCCCGAGGGAGGCACCCTGGGAGATGGCATGAGTGAGACAGCCTTTGTCCCCCAAAATTCTGTGTCCAGGTATATAGGCTGGAGGCAGTAAATCTTTAAAAACCAGGGGCCCCCGTGGCGGTTCTTTGCGGAGCAGAGGCTCTGGACCTGTGGTTTCAGACGATCTCACGAACCCAAAGCTTGGACAGATTTCTCAGAAACCTGTGAGGCTTCGACCAAAATGTCTCTACTTTCTGTGTTGTTATGTACGTATTGAAGTTCTCTGAAGACTTTATTTAAATAAAGATCCTGCCACTTTAAAAAAAATTAGAGGTGTAAAAATCGTGGATTTAACAGTTGGAAAAGGCCACCTGTGGTCAGGTTAGCTGAGCTGATGAATGTGAATGTGAGGTAGTCCAGGAAGACTCTAGAACCTTCTGAGGACCTTGCCAGAGGAGGATGGGGAGAGTGTGCAGGCCAGGAGAGGAGGTGGGCCACAATGACCCACTGACAAGTAATGGAAAGAGGAGCCTCTCTGTCTTGCTGGTGTTTTTCTTTTTTTTATTTTGGAGATGGAGTCTCGCTCTGTCGCCCAGGCTGGAGTGCAGTGGCGTGATCTTGGCTCACTGCAAGCTCCGCCTCCTCCCAGGTTCACACCATTCTTCTGCCTCAGCCTCCCAAGGAGCTGGGACTACAGGCGCCCACCACCACACCTGGCTAATTTTTTGTATTTTTAGTAGAGACGGGGTTTCACTGTGTTAGCCAGGATGGTCTCGATCTCCTGACCTCGTGATCTGCCCGCCTCAACCTCCCAAAATGCTGGGATTACAGGCGTGAGCCACTGCACCTGGCCTGTTTTTCTTTTTCTTTTTTTTTTTTGGAGATGGAGTTTTGCTCTTGTCGCCCAGGCTGGAGTGCAGTGGTGCAATCTTGGCTCACTGCAACCTCCGCCTCCCAAGTTCAAGCGATTCTCCTTCCTCAGCCTCCTGAGTAGCTGGGATTACAGGCGTGCGCCACCACGCCTGGCTAATTTTTTTGTATTATTAGTAGAGATGGCGTCTCACCCTATTGGCCAGGCTAGTCTCAAACTCCTGACCTCGGGTGATCCGCCCACCTCGGCCTCCCAAAGTGCTGGGATTACAGGCATGAGCCACTGCACCTGGCCGGTCCTTCTCTTTATGATCTCGTGGTTACGGTGGGCTGATCACTCACTCCTTCCTGGAGACAACTTTCTTCCCTTGGCTTTTCAGGCAGCTGCTCGCCTGGTGTTCCTCTTCCCTCACTAACTGTTCCTTCTCAGTTTCTCTTGCCGCTCACTCTCAGCTCCCAGAGTTGGAACACGTCGTATCATTGTCTGCCTTTCCCTTTCTAGAATGTAAGGGCCTGCAGGTTAGGGTGTTTGCGTCCTGCACTATAATATCTGCGGTAACCAGAACAGTGCCTGGCACAGCGTAGGCCCGGCTTATGTGTTTGGTGAATGAGTACGTGCTTAAGTATCCGCAGCCGTGGGTCAGTGTCGGTACTCGCTCCCTGGGAGATCTCATCCAGGTTCACAGCTTTCAATGACATGTGTGTGCTCATAATGCCCACCTTGGCTGCTCCTTCCTGGTTCCATCCTCTTTTCCAGTTGCCCAGGTGGCGTCTCTACATGGGTGTCTAAAAGATCTCAAACATTGTGCCACCGCACTCCAGCCTGGCGACAGAGCGAGACTCCATCTCAAAAAAAAAAAAAAATCTCAAACTCGCCACATTGAAACTGAACCCCCAGTCTCACCAATGCACCCTACCCCTAGACTCCACAATCTTCCCTTTCCCAGTGAACAGGCAGCCCCAGGCTTCAGTTTGCTGTGACCACACCCACACAGTCATCCTCTTCTTTCTCCAGCCCAGCATCTGTCCAGCAGCCGATCCTCCAAAACAAGTTCAGAGCTCACACTGCTGTCACCACATCCACTGCTGCTACCCTAGTCAGGGCCGGCTCTCGCCTGGTTCCTGTAACAAACCTAAGCCAGGTCTCCTGGCTGCTGAGCTTTGCCCGCTATGCTCTGCTCTCCTGTAGCAGCCAGAGTGTCCCTGCTGAGAACACAAGTCAGATCCAGTCACTCCTCTACTCATGGCCTTTCTGTGCTGCTCCTGTTGCACTCCAGATAAAAGCCAGAGCCTTCATGGTGACTAGTGAGCTCCCCACAGGCTCCTGACCTCTCCCCCCACATCCCGCTCCCCGCACAGGCACTGGCCTTGCTGTTCCTGGGGAAGCCAGCGTGCTCCACCAGGGCATCCACATTTGCTCCTCCCTCTGCTCAAAATGCTGTTCCCTCCCTGTCTGCCTCACTGGCTCCTCACTCCCTCTGTGTCTGTGGTCCCCTGTCAGCTTTCTGCTATCCTATTATCCTATCTCCTTTCCCTGGTGTACTTTGCTACTTTGCATCTGTCCATATATAACATACTGCATTTTTTATTTGTTTATCCTATTTATTAGCTCTGATAAATAGAATGTGAAGTCCCAGAAGGCCACTTAGGGAGCTCCATTCACCGCTGTACCCCTAGCAATCCAAACGGCATTGGGCATATAGTACTCAATAAATTATTGTCAAATTAATGAACAAATGGGGTTCAGTGTTCCTTCAGGGAGCCTATAGTTTATCAGGGAGACAAACTGTGTTCTGGGAACACAGAATAGCATTTGGTAGGTGATAAAAATGGGGTGGCAGCCACTAAGTCATTTTAAATTCCAGCACATCGCACAGCAAAATTGTACCTGTTTTCTGTGCCACATTTTAAATAATCGTGTCTCTAAAAACAGGGTAGAAAAGGAACACACACAAATAAATCCTTCCCAATATAGACAGTGCAGTAGTTGAAATCACCATCTTCTGTTTTTGCCTTTCAATGTAATGTAACTTTTTTTTTTTTTGAGACAGTCTCACTCTATTGCCCAGGCTGGAGTGCAGTGGCGTGATCTTGGCTCACTGCAACCTCCACCTCCCAGGTTCACGCGACTCTCCCGCCTCAGCCTCCTGAGTAGCTGGGATTAGAGGGGTGCACCACTATGCCTGCCTAATTTCTTTGTATTTTAGTAAAGGGGTTCTCCATGTTAGCCAGGCTGGTCTCAAACTCCTGACCTCAAGTGATCTGCTCACCCTGGCCTCCCAAAGTGCTGGGATTACAGGCATGAGCCATCATGCCCAGCCCTAATGTAACGTAACCTTTGCACACGTCCCTGTTGCGTGCTCGTTTTTTATGGCTGCACGCAGCCACGGCAGTCCTCAGTCCTCTTTCCTCTGCCTCGAGGCCCAGCTTTGCCCATTATGAGTGCCTTCTCCATACTGGTAAGGTGGACACCTGGTCTTGGTGATGTAGGTGTTGACACTCAGGAGATAAAGAGCCTGGTGGAAGTTCGCCAGGGGTCTTTTCTGTCCCCCACGTAGTCCCTCATGAGCTCCTTGGTGGGCACAGCTATGCCTTAGACTGCTTCTGGGTGTTCCCACCCCATCACCTCTGCCCCACTCAGGCAGAACCCGTTAGGCTAGGATGCCCAGTAAGTTTGAGATAAAATGGAGTTGGCTGCAGGTAGGAGTTACAGGAAGAGGCACGAGCACCAGGCGTCCCTGTGCCAAAATACACACAGGAGGAAGGCTGCCTGGCTTCAGCTGGCTTGTCCCTAGGGAGGCTGTGCGCCTCATTTTCTAGCTGGCAGCAGTCCTCGATCACCCAGGAGTGGAGCTCCCTGCCATCCTTGGGCTTCCCCTCATGCCAGGCACTGGGCTGTGGACATAATGAAAGCCCTGGAAATGTGGGTACAGTTTGCGGAGCTTCCAGGGGGCATCCTCGTGGTGGGGTGTCTGGGGGGCTCTGACTGCTCTCTGCTCTCATCCCTGCCCAGCTCCCCCTCCGGGGCTCCGCGGGACACTGGATCTCCAGGTTATCCGCGTGCGGATGGAGGAGCCCCCAGCGGTCAGCCTCCTGCAAGACTGGTCCAGGCACCCCCAGGGCACCAAGCGTGTGGGAGCAGGTGACACCTCAGACTGGCCCACAGTTCTGTCAGAATCCAGCACCACTGTGGCAGGGAAGCCGGAAAAAGGGAATGGAGTGTAAATTCTTGCTTTCCTGGGGAGGGAGGGAGGGATGAGGCAGCGTCCCCCAGTGGCTTATAACTCAGAGCTGCCTGGCTCACCCACCTGGTGGAGAGAGTAGAAACAGGTGCCAGGGCAGGAGGGGGCTGGGGCAGCATCCACTGTTATTTCGGGGCACTGGAAAGTGTCTGTTCCTGGCCAGGCCTGAGGTCGGCGAGGGTGGCTGAGGCTGTTGTGCAGTAGGGCACTGGGCCTGTGGAGAACACCTACCCCAGTCCTTCGCTGACCCCCACCTCTGTTTGTCCCCCATGACCTCCTCCCACCCTCCCCCTGCTCCCCACCATTCTCCCTTGGCACAGTGCCTTACACAAGAGTGGTCATAAGGGGGTTTGAACTGAGTCCCACTACCTCGGGGGACACCTCTCCTCCCCACTTGTTCAGGCTTCTAAACCAGGAGGCCTCCATTACCTCTTCCTGTCCCACCCCTGCAGAGGCCTGAAGCTGGGCCTGGGCACCCCATTCACTCCCGTTCTCATTTACATCTGTTTTCCTGTTGTATATATCACCTTTGTTGACAATAAATTATTTTTTTTTATTAAGAGTTCCGTCTGGGCCATCATTGGGGGAGAGGGTTTGCTAGCAGGATACCTGGCCACCTAGAGCAACCCTGAGGGGCAGGAGGGTTGGAAGATGGTCCTGGGGGGAGCCAGGGAGCCACCTCTCCTGAAGGTGGGACAGCACCAGGGCAGGCCTCTGTGGAGCCCAGGAACGAGGGCTGACTTGTGCTATCAGTCACCTGTGGGCGTCTCACCCCCTCCCTTCCTCTCTGCTCTGGAAAGGGGGTCAGAAACAATTTTCTTTAACATTGTACCTTCTGGCTCACCTGGTAGGCCTCTGCCCAAAAGAGGTCACTGTAGAAGCCCAGGGGTGCTCACAACCAGGGAGCTGGGAATTAGCCTGAGCTTGCTTGCTTGCTTGCTTGCTTTTTCTTTTCTTCTTTTTTTTTTTTTTTTTTTTTTTTTGAGACAGAGTTTCATTCTTGCTGCCCAGGCTGGAGTGCAGTGGCGCGATCTCGGCTCACTGCAACCTCCACCTCCTGGGTTCAAGTGATTCTCCTGCCTCAGCCTCCCTAGTAGCTGGGATTACAGGCACCCACCACCATGCCCATGCCCAGCTAATTTTTTGTATTTTTAGTAGAGACAGAGTTTCACTATGATGGTCAGGCTGGCCTCGAACTCCTGACCTCGGGCGACCCACCTGCCTCAGCCTCCCAAAGTGCTGGGATTACAGGCGTGAGCCACCACGCCCGGCTTATCCTGAGCTTTCTAAAGTGAAATGGCGGTAACCAGCTTGCAGGTAGAAAGATGCCTCTCCTCCCTTTCCGTATGATGGTGAGGGGCACAGGGGTCCTAAACTCAGCCCCGCCTTTTCCAGCCCTACAGGCCTGCACCCTCAGCTGTCCACCTTCATCCCCCCCAACCCTTGGCTTAATTAAACCCAAACACTTGCTGGTTTCCCCTATTCCCTGGATCATGAGGAGGCCACTTTTGGTCTCTTCACCGGATTCCTTACCTTCCTAAACTAAACCAACAGGGGCCAGATCTGTGCGTGGTTTTCCCTTTGGTGAGATGGAGCACACAGGCAGCCCCTTCTCAAACCCCAGCTGTACTGTCCTGTTTAGAGCCCATGGCAGGTGTGGTAAGCAGGACTGTATACCTCTGCACATGCTGACAAATGTGCACATAGGAGAAGTGGGGGCACAGGTGGGACTTGGAGGGCAGCTATTCCTGTAGGACGCTGACATTGGCACATTTTTTTTTTTTTTTTTGAGTTGGAGTCTTGCTCTGTCACCCAGGCTGCGATCTTGGCTCACTGCAACCTCTGCTTCCCAGGTTCAAGCGATTCTCCTGCCTCAGCCTCCCGAGTAGCTGGGATTACAGGCGTGCACCACCATGCCTGGCTAATTTTTGTATTTTTTGGTAGAGATGGGGTTTTCGTCATGTTGGCCAGGCTGGTCTCAAACTCCTGACCTCAGGTGATCCACCCACCTCGACCTCGCAAAGTGCTGGGATTACAGGCGTGAGCCACTGTGCCCGGCCAACACTGCCAGATTTTGAGACTAACCAGGAAGTTCATCTCGGGCAGGCAGGGTCTGGGCCTGGGCAGCGTGTGCTGTGTGCTCACCTGATGGGGTGTCACCATGTGCCAAGCCAGGTATGAGGGATCTCACGACTTGGTGGGCTCCTGGGACATGATCCCTTCTCCCCATCTGATAAGCTCAGGAGGAGCCTAGAAATATACAGGGTCTTTGTCTAGGGGACATTAAAAGACAGGTGTGGTGGACAGAAGGCAGTGGCCAAGGCTTCAGGATGCCTTGTATCTAGTGTGGCTCCCCCACTGCATGATGGCAGGCAGGCAGGCCGGCCACGGAACTCCCATGTCTCAAACACCATTATCCACAGATTGGCAAAACTTGTATCCTACCTGATAGGAGGGAATAAATAATGCTAAAAATCTGGTTCTGCAAGCACAAATACTGCAAATGGTTTTCTCTCATCCTTTCAATCCTGTGACTTGTGTTTACATTTATGCCAATGTGCTTTTAAAACAACATGGCTGTGTTGCTGGGTGTTTACACTTGAGAAAACGTATGTAAAAGTTTGTTGTAAAATTGTGAAGCCAAATGCCCCTTTGCTGTTCTATGATTAATGGCTTGGCCTTCTAGACTGTGAGCTCCTGGGCAGGGACCAGGTTGTATTGACTTTGTTTTCCAAGTGTCCTGCCTGGGGCCTGGCACATAGTAGGTGCTCAATAAATGTTTCTCGAGTGCCCTCTGAGTGTGTATTCCTGTGTGACATTTTTCTAGTGCATGTTGGTCCCTGGAGTGTGGTTCTCAGCACAGGGTGGTTGCTACAGTGACTGTGCAGGGTGGGAACTTCATCCCCACATTGTGGCCAATAGGGGTCTCCCCAGCCTCAGCCAGGGCCCTGGGGACTATGTGAGTGTGTGTGGCCAGCAGCTGTGTGTGGCACCTCTGGGCTTCCAGGAAAGAGTTGGAGAAAGTGGGGCTGAGGATATGACTCCAGCCCAGGCTGGAAGGACCTTACTGACGGATTGCCCAGGGCTTTCCTACTCCACACCGGCTTGGAGTCCGTGACGCTGGTCCTGCATCCTGGTGCAACACCAGGGAAGCTCTGCACGAATGTCGGTGACTCTCAGGGCTGGTGGTGGCACCTTCATCCATGTGGTGCTGTGGCCCAACCATGTGTTTGGTTGAAGAAGTTGGGGAAGAGGGTGCCGCTGCCCCTGACTGCTGAGCCACACACCCATTTCCTGACTTCCCAGACCTCCTTGGCTCTCTGAAGCCAGCCACCTCCTGCCCTCCCAGCTGCCTTCCATGGGATCCAGGTGTGGGAGATCTTTTTGGATACCTAACAAGGAAAAACTTTCTACATTCCCAGTACTTCTGACACCAATGTTAGTGGGGAGGGGGGCGCCCACATCAATTCTCCGACTCTCCAGACACCAGCCAGCTGTTCTAAAATTCAGTTCTGACACTCACTACCCAGAGTTAGCACGGTCCCTGCAGGTGAAGGGCTCAGTCCCAGCAGACTGCCCCTGCTTCAGATACCAGTTCTAGGTCCCAGCTTGTCACCTGTACTTCTGACCAGCCCAAATTTGGAAGTTCCCACAACCCCCTCCTCAGTTTTGATAATTTGCTGTAATGGCTCACAAAAATCACAGAAACAGGCCGGGCGCGGTGACTTACGCCTGTAATCCCAGCACTGTGGGAGGCCGAGGCGGGTGGATCAACTGAGATCAGGAGTTCGAGACCAGCCTGGCCAACATGGCAAAACCCCGTCTCTACTGAAAATACAACAATTAGCTGGGCGTGGTTGCGGGTACCTGTAATCCCAGCTACTCTAGAAGCTGAGGCAGGAGAATCACTTCAAGTCAGGAGGTGGAAGTTGCAGTGAGCAGAGATCACGCCATTGCCCTCCAACCTGGGTGACAGAATGAGACCCTGTCAAAAAAAAAAAAAAATTAGGGAAACATTTACTTACATTTACTTGTTTATAAAGGATGTTACATAGGATATAAACAAACAGGTGATGAGGTACTGAGGGCGAGGTTCAGAAGGGTTCCAAGCACAGGAGCTTCTGTCCTAGTGGAGTTGGAGTGAGCCACCCTCCTGGCATGTGGATGGGGTGCTGTCCCTGACCTGGAACCTCCCAAACCCCATTATTTAGGGTTTTTATAGAGGCTTCATTAGGCACGATTGATTAAATCATTGGCCACTGGTGATTGGCTCAATCTCCAGCCCCTCTTCCCTCCCCAAGGTCTTGGGTAGGGATGAAAGTTGCAATCCCCTAATCACGTGGTTGGTTTCTCTGGCCACCAGCCCCATCCTCCAAGAGTCATCTCATTAGCGTGAACTCAGGTGTGGTGAAAAGAGACTCATTATGAATAACAAAAGATGCTCCTCTCTCCCCATCACTCAGGAAATTCCAAGAGTTTTAGTTCTGGACCAGAAACCCGGATGAAGACCAGATATATATGTCTCTTTTTTTTCTTTTTGAGTCGTAATCTTGCTCTGTCGCCCACGCTGGAGTGCAATGGCATGATCTTTGGCTCACTGCAAGCTCCACCTCCTGGGTTCCAGTGATTCTCCTGCTTCAGCTTCCTGAGTAGCTGGGATTACAGGCACCTACCACCACGCCCAGCTAATTTTTGTATTTTTAGTAGAGACGGGGGTGGGGGGGTTTCACCATATTGGCCAGGCTGTTCTCTTGGCCAGACTGGTCTCGAACTCCTGACCTCGTGATAACTCCTGCCTCGGCCTCCCATAGTTCTGGGATTACAGGCGTGAGCCACCTGCGCCCAGGTGTCTTTTTTTTTTTTTTTTTTTTTTTTTTTTTTTTGAGACAGGGTCTCGCTCTTGAGGCCCAGGCTGGATTGCAGTGGCACAATCTCGGCTCACTGCAACCTCCACCTCCAGGGTTCAAGCAATTCTCCCGCCTCAGCCTCCCAAGTAGCTGGGATTACAGGTGCTTGCCACCACCATGCCCAGCTAATTTTTTGTATTTTTAGTAGAGATGGGGTTTCACTGTGTTGCCAAGGCTGGTCTTGAATTCCTGACCTCAGGTGATCCACCCGCCTCGGCCTCCCAAAGTGCTGGGATTACAAGTGTGAGCCACCAAGCCTGGCCGATATATATGTCTTTTTATATCACAATGCTGGTAATCCTCTCTTTCTTGGGGACAAAGCCAGTCTGAGACAAGGGAACAGTCACCCCTGCCCTCCTTGAAGAGAAACTGGAGCATGTGGGAGTGTGAATGGGAATGGGGGACACTGGCTGGGCCCCTGCCGCACCCCAGTGGTGGCACTGGTCTGGTCCAGGCCTTGAGGCTTTCTAGCAGATGCTCCTGCAATCTGAGCTTCCTGTTTCTCTGCAGAAAATGCGGCAGTCACCCCCACCTCCACCCCACACACAGCTGGGCTGCTGTGTGGCTCAAATGAGACTCTGCATTTGGGGCCCTTTGTAAACTGTAAAATCCTGCACACCCCTAAGGTGTGGTAGAAGATGGGGGCTGGGATGGGAGAGGGTCTCTAATGGGCTTGCAGACCCTCTCTGCCATCGGAGTCTCTTGGGAGGGGGGCACCCTACTGAGGCTGCTTGCAGGTGCAGGGACAGGGAAGGGACTGCAACACCTCCTGGGGTGTCTGCCTTCCTACCTCCCTGGAGCCAGGTGCCTCAGCCCAGAGCCATCATGCCACCAAATTTGCTCAGTCCCTTTCTCCCCTAGAGAGAACACCCTCATTCTCAGGACAAATGTACCAGCGTCCAGGAAGGAAGAGGAGCCAGCCTTTGGGTTCCCAACACCAATGTCAATGGCTTGGATCTCCTCCAGCCCCACATCTGGTGGGGGTGGGCAGAGGAAGCAGGAAAAGCAGGTGTGTGATGGGAGATGGGGTAACCACCCTGTGTTGCTTAGATCACACAAGCATCAGTGAAGGACCCCATGGGCAGGCACTGTTAGAAACTATGGGGTACAGACAGGACACCTACCCTGGCTTCATCACAGATCACCTCATATTGTGCCCATTATACAGGTGAGGAAACTGAGGTACAGTGAGATGAATGCAGTGACTTGCCTGCCATTCCAGAGCTAGTAAAGGAACAGCTCTGGCCAGGCATGGTGGCTCACGCCTGTAATCCCAGCATCTTGGGAGGCCAAGGGGAGGCGGATCACCTGAGGTCAGGAGTTCAAGACCAGCCTGGCCAACATGGTGAAACCCCATCTCTACTAAAAATACAAAACTTAGCTGGGCATGGTGGCAGGCGCCTGTAATGCCAGCTTGGGAGGCTGAGGCAGGAGAATCACCTGAACCCAAGAGGCAGAGGTTGCAGTGAGTGGAGATGGTGCCACTGCACTCCAGCCTGGGCGAAAGAGCAAGACTCCATCTAAAAAGAAAAGAAAAGGAAAAAGAAAATAAGAAAAAAGAAACAAAAGGGAAAAGGGGGTCTTACTCTGTTGCCCAGGCTAGAGTGCAGTAGTGCAATCATAGCTCACTGCAACCTCAACCTCCTGGGTTCAAGTGATCCTCCCACCTCAGCCTCCCAAGTAGCTGGGACTACAGTTGTGCCACCATGCCTAGCTAACAGGGGTCTCCCTATGTTGCCCAGGCTGGTCTCAAACTCCTGGACTCAAGGGATGCCCCCCACCAAATTTGGCCTCCCAAAGTGCTGGGATTACAGGCGTGAGCCATCACACCTGGCTTTTATTTTATTTATTTATTAATATTTAGAGACAGGGTCTCACTCTGTTGCCCAGGCTGGAGTGCAGTGGTGTGATCATAGCTCACTGCAGCCTCGACCTCCCAGGCTCAGGTATAATCCTCCTACCTCAGCCTCCTGAGTACCTGGGACTACTGGCAAATTTTTTGTATTTTTTGTAGAGACGGGGGTTTGCCATGTTGCCCAGACTGCTCTCGAACTCTTTAGCTCAAGCAATTCATTCACCCACCTCAGCCTCTCAAAGTGCAGAGATTATAGGCATGAGTCACCATGCCGGGTCAGGCCTTAATTTTTTTAAGAAAAGGGCTAGGTGCCATGGCTCACGCCTGTAATCCCAGCACTTTGGGAGGCCGAGGTGGGCAGATCATGAGGTCAGGAGTTTGAGACCAGCCTGGCCAATATGATTAAACCCCGTCTCTACTAAAAATACAAAAATTGGCCAGGCGTGGTGGCGCACGCCTGTGGTCCCAGCTACTCAGGAGGCTGAGGCAGAAGAATCTCTTGAATCCTGGAGGTGGAGGTTGCAGTGAGCTAAGATTGCACCACTGCACTCCAGCCTGGAGACAGAGGGAGACTCCATCTCAAAAAAATAAATATATAAATACGTAAATAAATAAATTTAAAATTTGAAATGTTTTTAAATTTAAAATTTTTGACACATTTTATTCAGATAGTAGTCTGATCACATATGGTCTAAGAACAGTCAAATCATAAATCAAATATAAATCAAATGTTAAAGATGGATCTTCAAACATTGTAGCCAGTGATGCCACACTCACCTATGATCTCTGTGACATAAAACCACATCCACACCCCAGTGACCTCTGAAACATTCAACACAGCTTCCTTGACTGTGAGCTGTTTGAAGCTACCAGTTTGAGCGCTATTGACTTTTTTTTCCAGGCCCTGAATAACTCTAGGGATCTCAGCAGGGTTTGGAGGAACCAACTCCACCTCGGCGTAGTACTGAAATGTGGCCAATCAAGGCTTCAACTGAGTCACAGCAGCGTTCACCAGTACCAGGGCCTTCTCTGGCGAGGTGGTGGACAAATCAGGTCATGGTTCTAGGATGGAAAGTCTGTCGCCCCGAAGGGCCCGCTGAATGCCAACACCTCCCGGCAGTTTTACTCTCTGTGTGTGTTTTGTTTTCAGTTGTTCAGGCGGGAAAGCCTGCAATCGTCTTTAACTCCCCTCTTTCATAACCCCAACCCATCCGAAAGCCTGTTGGCTGTACCTTTCAAATATGTCCCAAATCTGATCACTTCTCACTACTTCCACTGCTGCTGCCTGGCCCCAAGCCACTGGCATCTCTCCCTTGAATTGTTGTAAAAGCCTCCTTGCTAGTGCCCCGGGTCTGCTTCTGTCATGCCCTTTCACTCTGTTCTCAGCCCAGCAGCCAGTTAGATCATGTTACTCCGGCGGCAACTCATCCCACTCCCAGGGAAAACCACAACGGTAGCCCACCAGGCCTGGTTCCCGTCGCCACACACCTACCTCCTCACTCACTCTGCTCCAGGCTCATTGGCCCCTTGCTCTTCAAACAGGCCAGGTATGCTCCTCTGGCTGGGTTCCTCTTCCCCTAGATGTCTGCAGAGCTCATGCCTTCACCTCCTTCAAGTCTTTTTTTTTTCTTAGCCTCCCAAAGTGCTGCGATTACAGGTGTGAGTCACCACGCCCGGTCTCCTTCAAGATTTTACTCAAGTGTCACCTTCTCAGTGAGGGCTCATGAACCCCCTCAGTACTGTAGCTTGTCTTCCACCCTCTCACCCCTGTAATCCTGGCTTAACTGGCTCTGTTTTTTTCTGATATCACTTAATACTGACTCTTTTGTTTGTTGTATGTCTTCCTCAAAATGAAAAGTAAGCTCCCCAAGGGCAGAGTTGTTTTTTTTTTGTTTTGTTTTGTTTTGTTTTGAGACAGAGTTTCTCTCTTGTTGCCCAAGCTGGAGTGCAGTGGCGTGGTGATCTCGGCTCACTGCAACCTCTGCCTCCTGGTTTCAAGCGATTCTCCCGACTCCACCTCCCAAGTAGCTGGGATTACAGACGCCCACCACCGTGCCTGGCTAATTTTTTGTGTGCTTTTTTTAGTAGAGACGGGGTTCCACCATGTTGGCCAGGCTGGTCTCGAACTCCTGACCTCACATGATCCCCTCACCTTGGTCTCCCAAAGTGCTGGGATTACAGGCATGAGCCACCGCGCCTGGCAGGCAGAGATCTTTATCTTGTTCACTGATCTACCTAAAAGCCTAAAACAATGCCTTGCACATAGTAGGTGCTCAGTAGGGATTTGCTGAATGAATAAATGAATTTGCAGATTTAGAGAGGGGGTAAATGTGTGGCAATAATTCATCTTTGAGGAGAACTAGGAGGGTTCATGGATTTGAGTAGGTGAGATTTGAACTGGATCTTGAAGTGGTTCTGGAAGCTGAGGTGGATGATGGGCAATCATCTATCAGCTTGACCAAAGGCATGGAAGTGAGAGAGACTGGCAGCGGGGTAGGAGTTAGGGAGAAGTGTGATCAGTGATAGTTGGAGAGGTTATTGTAAGGCAATGTGAGGCCAGATTGAGCAAAGTTTTAAATGCAGGCTAAAGGCTTTTCCTACAGCCAGGACCAGCTACATAATTTGTGGGGCACAGTGCAAAATGGAAATGCATGGCCCCCTTGGTCAAAAATTTCAAGATAATGGGCCGGGCGTGGTGGCTCACGCCTGTAATCCCAGCACTTTGGGAGGCCGAGGCAGGTGGATCACTTGAGGTTGGGAGTTCTAGACCAAACTGGCCAACATGGTGAAACCCTGTCTTTACTAAAAACACAAAAAATTAGCCGGGTGTGGTGGTGGGCACCTATAATCCCAGCTATTCAGGAGGCTGAGGCATGAGAATCACTTGAACCTGGGAGGTGGAGGTTGCAGTGAGCTGAGATCGCACCACTGCACTCCAGCCTGGGAGATAGAGCGAGATTCAGTCTTAAAAAAAAAAATTTCAAGATGGTGACAGCAGAGCATTAATCCAAGCTCAGGGTCCACCTGAGCACAGGGCTCTGTGTGACTGCATGGGGTCGTGGGCCCAAGAAGCCAGCCCTGCCTATAACCAGTGAGGGAGCTGGTGATAGCTTTCTAGCAGAGCAGAGATGTTATTGGAGCTGGACTTTGGGAAGATTATTCTGACATGTCTGGTGCAGTAGGTTGGAGGGAGTCTAGGCGGGGAGACAAGCTCAGCAGCCTTGTGCAAAGCTAGCAAGGAAGAGAAAGGATAGGTAGGGTAGGGGTTGGGGATGAAGGTCAAAGGGCAGGGGTGAGGCAGGGGTTAGAGCTAGAGTGAGAAGCTTGGAGAAGATGGAGTCTATTTAGACGAGAGTGTGGACCAGGGAGAGACTGCTGGAACACCAACCACCAACTGCTTCCTCTCTCTTTTCCCTGCTTTCCAGACCCTGGCATTAGAGGTGATACCAGGCACAGGAATCAGCAACGTGTCTCCCTTTGGCCACCAGAGGGCAGATGATTCTCAAGGATCGAATTTGGGTTGGGGAGTGAGGTGTTCTCTGTCCTCCTCTTCTCTCTTTCCCTCACCTTCATGGGTGTGCCTTCACCTTCTTCCTCAACGGTTGGGTGCCTGAATAGAGCTGGTATGGGGCATGGGGAGCAGTGCTGAAGTCCCAGGATTTACTAAGAGTGTAGTGATACCTGTTGCCTTAGGAAGTACTTTCATACCCTGGTAATTACATCTGCTCAGATGCCTATTTCTCTGATTGATGGGATGAAGGCTGGCTCAAGATGCTGTAGCTGGGAGTTGGAGGTCAAGTAGCAGGGGTCCAATCAGCAGTTTTCCCAATAACTCCTGGAGCCTCTCTGCTCCTGTACCTTTGGGAACCTGTTGCCTGAGTCTGGTTTCTGACTCCTGCGGGGCCTCTGCCTCCTGCCCACCTTAAGCCACTGATGGGAGGGTGTGGTTCCAACGTGTTCCAGGTACTATGGGTGAGGACAGCTTGGCGCTGGGGAAATCAGCCCAGGATACTCCCTGTCCTTGGTAACGCAGTGTAAGGGGAAGTGAGGAATGGACTGCAGTTGCCATACAGACTTCCTGTTAGTCAAGGGCTCTCCAAAGCTGAGAAGGACCTCCGAGTTCATGAATCCAATGGCTTCACTTTACTGATGGGGAAAATGAGGCCCAGAGGAGGAAAGAAAAGAAACTTTAAATGCCTTATCTTGCAGAGGCATTTTAAAAGGTAACTGGAATTCAGAAATGTCATTTTGAATGTCAACGCAGGAGCAAAGGCAAAGGAAAGAGGAGCCTAAACTCAGTGATGTTATGTGATTTTTCCAAGATCACGCAGCATTGGCACTTGGCAGAGCTGGGGCTGAAATGCAGGGCCCTGGACGCTCCCGCATCCGGTGCAGAGGACGCTGCCCTGGGCCTGCCTGGGGCCTTGCCGAGCCCTGCGGACTAGATGCGGGAATGCACGGATGAATCCACAGAAGCCAAGATAGACGGTGGCAGACAGGCAATAGACTGATGCTGCATTTGACAGGTATATTGATAGGCTAGATGATAAAAAGAAGATGAATTTTATGAGCTGACCGACAGATGGACAGAAATGCAGACAGGAAGCTGCTATAGAACCAGAGGATGCCAATCACAGGGACGGCTAACAATCTTGTTTTGTATTTAGTCAAATCACAAGCACAGACAGGTGACCCACGCTTCCTGTTCAAGGTTTGAAAATGCCCGAAAACTGACGGAAAGACACGAAGCGAATCAGACTCCGAGAGCCACCCGGGGAAACGACCGGGTGCTCGGAGGGCCTCGGGTGTTGCCGGAAATGGCCGACGACCGCCCTCGGCAGGGCTGTGGGAGGGGGCGTGGCCGGCTCAGCACGCGGAGCAGCTTCGGGTATTTCCGGAAACTGCCGAAAGCCCCCTTGAAGTGGGCGGGGAAAGGCCGGTGGGCGTGGCTGGATGGCCGTGGACGGGGGCGGGGGGTAGGCACCCGGGGTCGCTTCGTGGATTTCCGTAAACAGAGCCGAAGCTTCGTCTTCGGAATCGAGGAGGAGAGCGCGTCCCCGGGGTTTACCTTCTTCGGCTGTTTCCGGAATTCACCCGTAGTCTGTGGCCGGGAGGAGAAGGCGCGCCCCACCTCCCGTTTCTAGCCGCTTCGGATGTTTCCGGCTGCTGCCGGCGAAAAGAGCCGAGGGCCGGCGGTGGTGGCGGCCATGTTGGGAGCAGCAGGTCCGGCGGCGGCTGCCTGTGTGCCGGGCGCGGAGCAGTGCCGCTGAGGGCAGGGGAGGAGCGAGGCAGGCGGCCGGCTGCGGCGGCAGAGAGTAGGCGGAGCGGCGCGGCCCGGCCGAAAGGCGGCACAGCCCAGCCGGGGGTCGGGGGGGTGCGGTCCGGAGCCGCTCGGAGCCGGCGCGGCCTAGCCCGAGCGGCGCATCCCCGGGCTGGCGTGAGCGGCTGCCCGGCCTCCCCGCACCCCCGGCCGGGGCCCATGCGGCGGGTGCTCCTGCTGTGAGAAGCCCCGCCCGGCCGGGCTCCGCGCCTTCCCTTCCCTCCCTTCCTCCAAGCTTCTCGGTTCCCTCCCCCGAGATACCGGCGCCATGTCCAGCGCTCGGACCCCCCTACCCACGCTGAACGAGAGGGACACGGAGCAGGTAAGGAGCCCCGAGGGCTCCCCGAATTCTCTGGCTGGGCCCTTTGCACCTTGCGGAGCCTCCTCCCTCTTCTGCTCTCCTCGTGCCCCTGCTGCCATCCTGCAAGCCTCGGCTGCCCTGTCATCCGGCTCCTGGCTCCGGCTCCGCACATCCCGCTTCCGAGTCCTGACCTGGGACCCACCTCGTCCTGACTCCAAGCTGCACACTTGTCTTTCTGCCAACCCCCGTCTCCCCTCACCGCCCTCCTGCGCTCTTCCGTGTCACCTCCCCAGCTTCCCTTTCTCTTCCCTTTTTCTCTCAGGGGCCTTTCTGGTCTTCCTCCACCCACGCTTAAAGCAGCCACCCTCCCGCTCCTCGAATAGCAGCACCCCGCGATTTGCCACAGATCGTTGTCCACCTCTCCCTTCGTCTCTCCTGCCTCGCTTCCCCTCCGCCCGCACCGGTTCTGCCAGTCTCTGGGTTATCACCCTCAGGGTCCTTGCCCTGGACTGCGCTCTCGATCCCTGGCCCCTTGCAGTTCCCCCAGCTTTTTCTACCCTGCTTCTTCGTTTTCCAAATTGTGCTCTCCCTCTTGCTTGCAACCCACCAGCTCCACCCTCATCACCTTTCCAAATCCTTCGCCTACTCTTTGCTCATCACTTTCCCTTCTTTGCTCCAGGAGCTCCCTGGATCCTGGCGCTGGCATTTGTCGCTTCCGTGTTTCCCCACAGCTGTCATGCGCATAGTTTTCCCACAGGTTGCGTTTGGGGTTCCAATCATCACTCCCTTCAGAGTCTTTGGATCCCTCTTGTTCTCTTCCCCTCGGGTTTGGCTTTTAGGTCCCTGGGCCTCTTGTTTCTCTCTGTGAGTGTTCTACCAGCCTTCTACTGGGCTCTTTCTCCCAACCCAAAGACACTTGGCCCCACCGTATTAACACAACCTGTTGCTCAGTCCTTTCCCAGACCTCGCTGCATCACAGTTTTTGCCTTTCTGTCTTCGTACGCTGGAACACAAACCATGATGACTTTCTGTGTCTTCACTCCCGTGCCTGGCACTTAGAGTATTTTCTTTCTTGCTTGTTGCCTTCCTGTTTCTCCACCCTCACCCCATCTTCCTTACTGTGCCTTTTAATCAGCGTTGCCTTTCATCTCCGCATTAGTCTCCTGCCTTCTTCATGTCCTGTGTATCCCCACACCGTGCTTGGATCCATTCTGTTCCTATTGGCTAAGTCTCTGTAATGCCCAGGAAGTCCAGGTGTTTTGCATGCTAGTTTCTTGAGCTACACCTCAGCCTCACGACTCTACACGGTCCCCCTCATCCTGGCAGTCACTGCTATGTTTTTCACCCAAGTCTTAGCCTTTCTGTGTCATCTCACTTTTGATCCCAGAGACGTCCACTTTCCACACCTCCCCTTTCTTTCACCATCTCTAGCGTCCTTTGCTGACTGCTCTGTGCAGAGTCCCCTGCCTGTCATACCTTTCTTGGTGGAGAACTTTACTAGGCCAAAAAAACTTGACTTGAAAAAGAAGTGCTTCTGCCCCGGGGCTGCTGTGCTTTTTGCCTTCTTTCCCCTCCTTCCATCCTTTATGTTTCCCTCTTACTCCCTTCTTTCTTTGTAGCCCGGTAGAGCAGTTGTTGTATTCTCTTGCATGTGAACATTCTTCTTTGAAAAATCTTACCTCCTTTCTTTTACTGTGTTTTTCTATTTTGTTACCCCCTGGCCCTCTGTCACCTGGGCAGTTAGGAACTAAAGAGAAGTTCTAGGCAGAGTTTTTCTCTGCAGGGTTGACCCTTTTATTACTTGTGGATTATTTGCTTCTGGGGGTGAAATAGGGGTTGAGAGGGAGGGATGGTTGATTTCCATTTCATCACTGGGTTTGGCAGCTGGTTCTGCATGGGACAGGGGTCTTTGGAGACAGAGGAGCATGTTCTGTGTCTCGCAGTCTTTCTCTCCCTTGCCTACCGGCTGTTTCTCTCTCCTTACTGGGAATTGCTTTCTCTGGGCCCTCTTGAGGTTGCTTATTCCACCCATTTTCCTCTCACAACCTTTGTTTTAGCAGGTAAACCCTGCTTAACCAGAGAACTTTCCCAGACTGTTGATCGTGAGCTGGTAGGAGGAGGCCAAGTGACTGACTGGCACCCTCAGGCATTTGGGGAGTGGCGATGGAGTGCCTACTCTCAGTGAGGCTGGTGGGGGGCATTGTGTTCAGCAGAGCAGAGTAACAGACTGCCTCAGTGTGGTTTCTTTGTGCTGCTTACTACATGTAAATGTATTATTGCCATGGTATTTTTCCTGTGATGTGTGTGTTGATTTCCTTTCTTCCTTACATGCCTAGCATACTGCTGAGCATATAGTAGGAATTCCACCGTAGTGTGCATCCACTGATTCCATGATAGCAGCAATCAGTGACCATTTGGGAATGTAAGTAAGCTCTTTGCTCTTTGATAACTTTGCCCAGAGCAGTAGCTGCATACATTGTCATCCTGTTAGGATTATTAATTACCCATCCTATTTCTACTCTTTATGGACTTAGATTCTCCTTAGCCCCTTCATACCTTCTACTGTTGTTCTCAGGGTAGCCAGTCACTGTATCGATTTAATATTAAGTCTCATTCCAGTAAAAGCAGGGACTTTGGAAAACCTTGGATGCACCTATTCCAGACAGATTCCTGTATTCTTTTTTTTTTTTTTTTTTGAGATAGAGTCTCGTTCTGTCGCCAGGCTGGAGTGCAGTGGCACAATCTTGGCTCACTGCAATCTCCGCCTCCTGGGTTCAAGCGATTCCCCTGCCTCAGCCTCCTGAGTAGCTGGGACTACAGGCACACACCGCCACGCCCGGCTAATTTTTTGGATTTTAGTAGAGACAGCGTTTCACCATGTTGTCCAGGATGGTCTCAGTCTCCTGTCCTCGTGATCCGGCCTCCCAAAGTGCTGGGATTACAGGTGTGAGCCACTGCGCCGGGCCTGATTCCTGTATTCTTTAAAACGGGAAAAAAGACAAGCAGCAGCTCCTCAGGTCACAAGGCCAGGTATATCAAACACTGGCCTCCGAGAATAGATCATGCCACCAAGTGAAAGAAACCTCTTCTTGGTCCTGTTGTGATTTTAGATAAAGTAGTCATGGAAGCTTGGTCATTACTATAGTCTTAATGTTATTTTTTTTAAAAAGGGGATTTAGTTGGGCTGATTTCCTCCCCTAAAGGTCCTCTGTCACCTTATTTAAATTTAAAACTGGTTTTACCAGAAAATAGGTAAACAAACACCACTGGTTGTCTCCAGTCTCTTTTCTTGCTCTTCCTCTCCCTCTTCTTTAAAAATGTGGCTGATGAGAACCTGTTTCCAGGAGCCCTTTAATCACTCTGAAACACACAGACACTGAAAATGTTGAAGCATAAAAATAAACCTTGCGTTACAGGGAGATTGCCTGTGTGCTGTCCACTTCGCTTATAACAGTGAAAGTAGGAGATTAAAAAAAAAAAAAAGTTAAGCCCTGTCTTTAAGATGGTTTTTGTGACACCTGATTCCAGATGTGCTTTTTCACAGCCATAGACTTCCTGCTTTTGCAGAAGGAGGGTTCTAATCTGGGGCTCGTAGCTTGGGGGATTCTTAGTTTGTGAGCTGAGCTTTTTGTTCACTTCTTTTCCAAATGACTCTGCTGGCCTGAAGCTTGGCAGTTGTGAAAGCAATCAGCAAGATGACTGTTTGTCTTCCAGCCAGCAGCAGCAGTCACAGGCAAGCCTGGAGAAAGGTCCAGCTTCCAGAGTTCACCTGCTAGAGTTTTCCATAACACCTGGGGGAGAGGCTACTCCATCTGGGACCTGCCCCACCTCTGGGCCTCAGAAACTATGAGAGAGGGATTGAGAGAAAACTTGCCCCACTTCTGCTGCAGTGGGAAGGGAGGGGGCTGCTGTCAGGCTTCTAGGCAGTGAGCGGCATTGTTTATTCTCTCAGTTCTAGGAAGGGGAGTTTAGAAGTACTGGTGAAGAAAACAAAGTTACAAGATCCTATAAGGAACAGCTGAACTACTCCAAACACTCTCACTGGACCCCCATTGTTGATTCTGGATAAAAATATATATATATATAAAACTCTTTTTTTTTTTGACACAGAGTCTTGCTCTGTCGCCCAGGCTGGAGTGTAGCGATGCGATCTCGGCTCACTGCAACCTCCGCCTCCCGGGTCAAGCGATTCTCCTGCCTCAGCCTCCTGGGAGTAGCTGGGACTACAGGCGCCCACCACCATGCTGGCTAATTTTTGTATTTTTAGTAGAGACGGGGTTTTGCCATATTGGCCAAGCTGGTCTCGATCTCCTGACCTCAGGTGATCTGCTGGATAAATATTTTTTTTTTGCTTTTGGTGTAACTTAGGTAGATTGGATCGGCTAGCTAGCATCTCAGTCCACACTCTGAGCTGTGCAGCAGTGTGCCCTGGTGCTAATTCTCACTCTGTCCTTTGATTCTGGCCAGGGGGTCCTTGGTGGTGCTGCCTTCTGGTCAGGAATGTGGGTGAATGTCAGACCAAATAGTGTCACTTTCGGCTTGGCCCTAGAGATCAGGAAGGAAGTGTTGTTAGAGCAAGGGCTTTGGGAGTCCTTGGAGTTCGTAACCTTTGAATCTGAAAAGTAACTGTACCTAGTAAATTAGAATAATTTCTCTCTGGTCAGGCACCATGGCTCATGCCTGTAGTCCTAGCACTTTGGGAAGCCAAGGCAGGAGGATTGCTTGAGGCCAGGAGTTCAAGACCAGCCTGATCAATAAAGTGAGACTCCATCTCTACAAAAAAATTTTTTTAAATTTAGCTGGGCATGGTGGCACATGCCTGTGGTTGCAGCTACACAGAAGGCTGAGGCAGGAGGATGGCTTGAGCTGGGGAGGTCGAGACTGCATTGAGCTGTGTTTGTGCCACTGCACTTCAGCCTGGGTGACAGAGCAAGACACTATCTCAGAAAAAAAAAATTACTTTTCTCCAATTTATGGACTTCGGAAAGTAGCTAAACAGATGGATATAAGACAGTTGTTGAAACTCGGCCTGCTGCAGATTAAAATAAAGTTTGCACAAGGATAACTTAATCTTTCAGACCAACCAAAGTTTGGGCTGGAGATTTTTCTCAGCATAAATGTCCTAAGCAGAGTTGGTGCCTATGAGGTAGGAAAAGATTGAGACTTTGCTTGCCTAAGAGGTTTGCAGGGTTCGAGCTTTTGGGAGTCAGAACTTCTCAGACTAGATTGTTTCCCCTTTGGACAGAACAACCCAATTCTCAGTGGGCATTTGATCAGGACTAACCCAGGCCTTCATGAACTCTTTCCCATTGAGCACTTAGCCACCTGGCTGGCATTTCTCTTCTCCCAGGAGCTTCCATGAGGTTCCTACTTATGTATTATGTCGACTTGAATGAATATTTTATGTCTAGAGTGCAGCCAAGCCTCAGACTTTGTGGCCCATTATCGACAAATGGGGTAGGGGGTGGGCGCCACCTTTGGCCCCGTGATAGCTTCTCTGCTAAATGGACTCCCCCCAGCAGCACTTTGAAGCCCATTAATGGATTGGAATGAAGTAACCTCAGCAGATGGAAAGGGTGAGGAGGGTGGTCATCTTCCTTCCCTGAGACTGCCTGATGAGGCTTTCCTACAGTAACCAGGACAAGCCCCTATTCCCTCTGCTTGGTTAAGCTGTGGACTGGAGCTACTAGGCCTCTGCTTTGAGAGGAAGTATAGAAAGGATTTGATTCTCTTTTAGCCATGGTGGGGCCGCCAGTTTCCCCACTTTCCCATCAAAGCAAAAATTGAGAAGGATGTGGAAAGGGTGGGTGGAGTTTAAAGCTGGCCCTTCCTCCTTCAGTGGAAGTTCAGCAAAATGACAAACCAGATAGGTGGCTAAATTTCCTTCTCTTGATGGGAGATTCCAGTATTTGTACGTTTTGTGCTTGTAGCTTGGATTCTCCAGGCCTCCTCCCAGCTTTCATCAAACATGAGTGAGTCACTGAAGTGTTGTCTATGCATTTTCTCCCTTCTGTCTCTGCAAAGGGAAGAGTAAGCCTTTACAAACCTGTGGGGGAGGAAGTCACCCTCTTCCCACTGCTGGAGAGCCAGGCTATCCCCAGGTTAACCCTGAAAGTGCTAACTCCTGAGCAGAATGTTACTGCCACCCGCCCCCTTCCTTTTTGTTATAGGCCATTGAAGGTCATTGCTCGTCTTTTTTTTTGAGACAGTCTTGCTCTGGTCACCCAGGCTGGAGTGCAGTGGCAGGATCTCAGCTCACTGCAACCTCCACCTACTGGGTTCAAGCGATTCTCATGCCTCAGTCTTCCAAATAACCAGGATTACAGGTGCGCACCTCCATGCCTGGCCACTTTTTGTATTTTTAGTAGAGATAGGGTTTCACCATGTTGGCCAGGCTGGTCTTGAACTCCTGGACTCAAGTGATCCGCCTGCCGTGGCCTCTCAAAGTACTGGGATTACAGGAGTGAGCCACCGCGCCCGGCATCATTGCTTATCTTTTAGACTGAGATAGTACAGCTGATTCTAAACAGCACCCAGAGAGAATCTGGCCTCTTGATTTCCAGTTGTGTCTCAGAGGAGGAGGCATCCCAGTTCCTCCTCTTGCCCTCTAGACATCTCCTCCTCTGATAAGTATAAATAGGCTAGATCCCTTTATCTTCATATCTGTTTTTGTCTGGAATGTTTCAAGTTTCTCAAGCTAGGTGTGGTGGCTCATATCTGTAATCCCAGCACTTCGGGAGGCCACGGCAGGAGGATCACTTGAGCCCAGGAGTTCAAGACCAGCCTGAGCAACATAGTGAGACCTCATTTCTACAAAAAAAAAATTTTTTTTTTGAGACGGAGTCTTGCTCTGTTGCCCAGGCTGGAGTGCAGTGGTGCGATCTCAGCTCACTGCAACCTCCGCCTCCCGGATTCAAGTGATTCTCCTGTCTCAGCCTCTTGAATAGCTGAGATTACAGGTGTACGCCACTGTACCCCGCTAATTTTTGTATTTTTAGTAGAGATGGGGTTTCACCATGTTGGTCAGGCTGGCCTTGAACTCATGACCTCGTGATCTGCCTCAGCCTCCCAAAGTGCTAGGATTATAGGCATGAGTCACCCCGCCTGGCCAAAAAAAATTTTTTTTTTTTTTTTGAGACGTTGTCTTGCCCTGTCGCCCAGGCTGGAGTGCAGTGGCACGATCTCGGCTCACTGCAAGGTCCGCCTCCCGGATTCACGCCATTCTCCTGCCTCAGCCTCCCGAGTAGCTGGGACTACAGGTGCCCGCCACCACACCCGGCTAATTTTTTTGTATTTTCAGTAGAGACGGGGTTTCACCTTGTTAGCCAGGATGGTCTCGATCTTCTGACCTCGTGATCCACCCACCTCGGCCTCCCAAAGTGCTGGGATTACAGGCGGGAGCCACCGCGCCCAGCCCAAAAAAATTTTTAAAAAGTTACCTGGGTGTGGTAGCACATGCGTGTATCCCACCTACTCAGAAGGCTGAGATGTGAGGATCACTTGAGCCTGGGAAGTTGAGGCTGCAGTGAGCTGTGATCATGCCACTGCATTCCAGCCTGGGCAACAGAGTGAGACCCCATCTCAAGATAAATAAGGTTTGTCAGTCCCTGTGGTGGTTCTTTCCGCAGATGTCTGTCTTTGGGTTGGCACTTATTTCCCCCTACTTGCAGTTATTCCTTACATTTCTCATTAGAAAATGGCAAAAAGGGCAAAAGTAAATTCATTTCCTTTTTACACCAAATCATTAATTTTAGGCTTATAAAACTAAATGAACAGAAGATTTGGTAGGAGAGGAGGGGAGATGGACACTGATACTGGTGGCTAGGTGATCCTGAGGGACAACTGGTGCCTGGCAGAAAGAGAGGAGGGCTGTGTTCAGTGACTGGCTCCCAGCCACCTTTTTGGCCTTTTTCTTTTTAACATGAGGAAGGCGGAGCAGACCAGGGGCTTCTCTGTAGAACCAGTCAAGCTGGTTTTGGGCAGCCTTGGCCTATTTTCTTGTGTGCTCTTTGGGAAGTTGGCAATACAAAGGTCTGCCTCCTTTGGGGCTGTGTTCGTTGAGGCGAAAGTTTGGAAGACAACTATCTGTCAACAACCCCCTTCTCCCCAAACACTGAATGGGTCTCTGAGCTGGTCCTTCACTCCAGGGAGGAGGCTTTCTCTCCACCCTATGCTGAACCTGAAGGCAGCTTTGCTTTATACACCTTTCACTGAAAGCTCTAAGACATTAACTCCTTTTTTGGACTCCCTTCCCAATTCACAACTTGGTGAAAGACCCTCAGCCTAGCCAGGAGGAAGGGACTGGGTCTGCCTTTGGCTCCTCATTTATGGGTCTGGGAGGGGATCAGGACTCCTTACTGCTATGATCTGGCTGCTAAATTCAGTGACATCCCAGGCCTTTTTTCGTCCACGCAATGGGACTGTCTGTCCAGGCCTGCTGGGAAAGAAAAGAGAGAAAAAATAGTTTTTGCTCTTTGGCAGCTTACAGGGACTTCAGCCATAGGAAACAACCTGTAGGAAAGGTGGGAGCTTCCGGTCACCATGTGTGCTGACACTTCCTGCAATAGCACTAGGAAGTCTTTCTCAGGGAGCAAGGCCAGCCAGGTAGGATTATTTCCCAGTCTCCCAGCTAAGCAGGAAATGCCAAAATATGAACGTTTAGTAATTAGTGAGTGTAACTACCTGCTGACAGAGCTCCAGCCTAGACCTTGTCCTTGGGGGCTGGTTGCCCCTGTTGATACTACAGTGAGCTACTCATTGCTTCTGATTACCATTTCAGTATGAGTTTTGCTTTGGTTTCTGATATCCCATGTGCGGCTGCCTTTTTTCTCCACCTTCTTTTTGTTGTGTCTTTTTGTTTTTTTGAGACGGAGTCTTGCTCTGTTGCCCAGGCTGGAGTACAGTGGCACAATCTCAGCTCACTGCAACCTCCGCTTCCCAGGTTCAAGCAATTCTGCCTTAGCCTCCCAAGTAGCTGGTACTACAGGCATGTGCCAGCACACCCGGCTAATTTTTTTTTTTTTTTTTTTGAGACAGGGTCTCGCTCTGTCGCCCAGGCTGGAGTGCAGTGGCGCGATCTCAGCTCACTGCAAGCTCTGCCTCCCGGGTTCACACCATTCTCCTGCCTCAGCCTCCCGAGTAGCTGGGACTTCAGGCGCCCACCACCATGCCCAGCTAATTTTTTGTACTTTTTTTTTTTTTAAAGTAGAGATGAGGTTTCACCATGTTAGCCAGGATGGTCTCAATCTCCTGACCTCATGATCCACCCACCTCGGCCTCCCAAAGTGCTGGGATTACAGGCGTGAGCCACCGTGCCCGGCTGTAACACCTGGCTAATTTTTGTATTTTTAGTAGAGATGGGATTTCACCATGTTGGCCAGGATGGTCTCGATCTCCTGACCTCGTGATCCGCCCGCCTCGGCTTCCCAAAGTGCTGAGATTGCAGGCGTGAGCCACCGCGCCTGACCTTGTTGGTGTTTTTAAGAGACAGGGTCTCACCCTGTCACCCAGGCTAGTATGCAGTGGTGTGATCATAGCCCACTGCGGCCTCAAATAGCTCCTAGGCTCAAGTGATTCTCCCACCTTAGCTTCCAGAGTACTGGGACTACAGGTCACACCTGGCCCCCTCAACCTTCTGGACTTTTCACTCACCCCATCACTCCCTACTTCTCCGCCACAGAAGACTGTCATTGGCTATCTTTGCAAGTAGTATTGAAGCCACTCGGAGATTGTTGCTTTGTCTTTTTGCTCATGAAAGTTTGAATTACTGGTTCTCCAGTCACAGGAAGTGGGGCTCCTTAGGCCAGCTCCATCTCACGTAGTGTACTGATTATGTTGAGCTTATGGCACAGCTGAGAGGAGAGTCCAAACTTTTTGAACACTTTTTGACTTCCAATAAGTGGTTCCACTATGGTTAAGAGCAGGTTTGGTGGGCCGGGCGCGGTGGCTCATGCCTGTAATCCCAGCACTTTGGGAGGCCAAGGCAGGCGGATCACCTGAGGTCAGGAGTTCGAGACCAGCCTGACCAACATGGTAAAACCCTATCTCAACTGGAAATACAAAAATTAGCCCGGTGTGGTGTTGTACACCTATAGTCCCAGCTACTCGGAAGGCTGAGGCACAAGAATCACTTGAATCTGGGAGGTGGAGGTTGCAGTGAACAGAGATCATGCCACTGCACTCCAGCCTGGGCAACAAAGCAAGACTTTGTCTCAAACAAACAATAAGAGCAGGTTTTGCGGCTAGATTTCCTGTATTGGAATCCTGGATCATCCTCTCCTGTGATCTTAGGTTCCCTCTGTGTCTGTTTGCTCATCTGTAAAATGGGAGAAGAATAGTACCCATCTTATAGGTATAGCTGTTATGAGTATTAAAAGAGTTAATGAATAGAAAGCATTTAGAATAGCGCCTGGCACAGCAGAATGATCATTGTCATTATTGTTCCAGTTGAACAACACAGTGAATTTTATCTGAGCACCACACAACTCTAGGTCAGTATAAGGGGTGATGTTTGGGATTTCTCTGTAATCAGTTGAAAAAATCTTGTTCTGGCATCTTCAAGCCACTGGGGTCCTATAGGTGCTTTTTCTAACATTTCTGTTTTTTTGTTTGTTTGTTTGTTTTTTTGAGATGGAGTCTTGCTCTTGTTACCCAGGCTGGAGTGCAGTAGCACCATCTTGGCTCACTGTGACCTCCACCTCCCAGGTTCAAGCGATTCTCCTGCCTCAGCCTCCCAAGTAGCTGGGATTACAGGCACCTGCCACCATACCTGGCTAATTTTTTTTTTTTTTTTTTTTTTTTTGGATTTTTAGTAGAGATGGGGTTTCACCATGTTGACCAGGCTGGTCTTGAACTCCTGACCTCATGATCTGCCCACCTCGGCCTCCCAAAGTGCTGGGATTACAGGCGTGAGCCACTGCACCCGCCCTAGTTTGCTTTTTTACCAATCACCTATCTGAAAAAAAATGGAATGCTACTGGAGAGATTCATGTACTTCTGAGAACACTTTTAGCTCATTTTTTATAAGGCATCAATATTAGATAGTTTTCTTGATTAAAGAAAAAAAAACACCACCCACTGCCTGCCTATATTTCTGGGTTGCAAATGATGGCGGTGGATGTGCAGCCTCATCCGTGGCTAGAAGGCCAAATCCAAAGTCACCAGAGCTTGAGTTTTTTGAGAGTTGAGATCTGTGTGTCAAAGGGGAAGCCCTAGGGTGGTTCTCTGCAGCACCAAGAGCAGGGATTCATACCATCATGTTCCTTTCTTTTTTCTTTTCTCGTCTTTTCTTTCTTCCTTTCTTTTTGTTCTCATGAGTTCTCACTGTGTTGCCCAGGCTGGTCTTGAATATTTGGCCTCAAGTGATCCTCCCGCATTGGCCTCCCCAAGTGCTGGGATTACACACTCAGCCATGTTCCTTTCTTCAAGTACGGTATTGACCCTTTGGCCACAGGAGAACGTGCCCAGTTTTTCTTAAAGACCACGTGGGAACTCAGCAGCCCATGATTGTAGGTTCCTTTTTCCCTCATAGAGTGGCCTTCAAGGGCAGGTTCTTGTTATCTGCGTTTCAGAGACCCAAAGGGACACAGGCATTTCTGCTCCTGGGAATTTGCGGACTTTGAATCTTGAGCTCAGATTTTGGTCTCTGTTGGTTGCTTGTTTATCTTCATCTCTTGTCATTTCTGGAGCCTGCATGCCTTCTCAGAGCAGCAGGTAAGTTGCTTAGTTTTTTCACATTGAAGCTGTGGCTGGGGGAAGGTAACAGTGTCCCCTCAGAACTCATGGAGATGCCAGGCATAGTGGAGGCTGAGGCAGGAGGGTCACTTGAGGCTGGAGGATTGCTTGAGGCCAGCCTGGGCAACATGGTGAGAGCTCATCTCTAAAAAATTTTTTTAAAAATAACTCATCAGGGGCTATTTCTTTCATTGTATTTTCCTCTTCCTTTTGAACCCCTCTGCTGACTTGTTTCACTTTCTTTTTTTCTGTTTGGTTTCTTTGAACTCCCTTTCTTCATTATCATGTCCTCATTCCCGTCCATCTTAGGTTTTTCATTTCCTTGTTCCACTCTCCCTAACCTGTTTCTGTGCCCTGTTTATGGCATGGCTCAGGATATGAATTTTGATCTCCGTCTGAGATCTCCTTCAGGTATAGAATCCCAGACCACCTGGTCCTTTTGTTCTCTCATTCCTCTGATTTCTGTACATTTAAGGATTCACTGCTTTAGAAAACTTTTTTTTTTTTTCTTGTTTCTGGAGCCACCTCTCTCAGTAAAGCCAGGCTTGGCAACTTATTAGGGACAGCATTCTGGTTTCCCTGGTGACAGGGTTTAAGCTGATTCTAGGCTGTTGCCTCTAACCCATCAGGAATGCCATAAGTATAGACCCTGTCTTGGGAGAGATCTGGAGAGATACTTGAGAATTTTGGACACTGTAATATTGAATTTGGTTCTAATTGTGATCTAGAGACCCTCAGACTCTTTCAGGTGATGCACGAAGTCAAAATTCTGTTCATAGTAACGTTAACACAGTGTTGCTTTTTCACTCTCATTCCCTCACCAGTATACAGTGGCATTTTCCAGAGGCTAAATGATGTGTGGTAACATCACATTCTTCTGGCTAATGAAATGTGTAATTCTGTATTCTTGTGTTTTCTATAATTTTTAAGGTAGTACTTTAAGGTAAAAATATGGAAGTTTTCATTGATGGACTCAGTTTGTTCTTAGTACTTCTGTGCTCTTACTAGGTTTCTTCAGTTATAACTGCTATCATCTTTTTGTACACTTCATTACTGTCTAATAAATCCTTATTTTGAAATCCCAGCATTTTCCTGGAACCTTTGAGAAAATATAAGAAGTAAGTACTACTTGTAAAACTTGCTTGTAAAAACTTTTGGGAAAACTCCTAATTTTAAAAATTTTATTGACAACTTATTTTAGCACTTTATTCTAAAATAGAAAAAAATTTATATTATTTCTCTTATATGTAAGGGTGGATTGTTGGCTTAAAAAAGGGAGATTAGAAGACTTGCTTTTTCAACCCATAGCTGCAACTTGTATGTTAAAAATACTGAAGTGGACATACCAACAAGTATAAAGGAGGACTTTAAAGAATCTGGGCAGAACTGTAAATAAGAACTAAAAAAAAAAAAAAAGAAAAGAAATGAAAGTGTAATGAAAGCTACCTTCTCAGTTTCATAAATGTTCATAATGTACCTTACTGCGTCTTATGCGACAGAACATTTTCATGTAGTATTATGGTACCAGTTAAGTTGTGGCATTCTTTCAAGATCATTTAGAGTTTAAAGAAAAAGGAATTGCATATTTTATGCGTACGTACTATGAGCTCTTTAAAAGCCAAAATTTCTTCCAGTTTTTAAACTAGAAATAAAAAAGTCACTGAAGCCTCTATCTAACAGGATAAGTTGCCACATTGCTTTGGCTGGAAAAGCCCACACAGAAACTGAGAGACGAATGAAGTCTTGAACAGCTGACATTCCTGAATGCCCACTGGATGAAAAGTCAGTAAAATTCAAGGCAGTGCCGCTTTAAATGTTACCAGGATTCATTAAATTAAAGATTTAGCCAGGCGCGGTGGCTCATGCCTGTAATCCCAGCAGTTTGGGAGACCGAGGCAGGTGGATCACCTGAGGTCAGGAGTTTGAGACCAGCCTGGCCAACATGGTGAAACTCCTTCTCTACTAAAAATACAAAAATTAGCCAGGCGTGGTGGCGCATGCCTGTAATCCCAGCTACTCGGGAGGCTGAGGCAGGAGAATCGTTTGAACCCAAGAGATGGAGGTTGCAGTGAGCCGAGATCGTGCCATTGCACTCCAGCCTGGGCGACAAGAGCGAAACTAAAAAAAAAAAAAAAGATGTAGCTGCACACATGAAGACCAAGTTAATATCTTATTTACAGAATTTTACTTTCACCTTACAAATGAGCAAATCTATAGATGTGGCTCGACTTGCTGTATCAGCACCAACTGCTCATCAAAGAATAATTTATTTTATGTGAATGCTCAGCAGCAGATACAAATGGTGATAAATATTCAAAGGGTTGAATAACTTCCTGAATCTCATGACTTATCCTGGAACAACTTTATTTCCATTTGCACCCTTGGTGCAGAAGCAGTGGTGGAGAAAACTGCTGACGCCGTAACATGGATCAAGGAAGTGGCACTAAGCTCTACTAGTGGTCATTGTCATGGTCTTCTTTCCCACCACAAACTTGTGGTTGAAAAATAAAAGCCATTTTTACTTGAGAATGTCTTGAATGAAGGATTAAAGACTATCATTTTTTTTATTTACTTATTTATTTATTTATTTATTTTAATTTTTATCTATTTATTTTTTTGAAACAGAGTCTCACTCTGTCTCCTAGGCTGAAGTGCAATGGCGTGATCTGTGCTCACTGCCACCTCTGCCTCCTGGGTTCAAGTGATTCTCCTGCCTCAGCCTCCCAAGTTGCTGGGATTACAGGCACCTGCCACCACGCCTGGCTAATTTTTGTATTTTTAGTAGAGACAGGGTTTCGCCACGTTGGCCGGGCTGGTCTGGAATTCCTGACCTCAGGTGATCCACCTGCCTCGGCCTCCCAAAGTGCTGGGATTACAGGCATGAGCCACCATGCCTGGCCAAGACTATTAATTCTGTGTGTGTGTGTGTGTGTGTGTGTGTGTGTGTGACAAGGTCTCACTGTGTCACTTAGGCTGGAGTGCATTGGTGCAACCTCCGCCCACTGCAACCTCTGCCTCCCGGGTTCAAGTGATTTTCTCACCTCAGCCTCCCCAGTAGCTGGTACTACAGGTCCGCACCACCACGCCTGGCTAGTTTTTCTATTTGTTTTTTTTTTTTTTTTTTGGTAGAGACAGGGTTTTACTATGTTTGCCAGGCTGGTCTCAAACTCCTGACCTCAAGTGATCCACCTGCCTCAGCCTCCCACAGTGCTGGGATTACAGGCATAAGCCACCATGCCCAGTCTTTTATTTTATCAACCCTTTAATAAAGGTCTCTTTAGGCCAGGCATAGTGACTCACGCCTGTAATCCCAACACTTTCGGAGGCCAAGGCGAGTGGATCACCTGAGGTAAGGAGTTCGAGACCAGCCTGTCCAACATGGTGAAACCCTGTCTCTACTAAAAATACAAAAATTAGCTGGGCATGGTGGTGGGTGCCTGTAATGTCAGCTACTCGGGAGGCTGAGGCAGGAGAATTGCAGTGAGCCGAGATCGCACCATTGCACTCTAGCCTGGACCAACAACAGCGAGACACCATCCCAAAAAAAAAAAAAAAAAAAGGGTATTCCAAGTGAGGAAATACAAAGTATTCATGAGGCATTGCTGCTGTATGCCAAACTTGAGGAAAGCACATGTGTTGGAGCTGAACCAGCTGCAGGGATCATAATTTTTTCTTGAAAGAACAACTGATGGACAAACTAGAGTTGTTCATATGGACATTTTATGAAAATGAACAAAGTGAGCCTGTCATTGTTGCCAGTGATAAAATTCAAGTTTTCAAGTGAAAATTAGAATTTTGGAAAACTTGTGTCTGCTAAAACTTTTCCGAGATTGGTAGTAAAATTAATGAATGTGATTTTTTGACATTGTGTGAAACGTCAGTGTTTGGAAATTCTGCACAATTCAGTGAAGAAATATTTTCCAGATTGCTAGTGGGTAAAAGAGCCATTCAAAGTGCAGGACGAGGCCAGGCATGGTGGCTCACGCCTGTAATGTCAGCACTTTGGGAAGCTGAGGAGGGAGGATCGCTTGAGGTCAGAAGTTCAAGACCAGCCTCTGCAACATGGCAAGACCTCATCATCTCTGCTAAAATGTTTAAAAAATTAGCTAAGCATGGTGATATGCACCTGCAGTCCTAACCACTCAGGAGGCTGAGGCGAGAAGATCTCTTGAGCCCAAGGTCAAGGCTGTAGTAAGTTGTGATTGTGCCACTGTACCCCAGCCTGGGCAACAGAGTGAGACCTTATTTCAAAAACAAAAAAAAAAAAAAACAGTGCAGGATGACTAATGTAAAAGTATATGAAATGTTCCTTGATAAAATTTCAGGTTCCACATTGCAACTAGCCTTTAAAAACTACCACTTGTTGAATTTTGGTGTAGTATCAAAGAAGAAAATCCTCAGTATCTGAAAGGCTGTTGAACTCTATTTTTCAACTACATGTCTCTGTGAAGTGAGATTTTCTTCATATGTTTCAACCAAAACAACTTATGAAAACACATTGAATGTGGAAGCAGAGAGAAGTCAGCTGTCTTTCATTAAGCCAGACATTAAAGAGATGTGCAAGAATGTAAAGCACTGCTACTCTTGTGGTGAAATTTCATTTTGTTTTGGAAAATACAGGTTTTTTATTTTAAAAAGATTATTAGCATAAACATGTGGATTTATGATCTTGAATGGATTAATAAATATTTTTTAAAATTAGTTTCAATTTCTAATAAGATAGCTGTGTAGTCCTCAATAATTTTTTAAGCATATAAAGAGTTCTTGAGACCAAAGGTGAGAAAACCACGGTAGCAGACAAAACATGGGGCCCTTGTCTTGATCGGTTGGTTGGTTACTTGCTTTGACTTCATAAGGAGCTCTTGTTTTGCTGGTTCCCAGCCCCAGTATAATCCCTGCCTGGGCCTCAAAGAGGCATTCAGTACTTTGGTTTGCAGTCCTTCTGGTTCCAGAAGCTAGTTCTCTGTGATGTGAGGGACTTTGACCAAAGATAACTGATTTCCTCCTTCTGATACATACACCACTGGCCCTGTGGGTTTTTTTTTTTTGTTTTTTTTTTTTTTTTAAATATATGGCTTGTTTATTCTTTTTCTCCCCTTTTTTCTTTATTTCTTAAATTTTTTTCTCATTTTCCCTTTTAATTTCTTTATTGTTGGTTTATTTATTTTGAAACAGAGTCTTACTCTGTTGCCCAGGCTGGAGTGCAGTGGCGTGATCTCAGCTCATTGCAGCCTTGACCTCTCCAGGCTCAGTTGATCCTCCCACCTCCGCCTCCCAAGTAGCTGAGATTACAGGTGTGCGCTACCACACCCGGCTAATTTTTGTATATTTAGTAGAGACAGTGTTTCGCCATGTTGGCCAGGCTGGTCTCGAACTCCTGGCCTAAGTGATCCGCCAACCTCGGCCTCCCAAAGAGCTAGGATTACAGGTATGAGCCACTGCAACCTGTCTTGTTTTTTATTTTTCTCATTTTTTTCCATTTTTAAATTTTTCATGTTTTTTTTTTTTTTTTTTTTTTTTTTTTTTTTTTTTTGAGACAAAGTCTCTCTCGCTCTCTCGCTCTCTCACTCTCTCGCCCAGGCTGGAGTGCAGTGGCGCCATCTCGGCTCACTGCAAGCTCTGCCTCCCGGGTTCACGCCATTCTCCTGCCTCAGCCTCCCGAGTAGCTGGGAGGGACTACAGGCGCCCCCCACCATGCCCGGCTAATTTTTTGTATTTTTATTAGAGATGGGGTTTCACCGTGTTAGCCAGGATGGTCTCGATCTCCTGACCTCATGATCCGCCCGCCTCGGCCTCCCAAAGTGCTGGGATTGCAGGCATGAGCCACCACGCCCGGCCTAAATTTTTCAGTTTTTATACTCATTTCCTTTTTGTTCGTTTTCTTTCTTTAATTTGTTAGTATTTGTTGTTTTTTGAGACAGCCTCACTTTATCACCCAGGGTGGAGTGTGGTGGCACGATGTTGGCTCACTGCAACTTCCACCTCCCAGGTTCAAGCAGTTCTCCTGCCTCTGCCTTCCCAGTAGCTGGGATTATAGGCACTTGCCACCAAGTGATTTTTGCATTTTAGTAGAGACGGGGTTTCTCCATGTTGGTCAGGCTGGTCTCCATGTTGGTCAGGCTGGTCTCGAACTCCTTACCTCAGGTGATCTGCCTGCCTTGGCCTCCCAAAGTGCTGGGATTACAGGCATGAGCCACCGCCCCAGCCTGTTTTTTGGTCAGCTGTTTTGTTTTGATTGCATTATAAGATTAGTTCATCAGGTAGACTTCCTTTGGTATATATTTAGTTGTGGTTTGGAAAATAAGTTTTTTATTAAAAATAAGTCATTTATGTTTACATGTAATGAGTTTACTCATGTTCTGTTAAATGAATTGATACATATTTAAATTTTTCCTCACTTGAATTTCTAATATAGTAAATACTGATAGATAAAATTCATATAAACAAAAGCTTCTGGGTGTTCAGTTATTTTTCAAAATGCAAAGAGTCCTGAAACCAAAAACTGTAAGAATCATGGTTGTAGACAAAACTTGGTTTGGTTCTCCATGACTTTGGTTGATACATTTTTTTTTTATTTTTTTATTTTTTGAGACAAGTTCTCATTCTGTCACCCGGGTTAGAGTGGAATGGCATGATCTCGGCTCATTGCAGTCTCAACCTCCCAGGCTCAAGCAATCCTCTCATCTCAGCCTCCCAGAGTGCTGGGATTATAGACATGAGCCATTGTGCCTGGCTATATTATCATCGTTATTATTGTTTTGTTTTGTTTTTTGAGATGGAGTTTTGCTTTGTCACCCAGGGTGGAGTGCAGTGGCACCATCTCAGCTCACTACAACCTCTGCCTCCTGGGATCAAGCGATTCTTGTGCCTCAGCCTCCCAACTAGCTGGGATTACAGGTGCACAGCACCACACTTGGCTCATTTTTGTATTTTTAGTAGAGACAGGGTTTTGCCATGTTGGCTAGGCTCCTGGCTTCAATTGATCTGCCTGCCTCGGCCTCCCAAAGTGCTAGGATTACGGGCATGAGCCACTGTGCCTGGCCCTGTAATATAATTTTACATGAGTTAATAGTGTAACATTTTCTCAGTTGTAATTTTTTTTTTTGAGACAGTGTCTCACTCTATCACCCAGGCTGGAGTGCAATGGCACGATCTCCACTCCCTGCAACCTCCCAGGTTCAAGTGATTCTCCTGCCTCAGCCTCTTGAGTAGCTGGGATTACAGGCATGCGCCACCACACCCGGCTAATTTTTGTACTTTTAGTAGAGATAGGGTTTTCACCATGTTGTTCAGGCTGGTCTCGAACTCCTGACCTCGTGATCCACCTGCCTCTGCCTCCTAAAGTGCTGGGATTACAGGCCTGAGCCACTGTGCCTGGCCAGTTTTAATTTTAATACAATAAATATCAGTAGCTATCACCCACATGAAGAAAGCCATTTGACGTCATCAGTAAGAGTAAAGGGATTCCAGACAGTGTGAGAACTCTTTTGTAAACAGAGATAGGACTGATAATCCCTGTCCTCGATTGGTTGATTACTTGCTATGACCTCATAATGAGCCTCTGTTTTGCAATTTCTGGGGCCCTGGCTGGGCCTCAGGAAGGCACTTGCTGTCTTGGTTTTCAGTTGTTCTAGCTGAGGAAGCTGGTTCTCAGTGACCTGATGGACCTTGGCCAAAGTTGGCTCATTTCCTCCTTTGAATACATAGCATTACTTTATGTTTTTTTATTCCATTAAAAAGATCATTTGGCTTACTTGGATTTTATTATGAGGTTTGTGTTTTATTATGAGGTAGGTTTGTGTTTTTTTGTTTTTTTTTTAACTTATATGTTGGCTATTGGTCAGTTCCAAATTTGAAAACTGCAACGCTTACACAGCTTCTATCCTTGAAGAACCTTGGTGCCTACAATAGCTGAGAGCTGGTAGGCTGCAGTCACTAAGGCCAGACACTCAATAGTCTATTCCCTGGGTGGCTTGAGACCTGACATACTTTGTTTCTTTTTGTTTCTTTTCCTTTTGTACTTGACTCTTTTTAACCTGTTTATTTCTTTTTTTTTTTTTTCCCCGAGAAGGAGTCCTGCTCTGTCACGCAGGCTGGAGTGCAGTGGCACGATCTCGGCCCACGGCAACCCTCCGCCTCACAGGTTCAAGCAATTCTCCTGCCTCAGCCTCCTGAGTAGCTGGGATTGCAGGTGCCCGCCAGTATACCCGGTTAATTTTTGTATTTTTAGTAGAGAAAGGGTTTCACCATGTTGGCCAGGCTGGTCTTGAATTCCTGACCTCGTGATCCACCCACCTTGGCCTCCCAAAGTACTAGGATTACAGGCACAAGCCCATGCCTGGGCTAACCCCTATTTCTATCTTTCTTTTTTTTTTTCGAGACAGAGTCCCACTCTGTCGCCCAGGCTGGAGTGCGGTGGCCGGATCTCAGCTCACTGCAGCCTCCACCTCCCAGATTCAAGCAAATCTCCTGCCTCGGCCTCCCGAGTAGCTGGAACTACGGGTGCGTGCCACCATGCCCGGCTTATTTTTGTATTTTTAGTAGAGACAGGATTTTGCCATGATGGCCAGGCTGGTCTTCAACTCTTGACCTGGTGATCCACCTGCCGTGGCCTCCTAAAGTACTGGGATGACAGTCATGAGCCACCACATCCGGCCTCTAACCCTTGTTTCTTAATGAAACATACCTGTAAACCCCACTGTTATGTAGGTATACTTTATTTTTCCTGTAAGAGGTAGGTTTATTTGGAGTGTTTGTAGCAGTGTGTGAACTTTGTATTTCCTTGACAAGTCCTTAAGTGACAGGGAAAATTGTAGTAGTATATAATCTGTAAACTACCCTGTAATTCTCAACTTTGTTCTTTTGCATATACTCATTCTCCAATTTCCATAGCACCTCTAACTTTTAACAGCTTCCCTAAGTCCTACAAATAATAGACCTTGGGCCTCCTCTAATAGTCACTTTGACCAACTTTAAGCAAATCTTTTAAAACTCATGTCGGCTGGGTGCAGTGGCTCACTCCTGTAATCCCAGCACTTTGGGAGGCTGAGGCGGGTGGATCACGAGGTCAGGAGATCGAGACCATCCTGGCCAACATGGTGAAACCCCGTCTCTACTAAAAATACAAAAATTAGCCGGGCGTGGTGGCGTGCGCCTGTAGTCCCAGCTACTTGGGAGGCTAAGGCAGGAGAATTGCTTGAACCCAGGAGGGGGAGGCTACAGTGAGCCGAGATCATGCCACTGCACTGTAGCCTGGGTGACAGAGACTCCCTCTCAAAAAAAAAAAAATAAATAGAAATAAAAAAGCCAGGCACAGTGGCCCACATCTGTAATCCCAGCACTTTGGGAGGCCAGGGCGGGTGGATCACGAGGTCAGGAGTTCGAGACCAGCCTGGCCAATATGGTGAAACCCCGTCTCTACTTAAAATACAAAAAATTAGCTGGGTATGGTGGCGCGTGCCTATAGTTCCAGCTCTTCAGGAGGCTGAGGCAGGAGAATCACTTGAACCCAGGAGGCGGTGGTTGCAGTGAGCATAGATCACGCCACTGCACTCCAGCCTCGGTGACCGAGTGAGACTCCATCTCAATGAAAAAAAAAAACAAAAACAAAAACTCATGTCATTTGCTCAGAATCACATCTCATTGGAATCATTTTTTTAAAACTGTTTAATCAAGTGCTCAACATATCAATTCGTGTCTACATAGAGGATCATAGCTCCATTTCCCATCACTCAGCAAGTCCCATAATCTGCTTTTTCCACAAAGCGTATTTCTTTTCAGATTTACATGTGGCATGCATTTCAGTTCCAGAATTGAACTTAATGTGCTATTTTCTCTCTTCGGCTACTGGTCTGTGTGGAAGATAAGGAACTTTAATTTCGGGTTGGGTGCAGTGGCTCACGCGGGTAATCCCAGCACTTAGGGAGGCTAAGGCGGGCGGATCACGAGGTCAGGAGTTCAAGACCAGCCTGGCCAAGATGGTGAAACCCCATCTCTACTAAAAATACAAAAAACGTAGCCAGGCGTGGTGGTGGGCGTCTGTAATCCCAGCTACTCTGGAGGCTGAGGCAGAGAATTGCTTGACCCCGGGAGGTGGAGGTTGCAGTGAGCTGAGATCGCACCACTGCACTCCTGCCTGGGCGACAGAGCGAGACTCCGTCTCAGAAAAAAAAAACAAGAATTTTAATTTCAAATATTTGTTTACTGTATTAGTTAAGGCAACGGCTTAGTAATGGCACCTCCTGGATGGCCCTGTAAGCGCATTAATCTGGTCCAAGTCATTGGGAAACTCAGCCTTAAAGGGAATGGACTGAGTGGTTGAAGAGTAGGCAGGGTCTCCTCATTTTTGCATGGTTTGCCTCTGAGGCTGTGTATCTTTAGCTACAGACAGAATAGCTAACATTTATTGAGCCCTTACTCTGTCGCAAGCACTTGTTTAGTTGTTTTACATTCATTAACTCATTTACTCTTTTTTTTTTTTTTTTTTGAGACAGAGTCTCGCTCTTGTTGTCCAGGCTAGAGTGCAACGGCACGACCTTGGCTCACTGCAACCTCCGCCTCCCGGGTTCAAGCAATTCTCCTGCCTCAGCCTCCCAAGTAGCTGGGATTATAAGTATCTGCCACCATGCCTGGCTAATTTCTTTCTTTCTTTCTTTTTTTTTTTTTTTTGAGACGGTGTTTCGCTCTTGTTGCTCAGGCTAGAGTGCAGTGGCACTGTCTTGGCTCACTGCAGTCTCCGCCTCCTGGGTTCAAGCAATTCTCCTGCCTCTGCCTCCCGAGTAGCTGGGATTGCAGGTATCCGCCACCATGCCCGGCTAATATTTTGTATTTCTAGTAGAGATGCGGTTTTACCGTGTTGGCCAGGCTGGTCTCAAACTCCGGACATCAGGTGATCCACCCATCTCAGCTTCCCAAAGTGCTGGGATTACAGGCATGAGCCACCATGCCTGGCTTCATTTATTCTTTGTAAGTTAGTAGATCTCACTGTTTTACAGGTGAGGAAATAGAGGCCCAGAAATGTTGAATAACTTGTTTAAGGCTACAAACCCAGGTGGTCCAGAGTATGTCATTGTCAGAACCAGCTTTTCTTGGTTGTGAAGAATCCTTTGTCCCTGGCTTCAGTTGTGTCCAGGCAGTAGAAGATAGTTTCCTTAGGATTAGCTCCCAGTCAGTGTGAGGCAGATGTCTTGCAGCGGAATTTAGAGTCACAAATGGCCTCCTCTGCCTCCAGTTGTTTCTTTTGTCCTTGGTGGCCATTGGTAAATGTGGCCGAAATGGTGTGGATGGAGTGGGAGCAGCTTTCTGGGCTCACCTCCCTACTATTGAGGGCTCTACGCAAGAGCTATGGGAGACCTTTTTAAGAAACCCTCTTTAACCCCAGCTTCTGATTCACATCTTTATCTTTTCCCATCTTCCGGAATTTCAAGAACCCCTTTAGAAAAACCAAAGCCCCGAGTCCTAAAATTGATAACCAGCAATTAAGTACCTTAAAGTGTAGGGCATGATGGATTTCTAGGTTTGACTATCCTGCTTTGTGGCACCCATGAAATGTTGGGATTCTAGAACTCTTTCTTTGTAAGCACCCCACTCCCCACCAAAAAAAACCCCACTAAACATAAGAAGCTTTTGTCTGTGGATCTTAACTGTGTATATTTTGTCTCTAGGAAGCAAACTCAGATTCTCTCTTACAACCGTCTGTGTGCCACTTGCACACACACAGGCACAGAGCTACTTGCTTGTAGCCTTGACTGCCAGCAGCCCTGAACACCGTAGCTGGTGGTGCCAGGCCTTGTGTGTGTTTAGGACTTGCCAGTTCAGTCCTGGGAGCTGAACTCTGGACATCCTGCTGTGTGTCTCTTTATCCCATCGCTGGTGTAATTTATGCCACTACTTCCTGTTTGCATTTGCTCAGTCTCTCCTTTGGTTTGCTTCTCTCTGCTGAAGCCGGTCCCCATAGCTGTGCACATGGCTAGCTATGGGGACTAGGCATCTAGATATTCTAGACATCTGCAGTTGTTTCTTAGTGGGAATGGTTGCTTTATGTCTCTCTACAGAATTTTAGTTGAACTTGAGTGTATGATTTAATTTACTTGCTTGTCTAACTTCGGCAAGGGTGCCTTTTATTTTAAGATGCCAGCATGGGGTGAGAGTAAAGGGGTGAACTATTGCCCTCCCCCACCCCCCCACCCCCCACCCCCCCACTTTTTTTTTGAGACAGGGTTTCTCTCTGCCACCCAGGCTGGAGTGCAGTGGCGCAATCTCAGCTCACTGCAACCTCTGCCTCCTGGGTTCAAGTGATTCTTGTGTCTCAGCCTGCTGATTAACTGGGACTACAGGCGCCTGCCACCATACCTGGTTAATTTTGTATATTTAGTAGACACAGGGTTTCACCATGTGGGCCAGGCTGGTCTTGAACTCCTGACCTCAAGTGATCTGCCTGCCTTTGCCTCCCAAAGTGCTGGGATTACAGGTGTGAACCACTGTGCCCCCCCGCCCCACACCACCACCACTTTTTTTTTGAAACAGGATCTTGTTCTGTCACCCAAGCTGGAGTGTAGTGGCCCAAACATGGCTCACTGCAGCCTCAGCCTCCTGGACTCACACAGTCCTGCCTGAGCCCCCTGAGCACCTGGGGACTAATAGGCACGTCCCACTACACCCAGCTAATTTTTTTATTTTTATTTATTTATTTATTTTTTTGAGACTGAGTCTCGCTTTGTCGCCCAGGCTGGAGTGCAGTGGCGCGATCTCGGTTTGCTGCAAGCTCTGCCTCCTGGATTCATGACATTCTCCTGCCTCAGCCTCCCAAGTAGCTGGGACTACAGGCGCCCGCCACCACTCCCGGCTAATTTTTTTGTATTTTTAGTAGAGACAGGGTTTCACCATGTTAGCCAGGATGGTCTCGATCTCCTGACCTCGTCATCTGCCTGCCTCGGCCTCCCAAAGTGCTGGGATTACAGGCGTGAGCCGCCACGCCCAGCCTATTTATTTATTTTTTGAGATGGAGTTTCACTCTTGTTGCCCAGGCTGGAGTGCAATGGCTTGATCTCGGCTCACCGCAACCTCCGCCTCCCAGGTTCAAGCGATTCTCCTGCCTCATCCTCCCGAGTAGCTGGGATTACAGGCATGCACCACCACCGGCTAATTTTTTTTTGTATTTTTAGTAGATACGGGGTTTCTCTGTATTGGTCAGGCTAGTGGTGGTCTTGAACTCCCGACCTCAGGTGATCTGCCTGCCTCAGCCTCCCAGAGTGCTGGGATTACAGGCGTGAGCCACCGTGCCTGGCTTTATTTTTATTTTTTGTAGAGAATGGGGTCTTGCTTTGTTGGCTAGGCTGGTCTCAAACTCCTGGGCTCAAGTGACTGTCACCCGCCTTGGCCTCCCAAAGTGTTGAGATTACAGGCGTGAGCCACTGTGCCTGCTCTGTTGCCCTTGATTAAGGTATCACTTAGGGCTGGATGTAGTCGGTGGCTCACAGCTGTATTCTCAGCACTTTGGGAGGCCAAGGTGAGAGGATCACTTGAGCCCAGGATTTTGAGACCAGCCTGGGCAACAAAGCAAGACTCCATCTCTAATATTAAATAAATAAATAAGATTTACTTATCCAAAAGCACAATTATGTGCCTTTTTTCTTTTCTTTTGAGACGAGAGTCTGACTCTGTTGCCCAGGCTGCTGTAGTACAGTGACGCAGTCTCGGCCTTGACCTCCCAGGCTCAAGCAATCCTCCCACCTCAGCCTCCCAAGTAGCTGGGACTACAGGCATGTGCCACTATGCCTGGCTAATTTTTTGCACTTTTTGTAGAGATGGGGTTTCGTCATGTTGCCCAGGCTGGCCTGGAACTCCTGGCGTCAAGCAACCTACCTGCCTTCGCCTCCCAGAGTGCTGGGATTACAGGCAGTCGCCATTGTATCCAGCCCAGTTATGTAGTTATGTGCCATTTCTAAACTACTTTAGAACCCATCTCTTTGGTGTTTGTTTGTTTGAGACAGAGTCTCACTCTGTCACCTCAGCTGGAGTGCAGTGGTGTGATCTCAGCTCACTGCAGCCTCGGCCCCCAAGGTTCAAGCGACCCTCCCACCTCAGCCTCCCAAGTAGCTGGGACCACAGGTGCTCTTTTTGTTAAGAGTGGAAAAGCCAAGGTCCATGTACTTTTTTTGAGAAAGACAGCCTGTTGGCTTTCTTCAGAGTGGTTCTGCCCCTTCCCGTACCCCATCTCCAACACATTTTTATCTCTCAACAGAGGTAGCTGCTATTCACTCAGGTGTTCTTTAATGCTGTGGCCACGGCTTCCTTGGAGAGTGTGGCAGTGCTTTCCTTGCTAATGAAAAGGCTGTCATAATGGGTTAGGTCCATAGGGGCTCTGCCCTTCTGTACTTGTATTCCCAGGGAGAAAAATCTCTACCTTAATTACCGACATCTCATGCTGGCAGAGAGGTGTGGTTGCTAATTGATTAGATGACAGTCCTTTTCATTGATGTGGCACTGTTGGGGTGGTTTTGTTGTGCTTTTTCAAGTAAACAGATAGATTTGGGCCAGGTAAGTTGATTTTGGAGAGATGAAGTTCTGTGTAGGGATTTCCCTTTATTAAGCTCATGTCTTTAGTGCCACTTTTGTGTCCTGATTTTCTAACTTGATAGTAAGAAGTACTAAGTTGGCTTGTCTTGCTATTTTGGTGTGGGTGGTGAATAATGTCTCTTCTACCCTGCTCTCTGGTGCGTTCCTGTTCTGTTTGGTAGCACCACATTCCTCTATTTCGTTTGGTTTTCATTCCCTCTTTCTCTCTTGTAATGGTTGGACCCTATTCTGAAATATATATTTTAAGATAGTGTTACTTTGGGTGGTCGAGGCGGGCAGATCACCTGAGGCCAGGAGTTCGACACCAGCCTGGTCAACATGATGAAACCCTGTCTCTACTAAAAATACCAAAATTAGCCAGGCGTGGTGGTGTGCATCTGTAATCCCAGCTACTCGGGAGACTGAGGCACGAGAATTGCTTGAACCCAGAAGGCAGAGGTTGCAGTGAGCAGAGATTGTGCCACTTTACTCCAGCCTGGGCAATAAAGCAAGACTCAGTCTCAAAAAAAAAAAAAAAAAAAGTAGTGTTTAAAAGCAAACACCCTGCCTTTCTTGAAACCACAGAAACTGCTTGTGAAACAGCCGATAGGGCAGGCTGCCAAATACAGACTGTTAAAACCAATCTCTTAATGACAAAATGTCAAACACTGATGTTAAACCTTCATTATGACTGTGGTGTGAGGATTTTTCTCAATAAGAAATGTTTAGGTGCTGAACTCCCAGTTTCACATTCAGAATGCTTCTATTATCAAATTCCTCTTGGTACATCATTTCCGAGAGGCTTGTGTAGCTAATCCACTATCTACTGTACAGGAAAGATTTTAAATAAACCTATTCCCATTCATCCTCATCTGTGTTTTTTTGTTTTTTGTTTTAATTTCAAGAAGTAATTTTCTTTTGAGGTGATTTGGACCAACCGTCTCACTAGCTTTTCCCATTTAAGATAGGAGAACTAGATTCAGAATTGTGTCTTTTTCCTAACAGAAGACTGGGGCCTTAATCTTTACCCCCCAGGCTCTGATTAACTGACTTTTCTTTTTTTAGATGGCATAGAATCTTCTGTCTGTCTAGAGAATTTTGTTTCTTGCCAGGCACTGTCAGGAATTAGTATTCATTCCTCCCTGCTATCTTCCTGAAGAGCTGTGAACCTGCTGGTAGCCTGATGGATAAGGGTACAGTTGTTTGTTTATTTATTGAGACAGGGTCTCATTCTCTCACCCAGGCTGGAGTGCAGTGGCATGATCTTGGCTCACTGCAACCTCCGCCTCTCAGGCTCAAGCTATCCCCCAACCTTAGCCTCCTGAGTAGCTGGGACCACAGTCATGTGCCACAACACCCAGCAAATGTTTTGCGTTTTTTGTAGAGACAGGGTTTCCCCATGTTGCCTTTGCTGGTCTTGAACTCCTGGGCTCAAGTGATCCGCCTGCCTCAGCCTCCTGAAGTGCTGGGATACCAGGTGTGAGCTACCACAGTTGGCCAAGGTATAGTTTTATGAGCTGAGCTATAGAACTGGTTGAATGGGAATTAGGGAAAACAGACAACCAATAATTGGGAAGTAAAGGAAAAATATATAAGTGTGCCTCCTTGGTCACAGCTAGCCTTGTGACATTGGGGTTTTGGATATAGAACTTCAGGAATCCCTTCCACCTCCTTCCCAAGAGAATTTCTTCTGTTGGTGTTGTAAGGGGCTTTTTCCAACTTCATTTCCATTACCAAGAGTCTTGAGTGGCTTTATTTTCAACTTGGGTTTTTTAAGCGCTTCTCATGTCACCTTTGTTTGTGTACTGGGCCTGTCTCAAGTTTCCAGAGGGAGATGAAAGACAAGAAAAGCTAAATGACTGGTTCTTCAGTGAGTTTCCCAGAGTGGCTTCTTCTCATTCCAGCACTGCCTAACTCTCACCATGGCTGACGCCGTGGGCAGGCATCCGCATTCATGGAAAGCCAGGTCCTAGCTGGAAGTGACACAGGGATCTTCAGATCTCTCTTAGCCCACTGTTCCTCTGAAAAAAAAACAAAAGCCATAGACAGTAAATTGGGGGAATAGGCTGACCATAACTTCAGTTCGTGGATTTGGGTCCCACACTGGATTGTGTGATTTGTGCTTATCTCCTACTAGATTGTTACCTTCTTTGAAGGCTGGACTGTATCTTATCCTTCTCTGTATCACTTCGGACACCCAGAAACTGTTGGAGTACTTTGCACATGGTCACCTCTTAATGAATTATTTGTGAAACAAAAATTTTTTTAAATTGTAACATGAGGCTGGGTGTGGTTGCTTAGGCCTGTAATCCCCGCACTTTGGGAGGTAGAAGTGGGCAGATTGCTTGAGTCCAGGAGTTTGAGAACAGCCTGGGCAACATAGCGAAACCCTGTCTCTATAAAAAATAGAAAAGTTAGCTGGGTGTGGTGGTGCGGGCCTGTAGTCCCAGCTCCTTGGGAGGCAGAGGTGGGAGGATTGCTTGAGACCTTGTCTCAAAAAAATAAAAAAAAATTACTTAAAAAAATCGTAACATGGGTATTCTCCATTACAGTTACCCTTAGGGAAGTGTGTCCATATTGATTTGTAAGTCTGATATCAGTCTATCTGATTCTTTGGCTGTGTAAGTCACAAGTCTTAACCAGTATCTTAAGTAGGTGTGGTAATGACTACAGAGAAGTGCTTTTTCAGGATGAGAAGATGAGGGAGAAAATTTACACCATTGCTGGATTGTGTTAAGAACTCGGAGAGGAAACCACAGGGAGGATGCACTGCTGAGGAAATCGTCTGGCTTCCTGGAGTGGGGACCAGAGCCAGAGAGCCAAGCCCTCCTGGCTTTGCTGAGTTCTGTCCTTGCCCCTGACACCAACGTGTCTGCCTGCGTTGTTGCTCCTGGTTACAGTGGGCTCAGTCTTGCCTCTTTTTTGATGGGTGGGCAGAGGAACACTAGTGTTGGGAATATTGTCCAGCGTTGGAGAGATCATGTGGTCTGTCAGAAGGCTGGAGTTATTTATAGTGGGAGAAAAGCCCAGGAGCATGGCACGGGAAGAACTGATTTCACACCAGCTCAGCGCCTGATGATGGTGAGGACCCAGATTTTCCTTTGAGCATCTCAGAGCAGATCAGTCGCTTTTCCTGATTGACCCATGAACTGTGAGACTAGGGACCATGTTTTCCGAGGCCACTGTGAGTGAGGGAAGAGTGAGAAGGATGACCATTTTCTTCTTCCTTGATTCTGGTCTTTGTGATGTGTGGTATGAAAGTGTCATCTGACTTTTGAATCTCCTTTTATTGAACTGGTGAAGAAGGCACCAGCTGTGTGGGGTGGTGGAAATAAGGACCTGTTAAACTGGTCTGCCTGTATCTGCCTCCCTGCTCCCCCCTCACCCCACCCACCCCCACCCTGGGCAGGGAGGCTGAAACTGCTGCTTGCTAGGCTTTGCCAACTCAGTTTCTCTTCATGGATTACCTGCTCGCGGCAGGCAGGCAGGCAGCTCCCCACCTGGAAGCCTGCAGACTCGCCGAGCTGAGAGAATCATGCTGCAGGTGGGGGCAAGTGCTAGGAACTAGGTGTGCCACTTACCTTAACAGGAGCTGTGCCTAGTCCGGGCTGCTCAAACTAAGGCTGCAGAGCCCTGGGGCCTGTTGGAAATAGACTGTGCCTTTCCCTGCGCCTTGTGGCCACATTTTTATGGTATGTGGAGAGTCTGGGAGGGGCCGGGAGCTTGTAAATTGTGAGTAAATGAAGTCTAGGGAGGGAGATGATCCTTCTTGAGGGCACCCTGAGTTCAGGGTTGTCATGTTTCTGAGGTGTGCTACTGCTTAGTACCCTGATTTCTGGAGTTGTCTACCTAGGTTGCTTTTAATTTTTTCAGCCTTAGGTGGAAGAGATTTTCCATCTTGGTGTTTAGGCATGTTAGGTGAGGTTTACTTCCGGAGCCAGACTTTTAGGCAGGTTGTCTTGACATAAGTCAAGGTCAGGAAGCGATCTTCAGGACATGCAGACGATGCCCACTTCCTGCTGTGGTCTTGAAGAGGGCTGGAAGGCTTGTGAGCACAGAGGCACTGAGGGCTGTCGCATCCATACAGGAAGACACTCAGGGCTCGTCTCCGGTGCCTCATTTTATAAGCATGGAAACAAAAGTCCCAGGAGGGTGAATGACTTGCCCAAGGTGACATAAATTGTTTGCGCAGAGCTGGGTCTAGAATGGATCTTATGCCCTTGGCAGCGTGCCCCCATTGCCATCACTTCAGAGGGGCTGGCTGCAGCCCTCAACGGCAGAAGGCAAGCTGGGAAAGGACAAGTGGAAGGGTAGCAGGCCCCAATTCTGCACACTGGAGAGCACCTCTGAAATCCTGCCGGAGACTATGCCCATAGAGGTGCCAGAGGCCCTAGGGAATGATGATTTATTTTGTATTTTGTATTTTTGTGGAGACAGGGTCTTACAATATTGCCCAGGCTGGTCTCAAATCCTAGGCTCAAGTGATCCTCCCACCTGGGTTCCCAGAGTGTTGGGATTGCAGACATGAGCCGTGGCGCCCGGCTGGGAATGATTTAAAAGTCGGCACCAGCATTCTAGCCCTGACCCAGGCTAAAAGGGGTCACATGGAGCAGAGCTGTGCAAAGAGCTTTTGGGTGAGGAGTCACTCCGAGAAAAGCGAGAAGACTCTGACCCCGAGACTTCCCGTGGTGAGTTAGGAAAGCATTTCTGGAGAGCCTGTTAGGTGCCAGGCACTGTGGCTGGGCACTGAAGACACGAAGTGATTTAGTCTTGGAAATTCCCTTATGCTGCTCTCAGTCTGTGTAATAGTGAACAAGACAGCCAACAAGAGTTGTGAAGGAGGCCGTTCAGCAAGCAATGAAGTGCTAGTGCAGGAAGGCCCGAGCTGGGAAATGTCCGGAGAGACCCTGTGAAGTGATGCAGGGATCAGGAAAGCTTCCTGGTGGAAGCAATGTCTGAGCTGAGGCTCACCACAAAGAGGAATGGGAGTGACTGCTAGAGGGAAAGTGTTCCAGGCAGTGGAAAGCTGTGGCCAAGACCTGGGGGGGTCTGAGAGGCCATTGTACATTTGAAGACAGGTGGCTGGAACCCAGAGTGAGACTCTAGGAAGGGAAGAGAGTTAGTCTGGAGCTGCAGGCAGGGAAGGGGAGACAGCCAGCTCATAATACAGTGTGGGCAAAAATCCAGAAACCATGTGGATCTAATTTGATATCAATTTTACATGTATATGTGTATATACCTACACACACATACATAAAATCAGTTATGTTTGTGTGTGTGTATATGCATATTTGTGTGTGTGTGTACGTGCGTGCATACAGAAAGTTGTTTTTTTAAGGCATGCTTTAAATACGAAGCCATCACTTCCTTTTCCCAGTCCTGGGTGCCTTTTGAGATGAGTGTTGGTGCTCCCCCCACCGCCATGTGCCATCTTCTGGAGTAAGAGGGAGTGCTTTCACTGTGTGCAGGTGTGGCTAAAGAGTATTCACTGTGTGCAGGTGTGGGTGAAGAGTATTCACCGTGTGCAGGTGTGGCTGAAGAGTATTCACCGTGTGCAGGTGTGGCTGAAGAGTATTCACCGTGTGCAGGTGTGGCTGAAGAGTATTCACCGTGTGCAGGTGTGGGTGAAGAGTATTCACCGTGTGCAGGTGTGGCTGAAGAGTATTCACTGTGTGCAGGTGTGGCTGAAGAGTATTCACTGTGTGCAGGTGTGGGTGAAGAGTATTCACTGTGTGCAGGTGTGGGTGAAGAGTATTCACTGTGTGCACGTGTGGCTGAAGAGTATTCACTGTGTGCAGGTGTGGGTGAAGAGTATTCACTGTGTGCAGGTGTGGGTGAAGAGTATTCACTGTGTGCAGGTGTGGGTGAAGAGTATTCACAGTGTGCAGGTGTGGGTGAAGAGTATTCACTGTGTGCAGGTGTGGGTGAAGAGTATTCACTGTGTGCAGGTGTGGGTGAAGAGTATTCACAGTGTGCAGGTGTGGGTGAAGAGTATTCACTGTGTGCAGGTGTGGGTGAAGAGTATTCACTGTGTGCAGGTGTGGGTGAAGAGTATTCACTGTGTGCAGGTGTGGGTGAAGAGTAGGCTGTCCAGGATTTCAATCCTTGGCTTTTGCTCTGCAGCAAGGGCTGGCTGAGGGCACTGTGAGGCTTCTTCAGGCCCAGGAGTCAGGCCCACTTTCCCTTTTCTCTTGAGGGAATGACTCAGAGAACACTCCTGCCACCGGAGGTTCTGCAGGCTTTTGAGAGGCAGCCAGTGGAGGCTGATGGTAGCAGTTGGTGAGAAAGAGGAAGTATGTAGTGGCCATTCCTCCGGCCACTCCTGACAAATATTTCTGTCACTAAACAGCACCTCTCTGTGGCAGCCTTGGGCTGTGTTCTGGAAAGGGAGGAGCTTTCCTCTCCCTGTGGGAGGGCCTGTCATCTGTGGCTTCTGCTTTGCCCTTGGCCACAGACTAGATTGCACAACACAGCCAATGAGAGTCCCTCTTCCCTCACAAGTGCTTGGAGTGCAGACCTTAACTTACAGGGTTGTAGAAGTGACCGTGTTCCACACTGCAGGGTCCAGGTCACAGCCGGCAAAGCACATGAAAATTGACCTAAGGTTAGAATGTGATTATCCTACTGGGAAAGGTTTACTGGGACAGCATTTCACTTCTGACTCCATAGGCTGTCGTCTCCTGCCAGGGAGTGAGTTTTGTTTCCATGCTTGTCCAGTCTTTACTGCTTTCCCAGAGGCCATAAACCTGCCTTTTCCCAGAGGCCATAAACCTGCCCACCTCCTGCTATGTTCTAGTTCTGATAGGAGTACCATTCAGAGTTCTTGGCAGGGGACCAACCCGCTTCTACCGTGGTTGGTTTCCCCTCCTTTTCCCAGCTTGTTTGATGTGCACGTTCTCCAAAATTCTTATGCAGCTGGTTGGCTCTGTAGTGCCCAGAGATTGGAGCTCCTGCAACGGGAACCCCGCCGCTTCCCTCCCTGGTTTTAGGGGCAGGGCTTGAAAATAAAGAATCATAATCTCCCTTCCTCCTCCTCCTCCTCTCCCCCACTTCTCCCTGCCCCCACCCCCACCCCCACCCCCACCCTGCCAGGCAAACTGGAGTGACCAGCTCAGAGCGGGACTCAGTCCACCTCCCTGCTCTGCATGTCAGCAGTGATCTGGAGGAGATTCCGGGGCGCATGAGTATGTGAACTCTGGAGCACGTTACTGTCCCGGGCTGGCACTCTGTGGCAGGTGTGTGCACTCATTCTGCTGTTACTGGAGACCAGTCTCCTTAGGGGTGATGGTGACCCAGCTAGATGTCTGCCAGGTCTGTCCAAGGCCACCCTGTTCTCTAATAGCTTGGGAAATGGAAAGCACTTCTAAATACCCCTGCTCTTCAGAAGAGCTGGCTGGGTGGTTTGGGGAGTTTCTTCTTTGAATCTCTTAGAGTACAATATCCCTTTTTTCCCGAAAGCCAGGTTCTTTAGTTCCTAAGCTCCATTCTCTTGTTGCTAACTTACTACCTTCAGTTTTCTTAGGTTGGGTGCATCTTCCCTGGCCTCAACAAGACAGTGGCTGAAAGGTCAAGAGAGTGGTAGCTGCTCCTTTGAGAGAAAGGGGATGTTGGAGTGGGAGCACAGGCTGCCAGCAGTTGTTTCACCTTCCCCCTTTGGCTGGCTAGGAAAGGGGCACCACTTTAGTCTTCTGCCAACCTCCACAGCCAGCTGTGGGAAAACCCAAAAGGAAACATCCTCTCGCTGCTAAGACTTGAGAGCCTGAGGCAGAGACCAGCCAGTAGCAGCCCGACCCTGCTGAATGGGGAGGATTGTTTATTTTATTTTATTTTTTTCTGAGACGGAGTCTTGCTCTGTTGCTCATGCTGGAGTGCAGTGGCGCGATCTCGGCTCGCTGCAACCTCCACACCCCAGATTAAAGCGATTCTTCTGCCTCAGCCTCCCGAGTAGCTGAGACTGCAGGCATGCGCCACCACGCCCAGCTAATTTTTGTATTTTTAATAAGAGACAGAGCTTCACCATGTTGGCCAGGCTGGTCTTGAACTCCCGAACTCAGGTGATCCGCCTGCCTCGGCCTCCCGAGGGACTGGGATTACAGGCATGAGCTACTGTGCCCAGCCTGAAGATTGGTTATTTAGGGGCTGTGACAAATGGTTTTGCAGAGGAGCACTGGAAAGCCTGTAACTTCACAGAGCCAGGGGTCAGCTTTTGTGCCATAGCCTTATAGCTTCTGTGGCCTGTAGTGCCTGAGGCCAGGGGATCAGGTGCTGACCACCTTTCCCTCTTCCTTCCTGTGTCTTGCGGCCAGCGACTGTTATTGTCAGGTTGACCCTCTGGTTAGAGAGGATGACTTTGGCCTGGTGTCCAGACTCCCTGCTGCCTTATCCCCTCTGCCCTGGAACTGCACCTAAAAACAATTACTTTCCTCCTGATTCCAACATAAGTGGTCACAGAAAGTTCTGTTTTGGCATTTTGATTTCTGATTGGGAGTTTAGGCATCTGAGAATTGAATGCTTGCTTTATACAAATATACCCTTAAGACATCTCCTCTTTTTTCAGCCCTACATGCTTTGCTTGGGTATTAATTGAACTTGGGGCTTTTTAGGGACCTTATGTTGCCTACCTTCCTAGTTTCCCCTCCACTCCACCCCCAAAAAACCCAAAGAACATTGGAAAAATTGAGCAGTGCCTCAAGGTCACTTGATCATAAGTGGTATTTGGCATAGTTAACTGGTTTGGTGTTTGGTGAGAGATTTCTGCTTTATATTTGAGCAAAAAATTTCTTGGCGGGAGGCCTCTATGCTGTGTTGCCAATGCTTGCCCTGTGCGCAGGGTTTGCCCCCTCCCCTCCCTTGACAGGTTGTTCTAATCCCCTTGTCTATAAACAAGTGCAGCAGAACTTGTCGGCCCAGCTCACATGACCTTGGTTATCTCTTTAACCAGCATCAGCGTTAGATACCACGGTCACTTGACATGGTAGAGCTGTCAGGGTAGAGTGGAGATACCAGCAGGAATCCTGGTCCACGAAGAAAGGTAAATGGGAGTGTGTGTGAGGCCTTAGGACTGGGTGGGAAAAGTCTGTTCCCATGGGGTAGGGCTTTCAGCTGTGAGAAGAGGATAATTTCATTCCTTCTCCTTTTTTAAGAGACTGTCTCACTCTGTCGCCCAGGCTGGAGTGCAGTGGTCTAATCAAGGCTCACTGCAGCCTCAACTTCCTTAGCTCAAGCAATCCTCCTGCCTCAGCCTCCTGAGTAGCTGGGACCACAGGTGCATGCCACCATGCCCAGCTAATTTTTTTTTTTTTTTTTTTTTGAGGTAGAGTCTCACTCTGTCACCCAGGCTTAAGTGCAGTGGTGCGATCTCGGCTCACTACAGCCTCAGCCTCCCAGGTTCAAGCGATTCTCCTGCCTCAGCCTCTTGAGTACCTGGGATTACAAGTGTGTGCCACCATGCCCAGCTAATTTTTATATTTTTAGTAGAGATGGGGTTACACCATGTTGTTCAGGCTGGTCTGAAACTCCTGACCTCGTGATCCGCCCACCTCAGCCTCCCAAAGTTGTTGGGATTACAGGCGTGAGCCACCACGCCCAGCTAATTTTTCTTTGTTGAGATGGGGAATCTCATTATGTGGCCTAGGCTGGTCTCGAACTCCTTGCCTCAAATGATCCGCCTACCTCAGCCTCCCAAAGTGCTGGGATTACAGGTGTGAGACACTGTGGCCAACTTTCATTCCTTCTTTATCACCCTAAAATTTCTAGTTCTGGCGTCTTGTTTATCTTTCTCAAATCCTGTCTGCAGGGGCCCAGGACATGCAGCTGTTTCAGGAAACCGCCCTTGAGATGGGGCAGATGTATGCTAGTTCATGGGCTATAAAACTCAACACCAAAAATCCCATCGTCCTAAACAGTGACCTGTTATGTTGTGTGAAGGACAGTGGCGATGGGGGCCTGGCCGCCAGAGAGGCTGCTGGATTCTATGGCAGACACACTCAGGAGCTGGAAGTGTGGCTAAGCTTTCAGCAGCACCATCACTTCCCTCCCCATACACATGCACACAGGTTTCCTTTGTCTCACAGCTGAAGAGGCAGCGCCCAGCTTCAGTAAGCACTGTGTATGAGAATGGACTTACTCTGGCCACACTGTGCACACGCATGTGTGTGTAAAACACTGATCACATTTCCCATAAAGACTGTTGATTTGCAGAGTTTCCAGGCCCATACATCTAGGGCGGGATGTGTGTGTTTTCATCAGGGGAGAGTAGAGTGGCCTTTTGTGGAAGGGATAAAATGGTTGAGCTGCTGGAGACTTTTCTAGCTCCATTTATACAGCAGCCTTTCTGCCTGGGTGCAGACTTGAACCCAAGTCCAAGTTCAAGCCATGTGTGTAGATGACCAGAACTTAGCCTTCAAACTTAGCCTTCAACTTCAGGACTCTCCTGGAGAAAACATCCATCTCCTTTTGGAGATACAGAGAATTCGTGATGAGCTTTGAGTACAGAAGTTCAAGTTATATTTTCTGGCAACCTACAGAATAAGTTGGGAAAGGATATGTAATTATAGAAATAACCAGCATGTCGCCAGGCATTGTTGTCCGTGCTTTAGATGGTGTGGATATTTTGTAATTTCTGATTCTTTACCTACTGTTTTCAAGACTTGGTAGGGACCCCGTTATGGCTGTGGGGTTCTTTGTCCTTGGTAGTTAGCATGAACTATGTAGAGCAACAGAATGGGTAGCCGTGGCCTCTGGCCACCCAGCTAAATTCTACTGATGAGAGGTATCCTGGGTGGGTTTCTTCTTTGGGTCTTCGTTTATGCCGCCATTCCTATTGCCAGTTAGAGCTGCCTTTTAGGATTTGTTGGGTAGGAGCTGTATTCCTCTTGGAGCCATCTTTTCTTCCCTGCCATCTCTGAGTGAATTCAGAGGTGGAGAGCTACAGACTTGGCTGCTTGCCTCCTTCAAAACACCCAGCATTCCCTTGTCCACAGTCTGTGTAGCAGCACATCTAACAATGCCCAAAAGCGGCCCCCTTCCTCCCAGCCACTTGTTAATGGGTGGTTCTGGTTCCTGAGGGCTTCGACCAGTGCACGAGCTAATCTCACTGAAGAGTGCCATTCCCAGGTTCATACCACAGAAGTTAGAAAGCTCAAAGCCCAGGTCTTCTGCACCGAAGAGTGCCATTCCCAGGTTCATACCACAGAGGTTAGAAAGCTCAAAGCCCAGGTCTTCTGCTGCCTTGGGCCATTCCCTTCTCTTAGAAACCAGTTCAATCAGACTCTTTTTTTTTTTTTTTTTTTTTTTTTTTGAGACGGAGTCTTGCTCTGTCAACGAGGCTGGAGTGCAGTGGCATGATTTCGGCTCACTGCAGCCTCGACCTCCCCAGGCACAGGTGATCCTCCCACCTGGGCCTCCTGAGTACCTGGGACTACAGGTGCCCACCACCACGCCTGGCTGATTTTTGTATTTTTAGTAGAGATGGGGTTTCATCATGTTGGCCAGTCTGGTCTCGAACGCCTGACTTCAAGTGATCCGCCCGCCTCAGCCTCCCAGAGTGCTGGGATTACAGGCGTGAGCCACTGCACCCAGCCCAGACTCTTTTCATAGGATGCTGAAAGGATGAATTAAGTATAAAAAGTGCCTTTTGGCCAGATGCAGTGGCTCATGCCTATCACTTGAGAGGAGCTTGGGCAACATGGTGAAACCCCATCTCTACAAAAAATACAAAAATTAGTTGGGCATGGTGGTGGGCACCTGTAGTCCCAGCTACTCAGAAGGCTGAGGTGGGAGGATCACCTGAGCCTGGGGAGGTCGAGGCTGTAGTGAGCCAAGATCGCGCCACTGCACTCCAGCATGGTGACAGAGACCCTGTCTCAAAAAAAAAGTGCTTTTTAATAAGGTACACGTAATGGAAAATGGCTGTCATCTGGTTTGCCATACTCTGCTCCTAGGTAGAAAGTACAAACAGCAAGGGCCCCTTGGAGCAAAATTGTCATTGCCGCCAGTGAATAAACAGCAGTGGTTGGCTTTGAGGGGCACCTTCAGCCTAAAGCCATAAGCTGACATATACTCAGTCTCACTGAGAAGCTCGGGCTTTCCACTGTTCACCTAACTGCTGACAAATGAATCCTCCATTGATCTGGCAAGCTGGCCAGGATACCTGCCCAGGCCATGGCCACTTAGTAACAGGATCCGGTTCTCAGTGCAGGGTTGAGACTGCAGCAGCAGTGGCAAGCCCAGTAAGGCAGGTATGAAGCACAGCCCCCGCATCGGTTGCCTAGTAGGGAAGACAGTTGTAAAGAGCATTTGCCCCTGTTATGTCAGGGTACTGTTGCAGGTTGTCTTTTCTCCTCTAGCTGGAAGTTGTTCTACCCAGTCTTCCTTAATTAGCTCTTCTTTTGTGTAAGGCAGCACCCATTTAAAATTCTTTTCCTCCAGCCTCATTCCTCATCTCCATTTGGGTTTATATCTCCTCAGAACCTCTCTCCTACCCAGCCTTAAGCTCTACCCCAAATGCTTTGAAGCTCTCTTGTTCAAGTCTTTTTTTTTTTTTTTTTTTTTTTTTGAGACAGAGTCTCTCTCGCTCTGTCGCCTAGGCTGGAGTCAGTGGCACGATCTCGGCTCACTGCAAGCTCCGCCTCCTGGGTTCACGCCATTCTCCTGCCTCAGCCTCCCGAGTAGCTGAGACTACAGGTGCCCACCACCACGCCCGGCTAATTTTTTGTTTTTTTAGTAGAGACAGGATTTCACCGTGTTAGCCAGGATGGTCTCGATCTCCTGACCTCGTGATCCACCTGCCTCGGTCTCCCAAAGTGCTGGGATTACAGGAGTGAGCCACCGCACCTGGCTCAAGTCTTCTTGATTCAAGCCCTCACCCAGAGCTTGAAGACTAGGGAGCCCCCGTGTCTGCTGCCCATGGTGCTTGGAGAGCAAAGATCTGTTCCCGGGTCCTGAGTTGGAACTCTGAATTCATTTCCTGTTCTGGGCTATGGTTTAAGTCTTAAGTACAATTCACGTACCCCTTGAAATACTATGCTGGGACCTCATGGGCTGGCCTGAGAACACAGCTACCATTTGTAACATGTTTCTATGGAAAAAGAGTTCCTTCTTAGAACAGAACTTTTGGTAACTTGGGGATTTCTTGACTAATATGCTGCAACAGATTTGCATTTGCCTGTGGAAGTGTCTCTTTATTTTGTATTCAGCTGGGCACGGTGACTCACGCCTGTAATCCCAGCACTTTGGGAGGCCGAGGCAGGCAGATCACTTGAGGACAGGAGTTTGAGACCAGCCTGGCCAACATGGTAAAACCCCATCTCTACTAAAAATACAAAAAAATAATCTGGGCCTGGTGGTGAGCGCCTGTACTCCCAGCTACTCTGGAGGCTGAGGCAGGAGAATCACTTGAACCCAGGAGGTAGAGGTTGCAGTGAGCTGAGATGACACCACTGCACTCCAGCCTGGGCGATAGAGTGAGACTCTGTCTCAAAAAAAAAACATTTAAAAAATCACATTTTGTGGTCATGGCACTATCTATCACACAAGTAAGTTGTCCTCCTATATGCCAAATGACAGAAAAGAAGCACCCTCCTCTTCCCACCCAGAAAGGTTGCTAGAGAGCTACCCTTGTCTTCTGTGATTGCCTTGAGGGGCAGGTTTGTCTGGGTTCTCCATGTCAGCTGATTTGATCCATAGTCCAGTAGCACCTGAAACAGGATGCCCTCATTCCACAACTTAGGTGCCCTCTCCTGCTTGGTTTTTTAATGATCTGCTACAGGAGAAAGATAGCACCTCTCCCTTCAGCAGGAGCAGCCCAGTAAGGGCTTGCTTCTAGAAAGATTGGCCAGTTGGATTTTTAGTGGTCACTTAAGTGGAGTAGCCACTTTGCAGCCTGGCCCAACAGGGAGACAGTTCTGAGGTGAGGGTGGCAGTGACAGCCTTGGGGTGGTTTCTGATGTGCTCTGACCTCTGGCCATGGTGACTTCTGGAGCAACAAACTTTGTCCCAGTATTTTTTTCTGACATTTCCTCCTCCTTATTCAACTCCCTCTTTGAAACTGGAGGAGTAGGGAGGCAGTATTTGTTCACTTCCAGAGAAAGATGCAGCAGGAAGAGGCATATGTCTTGTTCTGCACTTTCCAGCAGCAATGCTGGGACTAGGGGGTCTAGAAGGCCTGTTTCCCAGCTCCAGGCTGGATCTTATCCTCAGCATACAAGCAAGTTTTAAGGAAACAACATTGGAAAGGGCAGAAACAAAGGGTTAAATCTGTACCCAGGTAGAAAGACTGTTGCATAAATGCTGAGTTTTTTTTTTGTTTTTTTTTTTAAGATCTCATGCTTCTTTTTTACTTTGTGTTGGCAAAAACCCCAGGAGAAGATGGGAGATTCTGGGAGGAGATGATTATGCTGGGTGAGTCAACTGAGCTCCCCAGCTGCCGTTTTTAGTTCTTTTGCTTTTCTGTAACAGGAGGCAGTTTGGGGAGGGGTTGGGGGCAGGGTGGGAATGCTGATTTTTGCAGCAGGACAGGAGGCAGGTGTGTATGGGTGAAATTATTTTGACACCCTAGAGTTAACCGGGCCTTAGAGTCAGTACATTGGTTCAAGTAACAAATATCAAAGCAGAACTCTTAGTGTGGCAAACAATAAATAATTGTCTCCTAGATTCTTATACAAGTCACTGTCCGTCCCCAATTGGTAGCTCTTAGAATGGCTCGAGTTGCATTCATTGTCACAGCAAGACACAATGGTTTTGATAGCAAAGCAGTAGAGAAACTAAATGTAGAGAGGCAGAGAGAACTGTATTAAGTCTGAGGACCTGGTGGTTGTCATGGGCAGCAGGAAGTGTGAAGGAGAGGGTTTTCCCTCCGATGAAAGGAAGGCTAGGGCTTGATTCAGGGGAGCAAGTGGGATGGGCCCTGCTGGTCCCTGGCTGTGCCTATATTCTGAGTCTGTCTCCAGCTCACCTTGGTGATCACTCACTTTTCATCCATCACTGGGATAGGGGATCTCGTGGCTCATTACCCTCATGGGTATTTTTTGCAGAGTACACTGAAGTGGGCTATCAGTTATCAGTTGGTCCCAGAGACCGTCATGAAGACATCGCAAAATGTTTTCTTATGTATTCATTTGTGCACATTTATTAATTCAGTACTTTACTGAATACTGTGCTGGGCATTGTTCTGGGCCATGAATAAGACAGACCTGGCCTGGTGCAGTGGCTCACGCCTGTAATCCCAGCACTTTGGGAGGCCAAGGCAGGCAGATCACCTGAGGTCAGGAGTTCGAGACCAGCCTGGCCAACATGGTGAAATCCCGTCTACTAAAAAAAAAAAACAAATTAGCCAGGCATGGTGGTGGGCACCTGTAATCCCAGCTACTTGGGAGGCTGAGGCAGGAGAATCGCTTGAACTCGGGAGGCAGAGGTTGCAGTCAGCCGAGATCACGCCACTGCACTCCAGCCTGGATGGCCAGAGAGAAACTCTGTCTCAAAAAAAAATACCAAGGTCCCTCCTTTTGTAGTGTAGTCTAGCAGGAAGGACAGATAGTAACCAACCAACTTCAAGGGCAACGAATGCCTCGAAAGAGGGGAAATGGGGCTGGTAGCAAGAAATTGTGATCTTCCTTCCTCTACCCTTATCTCTTGGGGTCGAGAGTGGGGTCGAGAGTGGGCAACTTTAAAGATCAAAAAGTTGTGCCTCTCTTGTTCCCTAAGTATTGTAACATGGGTCAGCTAGGTGTGGGCACTGTTGGGCACTGAGGGTATATGAAGGTGAGGGAGATACTGGCTCTCATCTGTCAGAGCATGAGGGGGTTAAGGTATGGGGACACAAACAAGAAATCAATGGGGCTGGGTGTGGTGGCTCACGCCTGTAATCCCAGCACTTTGGGAGGCTGAGGCAGGAAGATTGCTTGAGCCTAGGAGTTTGAGGCCAGCCTGGGCAAGATGGCAAGATGCCATCTCTACAAAAAAAATGAAATAAATAAAAAACTAGCCAGGCATAGTGGCACACACCTGTAGTCCCAACTATTCGAGAGGCTGAAGCAGGAGAATCCCTTGAACCCAGGAGTTTGAGGATGCAGTGAGCTGTGATTGTGCCATTGCAGTCCAGCCTGGGCAAGAGAGCAAGACTTCATCTCACAAAAGAAGAAGAAATGAAGAGTACAGATAGAGCGCTGAGAGTCTAGAGAAGTGAGTCTAGAGAAGTGAGTGACCACTCCCCGCTAAGACGGTGTCTGGATTTGAGATAAACAACGGATAAGAGGACTTACCTGGATCACAGGAAGGCGCATAGGATAGATGACCACTTTCCTTTTAGTATGTGTAGATCTGGGTAGCTCTTTGTACCACAATTCTGACCCATTCTTTTTTCTTATTATTTTTATTTATTTATTCAAAATAATAATTTTTTTTTTGAGACAGTCTTGCTCTGAGCCACCATGCCCAGCCTGAAATAATAAAAGTTTTAATCTTTTAAAAAATATGGGCCAGGCTTAGTGGCTCACACCTGTAATCCCAGCACTTTGGGAGGCCGAGCTGGGCGGATCACCTGAGATCAGGAGTTCGAGACTAGCCTGACCAACGTGGAGAAACCCTGTCTCTACTAAAAATACAAAATTAGCCGGGCATGGTGGCGCATACCTGTAATCCCAGTTACTTGGGAGGCTGAGGCAGGAGAATCACTTGAAACCCGGGAGGCGGAGGTTGCAGTGAGCCGAGATCACGCCATTGCATTCCAGCCTGGGCAACAGGAGCGAAACTCTGTCTCAAAAAAAAAAGGAATGCTTCACAAATTTGTGTGTCATCCTTGCACAGGGGCCATGCTAATCTTCTCTTTATTGTTCCATTTTTTTGTATATGTGCATGTACAGAGTAGTGGAGCTGGGTTATCACTACAGTCTAACTCCAGAATGACACCCTTCACTACTATACCATATATGGTGCCCCAGTATACAGCAGTGGAGCTAGGAAGAAAAGCCCAGTGTCTAGAGAGCCCAGAAAATATGCCAAGAACATATATACTAGGCAAAGAAAACGAGGTTAGGAGGAAGCCCAGCCACCTCAGCTGCACTGGTTAGGATCTGCTGCCTCCCCACAGTCCTCTGTAAAGTGAGCCAGACCTCTATGCTGCAGGCTTCCTTCTGCCTACCCCCACCACCCCCATCCCCCAGAGCCCTGGGCTACTGGCAGGCTGGCTCTCCTGTGATATGGAGGAACTTGTTGGTCTCCATGGTTACGGTAACCCACTGGTATGGGAGGAACCGCATAAAGTGCGAGGCTGGCAGTGTGAGCTTCCCTCAGCCCTTGGCACCATGTGGTACTGGTATGTCGGCTGTTTCATGGACCTTTTCTGGGAGGAGGGAGTTAAGGAACTGATGAAGAAGGGAAGAACCCTGGCAGGACCACTGTCGTCATCCTCTGGGCCACACAGAGGGCGAAGGCATGGGCACCATGTCATTCAGCTACTCCTCCTGCAGGATGGTTTTATGTTAGGAAAGAGGGTCCTCTTTGCCTGATTGCCCAGCCATGGCAGAATTTGACTTTTCCTTGTTATAGAGGGAATACCAGGATGACAGGAATCAACTTAGCTATACTGGTACTTACAGTCAAATTTCTAGGTATTGTAGCTCTTCCCAGAGCCCAGAGAACCCTTGGAGAGGGGAAACAATGGTTCCTACCCAAAAATGAAGCTAGATAATAATAGAATACATCATCAAGACATTACTGAACACCACGTTCTATGGTAAACACTGACATGGATTTTCCTTTTTTTTTTCCTTTGAGACAGGGTCTTACTCTGTCACCCAGGCTGGAGTGCAGCAGTGTGATCACGGCTCACTGCAGCCTCAGCCTACCTCCCTGGGCTCAGGTGATCCTTCCACCTCAGCCTCCCAAGTAGCTGGGATTGCAGGCACTTGTCACCACACCCCGGCTAATTTTTGTGTTTTTTTGTAGAGCCTGTGTTTTGCCATGTTGCCCAGGCTGGCCTCGAGTTCCTAGGCTCAAGGGATCTGCCTGTCTTGGCCTCCCAAAGTGCTGGAATCAGAGGTGTAAGCCACCACGCCCGGCCAGATTTTCTCATTTAATCTTCACTCTAATTCTGTGAAATGGGTACAGCTAGTATCTTTATGTCCCAAATGAGGAAACAGATTTGGAGAAGTTATGTCACTTTGCTCATGTTCAGTCAGCTGGTAAGCAACAGAGGTGGGCAGAGCGACTATAGTAAGTTTTCTGTATAGTTTACCTCTTTTAAGTTTCTGGAAGGCAGGAGCCAGATCGCACTGAGCTTTGCAACTGGAGCCAGGGCTCCAGAGTACTGCTCAACAAAGGTTTGCTAGGGCAACAGTAGCTGGGGATTTAGCGACCAGACCCCAGCAAGCAGATTCTCAGGGATGAAAGTAGTCCTGGAAGCCTCTAAAGCCCTGGTTGCTCAGTAGAATCTAGTTTCAAGAGGAGCCCAGCATTTCAAGTGGCTCTGAAGACAGAGGAGATTTGGAGAGTGCTCTTTGCATTGTGGCTTCCAGGCCTGAAGGAGAGTGAGCTGGAGGTTGCTCTCTGTTCTCACCTCTTATGCCATGTCAGGTTTTTCCCAGGCAGGCTTGAGTCCTGGGGGAGCCCCGCCTCATGGCCCAGGCTGCAGTGCTGATCTCCCTGCCTTGTGGTGAGGATTGCAGCTCAGAGAGCTAAAGGGCAGTAAACCACCTTGGTTTTGGCTTTGTGCTTAAGTTGCAGGCTCTTCTGGTTATCCTTTGTGAAGGAGGCTCTTACCCTGGCTGGAAAGAGGGAGCAGCCCCTGCCTCCCATCTACAATGGGACAGTAAAGGAATATGGCTGTTTCTCAAGTGGAACAGTCACAGTTAATTTTGGGGGTGGGAGCATCCAGGCTTTCCACTGGTGAGTGCCTGCCAGTTTTACAAGCTCTCCTACACTGAATGCTCCTCTGGTTTATTGACTCTTGGCAGTTGATAGCGATAGTTGCTCATGGCAGTTGATAGCGATAGTTGCTCAGAATCAAAGGATGAAAAGACAGTTTCTGGATACAGTGAGGGAGGAAGGGTTAAAAAACAAAGGACTCCAACTCCCAGTTACAAGATGTCCCATATGGCCATGCGCAGTGGCTCACTCCTGTGATCCCAGCACTTTAGGAGGCCGAGGTGAGAGGATTGCTTGAGCCCAGGGAGTTCGAGACCAGCCTGGGCAACATGGAGAAATCCTGTCTGTACAAAAAATACAAAAATTAGCCGGGCTTGGTGGCCCATGCCTGTAGCCCCAGGTATTCAAGAGGAAGATCACTTGAGCCCAGGAGGCGAAGATTGCAGTGAGCCAAGATCGTACCACTGCACTCCAGCCCGGGCAACAGAGCAAGACCCTGTTTAAAAATAAATAAATAAATAGGGACTTGCCACAGGCACATGACCTTTCTTAAGAGACAAAGTCTTGTGCTGGGAATGGTAGCTCATGTCTATAATCCCAGCACTTTGGGAGGCCAAGGTGGGCAGTTCACTTGAATTGTTGAGTTCAGTACCAGCCTGGACAAGCTTGCAAAACCCTATCTCTACAAAAAATACAAAAATTAGCCGGGCGTATTGCTGTGGGCCTATAGTTGCAGCTATTCGGGAGGCTGAGGTGGGAGGATGGATTGAGCCCAGGAGGCAGAGGTTGTAGTGAGCCAAGATCGTGCTGCTGCACTCTAGCCTGGGTGATAGAGTCATACCTTGTCTTGAAAAAAAAAGAGAGGCTGGGCGTAGTGGCCCATGTCTGTAATCCCAGCACTTTGGGAGGCTGGGGCGGGTGGATTACTTGAGGCCAGGTGTTCAAGACTAGCCTGGCCAAGGTGGTGAAACCCCATCTTACTAAAAATACAAAAATGATCTGGACGTGGTGGCACGCACCTGTAATCCCAGCTATTTGGGAGGCTCAGGCAGGAGAATCACTGGAACACAGGAAGCGGAGGTTGCAGTGAGCCGAGATCGCACCACTGCACTCCAGCCTGGGTGACAGAGCAAGACTCCATCTCAAAAAAAAAAAGAGGCCGGGTGCAGTGGCTCAGACCTGTAATCCCAGCACTTTGGGAGGCCAAGGTGAGCAGATCACAAGGCCAGGAGATCGAGACCATCCTGGCCAACATGGTGAAACCTCGTCTCTACTAAAAATATAAAAAAATTAGCTGAGTGTGGTGGCGGGCGCCTGTAATCCCAGCTACTCGGGAGGCTGAGGCAGGAGAGTTACTTGAACCCGGGAAGCAGAGGTTGCGGTGAGCCGAGATTGCGCCACTGCACTCCAACCTGGGCAACAGAGTGAGACTCTATCTCAAAAAAAAAAAAAAAGAGACGAGAGTCTAATTCTGTCACCCAAGCTGGAGTGCAGTGGCACGATCATAGCTCACTGTTACCTCCACCTCCTGGACTGAAACGATTATCCTGCCTTAGCCTCCCGAGTAGCTGAGACTACAGACCCATGGCACCATGCCTGGCTAATTTTTGAATTTGGAGAGAGAGGGTCTCACTCTGTTGCCCAGGCTTGTCTCGAATTCCCAGGCGCAAGTCGTCTTCCCACCTTGGCCTCCCAAAGTGCTGGGATTAAGGCATGAGCAACAGTGCTCAGCCCCGTGTGGCTTTTTTTTTTTGAGACAGAGTCTCACTCTGTTGCCCAGGCTGGAGTGCAGTGGTGCAATCTCTGCTCACTGCAACCTCCACCTCCCAGGCTCAAGCAGTTCTCATGCCTCAGCCTCCGAGTAGCTGGGATTACAGGTGTACGCCACCACGCTCAGCAAATTTTTGTATTTTTAGTGGAGATGGGGTTTCGCCATGTTGCTTAGGCTGGTCTCGAACTCCTGACCTCAAGTGATCCACCAGCCTCGGCCTCTCAAAGTGCTGGGATTACATGGTGGGGGCCACCATGCTTGGCCCCCATGTGGCTTTTAATCTAAATCCTACCCTATCTCTTCCCAGCTTTTCTGTTTGTAGTCAGTGCTTTGTATTTCCTCAGTTTACAAAATCCCTTACTGTCTCCCACAAATAGGATTGAGGAAACAGTCCTTCTGTCACATTGCAAAGCCCTAGAAAAATGAAGGGACTAGAAAAATGAAGCTGTTTGATCCTGCTCTGGTTCTCAGTCTACCAGTGAGTGAAGGGCCGGAGGGCCCGGGCAAGCTTGAGCCCAGGATCCAGTGGGCCCACTGAAGTCAGGGCCCACTTTTGGGGGGCTGGGAAAAGGAAGGGTTGCTGTGGGACCACTGGGATAGGCCTTTAAACAGCACTTCACCATTGGCCTGAATCAAACATTGTCATTCCCAGTGTCCCGAGCACCTTCCCTGAGTCTTCATACCTTCTGCCTCCTAGCTTATGGAGGAGGAGCCAGGGGCTTATCTTTTGGGGGAAATGAGAGCACGATTAGGCATCAAGAAGGGTTGATGAGAAACTGGTAAGGGGGACTGTCAAGAACAGCAGAGTGCTGAAATGGTGACAAAAGCTCTGGGCTCCGGCCCCAGCTCTGTACTGAGAAGCTGTGAGATTTTGGGCAAGTCTCATAACCTCTGAATGCCAATTTCTCAATGGAAAACAGGGAGACTACCTACCCTATAGGTCTGTGTTTGGAGAAAACAAAGTGTAAGCGCTGGACATACAGTAGCATCAGAAATGCTGAATCCGTTGGCCAGGGCTCATGTGTAAGGCAAACATTTCTTGGCCACTCCTGAGTAGCATGGTCTTGCAGGAATATATGCTTAAGTGCTGTGAGAGCACAGAGGAAGCTTTGCCCTTCCCTAGAGGGTTAATGGCTACCAACGTGAGAAGGTCACGGAGTTCCTTAATGAGAGGGAGCCTAGCCTAGAATAGGGGATGAATGAGAAATTGTTCTGAGAACCAGAGGCAAGGCTGCAACCAGCACATAGACAGGGGTCGTTGGTCTAGAAGGGGAGTCTTCTCCAGATGAGAGACAGCCAGCTTGCCCTGTGCTCACCATGTGCCCAGATAGTGGGGGCTTAGCAGGAGGAAGGTGTGAGGAATCCCAGGCCTTTGGAATTCCTTGAGAAAGCAGTGTTGTTTTGAAGGTAAGGCAGGGGATTGGTGACTGGAAACTTGGAGGTGAGTGAGAACCTAGGGATGAACGTTCAGAAGCAGGGCTGGAAGGAACTTAAAAGGGACATTTGGATTGTTTCTAGCTTTTGGGCAAAATCTAGGATTAAATATGATTTTTTCATTGATAGAATGCTCTATCAGTGATAAAGGCTCTTAATCTAGAAAACATACACCTCATAGGGGGCTTTACAGAGTCCCCAAACTCCCTGAAATTATGCTCAAAATATTTTGTGTCTAAGTGGAATGTGCATGTTTCCAAGGTTAAGCACTGCTTTTTTAGGAAGTAGGAGGTCCGTCCGCCACTGTCAGCTTGCTGGTTTCTGCTTACCCTCCTCCCCACTTCGTTCTTGAGGGGGTGGTTTGCTGGTCTTTGGCAGGGCCGCCACTCTGGGTCAGCACATCTGAGTCACACATGTTCCTCCCCAGCCCTATTGGAGGCTTTGTTAAAGTCATCTGCCCCTACCCAGGTCCCACCTGCCACAGGTGAGCTAGGGTTTTATGACAGCCGTGGCTGCAGTGAGTCTCCTCGACCTCTCGCCAGCTGTTACCCAGCAAAGCACCTTGGGGAGGGTGGGGCTGCCCACTTCCGGGGAGGGGGGGAGGGGGAGGGGAGAAGGAAGTTGATCTAAACCCGCCTCTTTCTCTGTCTCCCTTCCTGCCCTATTCCCCTCCTGCCCCTTCCCTCCCACCTTGCTTCTGGTGTGCTGTCCTGGAATTGCACGCGCTTCCTGACCACCAGGCTCTGGCCCTTGAGAAGCCAGCGGGGCTTTGTCCCTGTTGCTCTCCTTGCCAAACCCAGTCTCTCTGCTAGTGGTGGTTTCGGTTGCGACACCGTCCAGGTTCCCAGGCAGGAACCGCTCGGCCTGGCTGCTTAGCTACTTTTCACTGAGGAGGTGGTGGAAGGTGTCGCCTGCTCTGGCTGAGTAAGGGTGGCTGGCTGAGCCGGCAGCCCCCGCCCTAGGCCTGGCTCTTCCCGGCCTCTGTACTTTGCCCTCGCTGCCTGACAGGTTCTGCTGTGGGCTCTGCTGAATGGAAGTCGCTGGTAGTCCTTTTCCCTTTCTCCAGTCGGGTATGTTGTCCCCCTTTTTACTCTAGGATTGCCTCCTCCTCTTTCTTTCCTCTCATCTCAAACATAGGATCTTTAGAGAGTTGCTAAGGGGCGCCCTGCCTGAGTCCAGCATAGTAATATTCATGGGAAGGGTGTCCAGATGTGGAAGAGGCATTGACTAGGAAAGGAAGAGGGGGCACATACCAGAAGGGTCTCCCCTGAGAACAAGCAGCTTGACAAGTGGGCGAGGAGGGGCTGGTGGGAGGCAGAGGCCTGAGGCCTCAGAGAGGATGCTCCCGTGCTACAGTGAGGGGGAGCCTAGGATCTGGGGCCATTGCCCAGGACTGGTGCCCAAGGGACACTTTTCTCCCCCAACTCTATAGTGCCTGGCTTACTCTGCTTCTGGCCAGGGAATATCACCCCTCCTGGTTTGGCTCCTTCTCAGCCCTCGGGAAGCCAAAGGACACTTGAAGCCAGCCCTGAATGCAGAGCCCCAAAGCATGAGCTTCTCCATGGGACAACTGTTGGTAGGAGCCTCCAGCATTAGGGCAGGGGCCCTGCCTACCTGAGTCAGCGCCAGGCCTCTCGGGGTGGAGGCTGTCTTCCGGGCAAGCCTGACAACACACCTAGGCCGAGTCTGAGATCCCAGGCGGAAGGGGCCTGACAGGCCCAGTGGATGCAAAACTATCTTTTTATTTTCTCCTCCATGTCCTGCCTTCTCTCTTCCTCTCAGTAGCAGACCCCAAAGCTGTTTCAGCCCTACTTCTGAATCAGGCCTGCTTAGTAACTACTTGGTTTGCCTTTTGGTTCCAAATAACTGCCTTGCAGGGTGACCCCTTATTCTTTCTAAAGGCTACTTGAGAGCCATAGGGTCTACTCTTGACAGACCTCCTCCATCCTTTAGGGCCTGTCTAGAGTATGATATAGGCCAGAGCTTTGGGAGTGCCTGGTGTGCCACGTCTTACTATAAGCAGGGAGGATGGTGGTAGAGGGGAGAGCGTGGCTTTTGCCAGGTCCTATTGAGTTGGCCCAGCAGGGCAGCTAATCCTCAGCCTGCCATCCTGTTGGTGAGACCCAGGGCCAAGCTGAATGGTGCAGCCAGAACCAAAAAAGAGAAACTCTCTCTCCATATTAGCCACTGCATACTCTTACCTCTTTATCCTTCAGGGAAGAAGCTAGGTGAGGAAGTTGCCTCACTTGGGGCCTTGGCCCAAGAAGCATTTCTGTTGGAGACTCTCTCCTCTCTTTTCCCTTTTTCTTTTCTCTGCTTCCTTCCAGTGGCTTGCCTCCTTACCCTGGCTCACATCCCTGCTGTGGGAAACATCTTACAGCATAGAAGAAGGGGTGCAGGGGTAAGTAAGGGAAGGATTGAGCACTTGGAGTCCTCTGAGTTGGATGGTTCAGTCCCGAAAAGGGGGTTGGTGACTTTGGAGCAGGGGATCAAAGAGCAAGCACCAGTGCTTGTTGCTTCTCTGGCTCCTGAACAAGCAGAACCTCCTCTCTTTCCCTGTCCTGGATACCCAGCGTGGGACCAGCCCTTCACAGCCACCCTGTCTTGAGTTCCTGACTCTCCTCCTTCCCTCTTTTGAAGGCTAGAGGTGCTGGTGTCGGCTAGCAACAGGTTGAGGGAGTGTGGCATTTCACCAGGTCTGGAGGAGAGCGGGCACTCAACCTGGCCCCTTCTGCGGAAAGGCCCGTAGCATCTCTTGTCAGCCTTCAGCTGAGCTGTAGCTGGCTTAGCGGGCTCAACTTCGATTTGGAAGGTTGTTTTGACAGTGAGACTTCTGGATTGGCAGACAGTAGTATTTGGGGACATAATGATTGCTCTTATTGAACATCGGATAAGGCATTTTACATGTGCTCTTTCATCTACCTGTGTAAAGTAGGGAATGTTTATTGCCACTTTACAGATAAGGAAATTAAAGCTTGTACGTGGGGGAGCCAGGGCTTGAACCTGATTCTGTTGGACTGCAGAGTTCCTCGGGATCCTCCCTGGCACAGATGTCTGGCAGTATTGGCCACTGGTCGTTTTTTGGGTAGTTCTCTTCCCCATTTGTAATAGTCTCACCTCCTTCTTGACAATGTTGATGTTACACTTGTTTTATTTTGGGGCTTTTTGTGTTTGTTTGTGTGTGTGTGTGTGTTTTCCTTTTTGTGAATGGGGGTCTCACTGTATTGCCTTTTTAAATATATTCTTTTTTTTTTTTCCTTTTTGTGAACAGCAGGTCTTGAACTCTTGGGCTCAAGCTATCCTCCTGCCTCTGCCTCCCTAAGTGCTGCCTGTAAAGGCATGAGCCACTGTGCCTGGCTTGATGATGTTGATGATAATAATAAAGTTAATATGTGCTGAGTAGGTGACAGATTTAGGATTTGAAACCTGGCAGCTTATCTCCGACATCTACAGTCTTAACCAGAAAGGAAGAGAATGAATGGTACAATCTTGCTTGTGGTTGTTAAGCTCCTTGAGGCCCACTTGTGCAGCAGGGCCAGGCAGGGAATGCTGACCTGCTGTGCCACACAGACCAGCCCCTCGGTTCACCAAGAGGGATGGGCAGAGCAGAGCTCAGGATGGGCATGGGATGCCCAGATTTGGTCTCAGTTGGCAAAAGGCCCAAGTCTGCAGGTAGATGCTAAATCCCTGGTCTGGATTTTGAGAACTTAGAGACCGTCACACTTCCTGCTGCCTTGGGCTTATATCCTCGGAGAAACAGGGAGTGACAACAAACTTAGAAGGTGAACTAGAGGTTGCCAAGGAAACTTTCCCACCCATCTTCCTCTCGTAGGAGTTGGGGCAGAAGGAAGGTTTTTTCCTGTTCATTGCCCGTTAGGCAGATGGGTAGGGTTGGAGGCAGTCTAGCAGCACTGAAAGGGAGGATGGGGCTGAGAAAAAGGTAGCCTGAGGAGACCAGGCTTTCAGTACCCTGCTGGACAGGGCTAGGGTACCCTTCAGGAGGCTGGCCCAATCAGGTGCCAGCAGGGCCTAGAAATGCCCTTCTCTCCAAGGGGTGTGAACCCTAGAGTTCCTTTGGAAGGGAAAAAAGCAGGTATTTAAAAATCCACTTGTCTTGCAGACACTGTTTGAGGACCAACCAGGCTTAGGTGAGCTACAGGGTGCGTGGAGAACAGAGCACCAGAGAGCTCTGTGGGCTGGAATGAGCAGACAATAAGAGCTGGGGGGCTTCATGGAGATGCAAAGGTTGATGAGGAAGAGAGAAGGAAGTTAAAAGGGCCTCTTCTGGGATGTGAGGAGCCTCCCCCTTCAAACATCTACCAAATGCATGGGATCTTCCTCCTCCAAGGTCCAACCCCATGTGTTTCTGGGATCTGGTCAAACAGCTCACCAAAAGACAGCCTGCAGCTACCATGCAAAGGCCCTACGTGGGCACAGTGAAGAAGGGGAAATGTCAGAATCAGGATACTGTACTTAACTTGCTGCTGTCGTTTCTGCCTGAAAAGCATCTGGTTGAGCTAGCAAGCTTCTTGTCTAGGAATGCTGGACAGTTCCTTGGGTAGTAGCAAGTCATTCTTTTTTTCTCTGTGGTTTTTGAGTGCTTCACGTACAGCCAGCAGGGGCCATGAAAGGAAGAACTTTCACTCACACTCCTCTGGTCACCCTGCTGCCCTCCAGACTGTTTCCTTGAAGTTTCCAAGGCAGCTCTGGATGGTTCTGGGATGAGGCTCTGGCCTCATATGCTTTGTTGCAGTATGCTGGAGCGATCGCTCCAGATGTTCTTTGTGAGATGTAAACCAGGGCGCTAATCAGGAGTTAGACCAGACTCTGCATTTTTTTTTTTTTTTTTTGAGACAGGGTCTCGCTCTATCACCCAGGCTGGAGTACAATGGCATGATCATGGCTCACTGCAGCCTCGAACTCCTCCTGGGTTCAAGCGATCCTCCCGCCTCATCCTCCAGAGCAGCTGGGACTATAGGTGCATGCCACCACACCCAGTTGATTTCTTAATTTTTTTTTTTTTTTTTTTTTGAGACGGAGTTTCACTCTTGTTGCCCAGGCTGGAGTGCAGTGGTGCGATCTCAGCTCACTGTAACCTCCTCCTCCTGGGTTCAAGCAATTCTCCTGCCTCAGCCTCCCTAGTAGCTGGGATTACAGGCACCTGTAATCCACCATGCCCAGCTAATTTTTTGTATTTTTAGTAGAGACAAGGTTTTACTATGTTGGCCAGGCTGGTCTCGAACTCCTGACCTCAAGCAATCCACCTGCCTCAACCTCCCAAGATTTCTTAATTTCTTAATTTTTTGTAGAGACAGAGTCTCCCTATGTTGCCCAGGCTCGTCTCAAGCTCCTGGCCTCAAGTGATCCTCCTGCCTCAGCCTCCTAAAGTGCTGGGATTTAGGCATGAGCTACCTTGCCTGGCCTAGACTCTGAACAGTTTTAGTGAGATACCATAAGTTTATCCAAGTTTCTTCTGTGTTGTAGCATATATTCTTTTTTACTGCCAACCAATATTCCCCGGTAAGGATATGCTACGTTTGTCTATCCGTTCATCCAGCTGATGGGCATTTGAATTGTTTCCACTTTTTGACTATTATGGATTATGGTGCTGTGAACCTTGGTTACAGGTTTTTTGTGGATTTCTGTTTTCATTTCTCTTTTGTATATACTGAGGAGCGGAATTGCTGGCTCATATAGTCTGTGTTTAGCACTTTGAGGAATGTACACGTCTTCACATAGATGTATGTTTTTTGTCTAGACCATACCCTTTTTGTACAGGTTGAACATCCGTAATCCAAAAGCCAAAATGCTCCAAAATCTAAACTTTTTGAGTGCCAGCATGATGCCACAAGTGGAAAATTCTACACGTAACCCCATATGACAGGTTATAAGCAAAATTCAATCACTTTATTTCATGCACAAAATTATTTTAAAATGTCATGAAATTACCTTCAGGCCATGTATATAATGTACACATGAAAAATAAATGTTTAGACTTGGGTCCCATCCCTGAGATATCTGATTATGTATATGCAAATATTCCAAAATCCAAAACAATTTAAAATCTGCCACGTTTCTGGTCCTAAGCATTTTGGATAAAGGATATTCAACCCGTATTATGTTTATATGCCTCTTCAGTGCTGGTAGTTGTAGCTTCTGCTTCCTCATCCCCTCATTTGAGCCGGGTGGCAGAGCAGGGCAGACTGCTGCCTTGCTCAGACCTAATCGTTCAGTTCTTTCATTGTACAAGTATTCATTGAGCAGCAAACATAAGCCAGTCTCTCTAAGTGCTGGGATGTATCAGTGAATAAAGAATATATGCCTGCTTTCATGTGCTTCCATTTTTACTGGGGGAGATGGCAAATAAATGTAAAGTGATAAATAACAAAGGTTCAGTGGGGCATTCGTAGTTCAGCGGCAGAAATTTCGTCTCCTACGCGGGAGACTCGGGTTCGACTTCGGCCATGCAGTCCTTCCATGCAGGAAGGGCTACTACGTTTCTACCCAACAAAGTTATTATGGCTGGGCGCAGTGGCTCACGCCTGTAATTCCAGCACTTTGGGAGGCCAAGGCGGGCGGATCACCTGAGATCAGGAGTTTGAGACCAGCCTGACCAACATGGAGAAACCCTATCTCTATTGAAAATACAAAATTAGCCAGGCGTGGTGGCGCATGACTGTAATCCCAGCTACTCGGGAGGCTGAGGTGGGAGAATTGCTTGAACCCGGGAGGTGGAGGTTGCGGTGAGCTGAGATCGCACCATTGCACTCCAGCCTGGGCAACAAGAGTAAAGCTCTGTCTCAAAAAAATAAATAAATAAAAAATAAAGGTTCATGTAAGTTTTGGGTGGCGATGAGGGCGTTGAAGCAGTTATGACCATGTAGCTACCATGACTTTGAGATGCAGTCTTCTCGCAGTGTGCACAGGCAGCATGGAGGGAGGCAGGGTACCGGCTCTCCCTCCTGAACCAGACGAGCTGTTGTGTTGCCAATGGAGGTTCAGGGAGCCAGTGATGGGACAGCTCTGCTCCTGAGCTTTGCCACCCACAGGACCTGGGCACTGGACCTTATGATGTGCTTCTCTGGAGTGAAGACTGGCTGTCACCTCAGCCCCCTCTCCTTTCTTCTGCTGCCATATCATTCTTCACATGCCTACCAGCCCCCTGGAATCTGCCCCTGCACCCTCATCCCTTATATATTTTGCAGAGAGCGTTTAGAGGACTGGAAGTGTGGCATGTAATGGTATCTCTGTTTCCACCCCGCAGCCCACCTTGGGACACCTTGACTCCAAGCCCAGCAGTAAGTCCAACATGATTCGGGGCCGCAACTCAGCCACCTCTGCTGATGAGCAGCCCCACATTGGAAACTACCGGCTCCTCAAGACCATTGGCAAGGGTAATTTTGCCAAGGTGAAGTTGGCCCGACACATCCTGACTGGGAAAGAGGTGAGCACTGGGACTGGGGACATGGCAGCACCTCCCAGCCCTGTTGACACTCCAGCAGGTGGTGATGGGACTACTACTGCAGCCAACCTCTTGTTTATCCGGCAGAAATGAGATCTGAGATATAGGGGTGCAAAAAGCTGTGGGATGAAAAGGAGTAAGAAATATAAAGGAGGAAGTAGATTGGAATCCTGGGTTTCGCTGGTCAGAGAAGTGATTTGGGGCCTTTTTGTCTCATCCTCAGGTAGCTGTGAAGATCATTGACAAGACTCAACTGAACTCCTCCAGCCTCCAGAAAGTAAGCACATGGCACCTCCTGTCCCTTTTTTTTTTTTTTTTTTTTTTTTTTTTGAGTCAGAGCCTCACTCTTGTCGCCCAGGCTGGAGTGCAATGGTGTGATCTCGGCTCACTGCAACCTCCGCCTTTTGGTTTCAAGCGATTCTCCCGCCTCAGCCTCCCGAGTAGCTGGGATTATAGGCACCCGCCACCACACCTGGCTAAGTTTTGTATTTTTAGTAGAGATGGGGTTTCACCATGGTAGCCAGGCTGGTCTCGAACTCCTGACCTCAAGTGATCCGCTCGCCTCGGCCTCCCAAAGTGCTAGGATTATAGGCGTGAACCACTGCCCCCAGCCCACCTGTCCCTTTCTAAATCTCTCTTCTGGGGTCAATGATCTACTGACCCCATTTAGACCTTCTCTTGAATTCCTAGTTTAAATTTTCTGGCCATTTCGCTCACCGTCCCCCAACCATTCCCTCCCATGGCTCTGCTACCTTCGGGGCTTTGGTTGGATCATCTGTGGTGACTCCTCCTGAGTGGGCTTCCTGGCCATAGGCACTGGCTCTTGTGAAGTCTTTCTGTTCATTCCCAGCCACTTGGCCTACCTGTCTGACCTACTTCCTGCATCTTGTTATCTTCTGGCTTGTGGCCAGCCCTATGCAAAAACACATGTTTGTAGCCACTACTAGAAACACGTGCAGCTACTTCAAGATCTGGAATGATACAGGGGAGTGGCTTTAGAAATACAAGAATAAGAGGAAGCAGGGAACCTGCCGGTGGGTTCTGTGCCAGCTACCTTTTAGAGAATGAGCTCCAGCTCAAATTTTCTGAACAAAACCTAGTTCTGTTCATCTTGTGGCAAATCAGATATTTTCTCCATAAGCATATTGTGGCAGTTGAGTTAGGAGAAGGCATGATTCGTGCTAACAGAGTCAGATAGTGATACTGGGAACCTTAGGAGTAAGGGCTGAGGATTGTTGTTGAGGGCGATGCTCATGGAATTAGAGTGGATGAGTTGTTCTCCGGACATGCAAATAGCCAGAACCAAGGTGTTTCCTATTTATTGTTACCCCTGGGATCCCTTCAAGGGTTCTTCAGTTCAGTAGAAACATTGTTGTCATCATCAGGGTGTCTCTGCTTGAAGCTTTCCAGGAGGAAGGGAAAAAGGGCTGCTTATGACATCCTGGCTCCAGCCCCACAGAAGAAGTCAGCGTGGGGTAGGCCATTTGGCCTTGGGAGCAGTCTAGCCTGCCATCGTAATAATCGCCAGTCCACCAAGCCATCTTATTCCTGACCTTGTTTTTCTCCCTAATTCTTCTTGGTTTTCTCCCTAATTCTTCCTGACTCTCTGGAAGGCACCAACACCAGACAAATAGAGCCATTTTCAAAACCTTTTGAGACTCTTTGTTACTAAAGCCAGTCTGATTCTGGCCAAAAATGTGATCTCAGCAATGATCCCTGAAAAATGAACATTGAAGAAGCTAGCCCCCTCAGGGGTCTAGACAAGCCCAGAAAACCCCAAGTTCTCCCAGAAGAATGTCACTTCCATGCCAGGTGAGCAGCCTCAGGGGAAGAAGCCCTGGCAGCTGCCTCTGGCCCTATTTCAGAGCTGCTCCCCATTACTGCCCCAGAGGGTGGTATCCAGGCTTTTTGCCTCTCCATCCAAAATATCTGTTGGACCAGGGAAAAAAGTAAGAAAAACCTAGGCCCTAATAAAGGGTAAGGTCAGCATTGGGTTCCTGAGGATTGGAAAGCCTTTTTCTTCTTTTCCTTTCTAGCTTAGGAAAGCTCTGGGGCATCATTAAAGGGGAAACAAATGTATTCACTTTATTCCATAAACCATATCTTGAATTAGGGCTTCCCCTACCCCCAACAAAAACAACAACAAAAACTAGTTCTGTTCTTTGTGCAAGTGATGAGGCCTGAAATTACAAAAAGCCCCACCTCCAGTTCTCTGGCCCCCGCAGAGGGGAAGGAGTTCATTTCTGTCATCTTTCTTTATGGAAATACATGGTTTGGAGCCCCTGGTTTTGTTTCACAAAGAGAGCGTGAGTGTGTGGAGGTGGATTTGATTAAAATTGGCATCAGCTATATATAGGAGTGGCTTCTTCTGTCACCACCCTAGAGGCCCAGGAAGGAAAGGCCTATCCCCTAGAACAGAGCCCTCTGACTACTGTAAATCAGAAAATGATGGGGTCCCCCTCTGGTGCTCTACCACCCCTTTACACAGACCAAGCTGGGGTGTGTACTGTCACTGAACCAAGGCAGCAGCTCGGATTCTGAATATTCACGCACACGGGCTCACACTCCCTCCAGTAGAGGCACCCAGCCAAAACCTGCCTGCTGTTTTGGGGCTGGATTTGGTAGACGCAGCAGAGGGCATGGCTGGCTCATCCTGATGCCATCCCGGGTAGCACGTCCCCACAGCCAGCCCTCCTCCAGCTTCCCCAACTTCCCAGCCACAGGGAAGGCCGTGCATGAGCTAGACAACCACCCTATTTTCTTTTCCCTGCCCGGTTTTGGTTTTTTGGGAAAAACAAATCCTGGCAGGGACTGTTTGGAGAGACCTGATGGGAGCAAGTTGGGCAGGCATGACCCCTGGTATTTTATCTTCCAGCTATTCCGCGAAGTAAGAATAATGAAGGTTTTGAATCATCCCAACATAGGTGAGCACAAGTTGTTATTTCTTTCTTCTTCCCCAACAGCAAGGCACTGCTTTCCAGCATGTCATCTTCTCCCCGAGGTGCACTGCCTTCTGGAGTCTGCAGTCTTCAAGGATACCCCTGGGGAAGCTCAGCTCAAAATCCATCTCCCCTTCTGGCACACTGGGCTGTCTTTAGCAGTTTGGCTGGCATGAGAGGAACTTGTTCTTGGGAGTGGGGGATCATGAAAGGAGGGGAGACTTTCGTTCCTAGGATGCTCCTGGACATGTTGGAGAGCAGTATGTGGCCCCTGTTGCTTCTTGACTTAAGGCTTGGCCTTTTCTCTTGTAGTTAAATTATTTGAAGTGATTGAGACTGAGAAAACGCTCTACCTTGTCATGGAGTACGCTAGTGGCGGTAGGTGTGGAACTGCCTCTTCCTGTTGTGCCCCCACTTCTTCCACCTCCAGCCAGCTCTGACTGAGATCCCTGCCTGGTCTCTTACAGGAGAGGTATTTGATTACCTAGTGGCTCATGGCAGGATGAAAGAAAAAGAGGCTCGAGCCAAATTCCGCCAGGTAGGTGTGACTCCCTCCATAGGAGCTAGGCCTGACCTCTGCTTTTGGGGTTTGACATGTAAGGATAAGCTGCCTGTCTGTAAGTGGCCCTTGGAGGGTACTTTGGGCTCTGCTTATCCGTGTGGCAGGTTAGCACTAAGTCACAGGGTCACTGCTCTGTCAGCCCCTGTGGCCCACCCTCAGGCACCCCTGGGTTAACCCTTCTTCCTTCCTTTCAGATAGTGTCTGCTGTGCAGTACTGTCACCAGAAGTTTATTGTCCATAGAGACTTAAAGGTAAGGCATGCACTTCTCCTTGTGCCTTTGAGTGGGAGCCAGGTTGTTGCCTCTTGGTTCTCCATGATAAAACCATCAATAACCATCAGGCCCTGAGTGTTCCAGGAAACTCCAGCCTTTCTTTTTTTCTTTCTTTCTTTCTTTTTTTTTTTTTGAGATGACCAGAAAGCCCCTAGGGCTGCCTCTGATAGAGGCCTTGTGGCTGGACCTCGGGTTCCATTCTAGCCCTTGAGCAGGGGCCCTCTGCCATTTCACCTCTTGGCACATCACCTTTTAGTGCTGCCAAGCAAGGCAGGCACACTCCAGGCTTTCTCAGTCTTTCAGGCAACCTGGTAGCTGACCCAGGGAAGAGTGCTGAAAGTTCCACAGCTGTATCCCAGCTGCTTTGCAGGCAGGCACACACATACCATCTCCATCACCAAGATACTCAAGTTTGAGGACACCTGTGGGTCTCTTGGCTGCTGAGTCCTCACAGACATGATTTGATTAACCTGGGCCTGATGCTGAAGCTTTGCACAGCTCACAGGGTCTCTGGGCCTTCAGATCCCATCTCTCCCATGGCTGCCCACGTGAGGAGTGGCCTGCATTGCCTTCCTCCTGCCCAGCCTATTCACGCTGATTGAAGCCCTGCCCTGAAATTGGTGGAGAAAGTTCTGAGACTGAAGATGACTTTCCGTTTGTTCTCCCATTCCCCTCAGCTCCTTCCTGCCCAGGGCCTTAGTCTGGTCCACTTGGTTCCCTGATGTTTTCCATCTTACCTCCCAGGCAGAAAACCTGCTCTTGGATGCTGATATGAACATCAAGATTGCAGACTTTGGCTTCAGCAATGAATTCACCTTTGGGAACAAGCTGGACACCTTCTGTGGCAGTCCCCCTTATGCTGCCCCAGAACTCTTCCAGGGCAAAAAATATGATGGACCCGAGGTGGATGTGTGGAGCCTAGGAGTTATCCTCTATACACTGGTCAGCGGATCCCTGCCTTTTGATGGACAGAACCTCAAGGTGGAGTGAAGTGCAAGCTTTTTATTGCTTCTCATTTCCTCTCGGCCTCTGGTCTTAGCCCTGACCTCCTGCCTTTGCCACCTGTCTACATTTGTCCCAAGCCAAAGCTTCAGAGAAGGGCTTGCTGAGGTAGCAGCAGTCAAAGGCCTTCTGCACCTGGGAATGAATAACCTCAGTTCCTTTCTCGAAAGATGGGATAAACTGTGTGTGTGTTCATCCCCCAAGGCACTCCGGATTGCAGGCCTCGGACTGGTCAAGTTAGAGGGTACGAGGGTATTTGACTTCACTTGCCTCTCTGGTGAGGTGTCTTGTCCCCAGGCTGTCTGCCTTCTTCCATATTTCATTTATGTCTGCTTTGCCAGGCTTAAGCTCTCAGGATCTTGGATATTAGGTTTCTTCCTTTGGCCTTGGGGTGATTTCAATTTTCTAACCCTGGATCCTCCTGCAGGAGCTGCGGGAACGGGTACTGAGGGGAAAATACCGTATTCCATTCTACATGTCCACGGACTGTGAAAACCTGCTTAAGAAATTTCTCATTCTTAATCCCAGCAAGAGAGGCACTTTAGAGGTGAGCAGTGGAGCCCAACTGGCGGAAGGGCCTGGGGTCCCCACAGAAACTTTCCAGCTGAGTTTCTTCCCCCTGCCCTTTTCCTTCTCTGTGCTCCCCAGCAAATCATGAAAGATCGATGGATGAATGTGGGTCACGAAGATGATGAACTAAAGCCTTACGTGGAGCCACTCCCTGACTACAAGGACCCCCGGCGGACAGGTGAGGCTGTGCCGGGCTGTGAGGTTAAGCTTGCCTAGGAGTTGAGGCCAGTCTTAACTGTATGTCCCCCTGTGCAGAGCTGATGGTGTCCATGGGTTATACACGGGAAGAGATCCAGGACTCGCTGGTGGGCCAGAGATACAACGAGGTGATGGCCACCTATCTGCTCCTGGGCTACAAGAGCTCCGAGGTGTGTGCTCCCCGCCCCATTCTCTGACCTGGCCAGCCTCACTGTCTGTAGCACCTATGCTTCTAACACCTGTTGAGGGCAGAAGCTCATCTCTGAGTAGGTGTGCTCTCTGCTCACCAATTTTAAGCCTCAGCTTTGGTGTCTAAGGTCCTCTGGCCCATTCACTGATCTCCATGAGTGAATTAATAGAAAGCTGGTAGGGTCGGTGTGGGACTGGGTCAGAGTTTCAATACGGGTGAGTTGATCTAGGTTAGTCTGCATTGATTAGATGTGTCTAGGTCATCGGCTAGCACTACTACATTGATCTAGATATCTTTGTGTCTCTTTTTGTATCTGGAAGTGTACATTTCTGGGTGTGTGTGTGTGTCTCTGTGTGTGTCTGATCGGAAGTTTGAGTCTGTTGCTTTTTTTTTTTTTTTTTTTTTTGAGACGGAATTTCGCTCTTGTTGCCCAGGCTGGAGTGCAATGGCAGGATCTTGGCTCACTGCAACCTCCGCCTCCCGGGTTCAAGCGATTCTCCTGCCTCAGCCTCCCAAGTAGCTGGGATTACAGGCATGTGCCACCATACCCGGCTATTGAGTCTGTTGCTTCTGTCTAGTGCTTTATGTTTGGGTGTGTGTATCTGTGTGTGTGTGTGTGTGTGTGTGTGTGTGTATGTGTCCGTCTTCCCGTCTGTGGATCTGGAGACTTTGTGATTGTTCTTCTGCCCATTTGGGTTTTGTTCATCATCTGAGTATCCCCACATGAACTCCCAGCCTCCCTGCCCTGCTCTCCCTCTGGTGGTGGGATCCTTAAGAGGCACCTGGTGACACTTGGTATAGGCCCATATTGCTCTGTGTTGAGGGGAGTGGACTTGAGTCTGGACATGTGTTCTTGCGGATGTTTGTGTCTCTGGGTGTGTGGGCTTATGTATTCCTTTCTGAGACTGTGTTTGTCAGTGTCTGTGTCAGAGCATGTGTGTCTCCAGGGTCTCCTCCAGGGGGGATGTATTGGTCTTACAAGTGGATGTCCGGTATGATCCTGGGGTGTTTGAGTGTTGGGAGAGGGCGGTATGTGTAAATGTGTCCATCCATAGGGATCTCCACATGACTTCTGCCCTCCCTTGAAGCTGTTTTCTGTTTCTTTCAGCTGGAAGGCGACACCATCACCCTGAAACCCCGGCCTTCAGCTGATCTGACCAATAGCAGCGCCCCATCCCCATCCCACAAGGTACAGCGCAGCGTGTCGGCCAATCCCAAGCAGCGGCGCTTCAGCGACCAGGGTAAATGCTTTTGGGAGTTGTAGGTGGGGACTCACCCCTCTCCAGAGAGGTTACAGGTTCTGTGGGGACTTGGGTAACACAACTAAGTTTCAGTCCTGGTTCAGCCACTTATTAGTAGTGTGGCTATGGGCAAGCCACTTCCCTTCCCTCGCCTCTGTGGAATGGGGGCTTGCTGGGTTGTTGGCCAGCCCTGTAGGAAATGAGCATGCGTGGGGCTGGCACTCAGTGGACCCCTTGGCCTTACCCATTCCCATCCTCCCTCTGGCCCAGCAGCTGGTCCTGCCATTCCCACCTCTAATTCTTACTCTAAGAAGACTCAGAGTAACAACGCAGAAAATAAGCGGCCTGAGGAGGACCGGGAGTCAGGGCGGAAAGCCAGCAGCACAGCCAAGGTGCCTGCCAGCCCCCTGCCCGGTCTGGAGAGGAAGAAGACCACCCCAACCCCCTCCACGGTGAGCCGCACCCCCCGCTCTCTCCTTCCTTCCTGCGGTGGGGCCTGCCCTCTCCAGGCAGCTCTTCTCTTAATTCAGACTCTGTTCCCTTTGGCTACTACTTCTGCTTATAGCAGGAAGCCTCGCTCCCAGCAGTAAATGCAGAATCCTTTCCTTAACCTACCACTGTCTGCTTCAGGTGGAAGGGACAGGAAGCCTGTTCCATGAACCTGGGGGGAGAACCTGGCTGTAGACCACTTTGGCTTTCTGATAGAACGCTTGCCCTTTATTCCCCACAGAACAGCGTCCTCTCCACCAGCACAAATCGAAGCAGGAATTCCCCACTTTTGGAGCGGGCCAGCCTCGGCCAGGCCTCCATCCAGAATGGCAAAGACAGGTGAGAGACCCGGGCCCTGCCTGCCTCACTCCCTAGGAGCCATGTCTCACAGGGTGATGTCTGTCAGCAGCACCGTCTCCTGTCCCTGCCAGCGCATTGCTCCCTGCTCCCTGGAGTTCCATCCTGGCTGTGTCCAGTCCAGCTTTCCCCTCCCCTATTCCACGCCATTGCCTCCTCCCCATCTTCCTCTGACTGCTACTTGCAGTTTGCCAAGTGTGGGGCTGACCGTGGCCATCTCAGCTACATGCTCGCTTCTTGACCACGGCCAGGGCATGGCAGCTGCCCTCCTCTAGACATGAGCAGCTAAGGCCTTGTGTTGGGGGTCCCAGCTCAGGGCAGAACCAAGAGATGCCCACCTTGAGGGGTGTACACATAGAGGGCGACTCCAGCCATCCCCATGAGACCAGAGCTCCCCAGCCTTCACCGGCCGCATTTCTTGGTGTTGCATTCCTGGCTCTATCTCTTCTGAGTTTATGAAAGTTTCCCCTCAGCAACACCCCACTCTTTCTGTAGAAGAAACTCTCCTGTTCTTAAAATTCTTAGGAGGCCAGTGCAGCCTGGAGGCAGCGGCCCCTTGTCTGCTCTCCTTCATTTCTGATTCCTCTTCCCAGGCACTGACCCACCTCGCTGCTTCCCGACCTCACTCACCTCCACTTCTCAGCCCCGCATTCCTCAGTTCTGACTTGCATCCCGCTGCTGCCCAGGCCTGACTTCTACCCTGCCAGAGCTCCCCAGCTCTGGCCCTTCCCCTGCCCTTGCTTCCTAATCCAGGCCTCCCGCCCTCACTCACCCCTAACACGGGCCTCTCCGCTGCTTTTGTTTCCTAGCCTAACCATGCCAGGGTCCCGGGCCTCCACGGCTTCTGCTTCTGCCGCAGTCTCTGCGGCCCGGCCCCGCCAGCACCAGAAATCCATGTCGGCCTCCGTGCACCCCAACAAGGCCTCTGGGCTGCCCCCCACGGAGAGTAACTGTGAGGTGCCGCGGCCCAGGCAAGTGTGCTGGGGCAGCTGGTGCACCTGCTGCCCTCAGCCCACCCTACCCCCTTGCCCCAACAATTTCTTCTTCCCACTTGGGGGTCCTGCTGTGTTCTTGTCATCTTAGCCACAAGAAATGGGTCTGTCCCCTGCGGCCAGGAAGTGGAGGGAACAAAAAAGAGCATTAATGCCCCTCTTTTCCAGTTCTCCCTCTCAGAACAGGTATGCAGGAAGCTGTCCTAAGGCTCCAAAGGGAAACCTTTTTGTTCTGAACCTTCCAGGGTTTCCTTAGGGACCCCGGGGATAGTCGGCATCACAGGGACTCAATCCTCAAGGGTTGGTCCCCATTGCCGCCTTGAGGGTCCAGTCTGCCCGGCTCCCAGGGAGCCCGCTGTCTCCAGCCTAAACCACACTCCACACAGGGGTCCTTCCTTGCCTCCCTCCCTCCCTTCCCAAACCATCTCCTTCCACTTCCACGAGACTTCCTTCTCACCACTGTCCTCAGTAGTCACACCCTTCCTTCTGTGTCCTCGTGATGGCTGCCTCTGCCCTAGCATCCCCCTCCCTGTCCCCACCACAGGGTGTCCAGGTGCCCAGTGATGGCTGTCCTGTACCCTAATTCGTCCCCCTCAACCCCACTTCTCTTCCCACAGCACAGCCCCCCAGCGTGTCCCTGTTGCCTCCCCATCCGCCCACAACATCAGCAGCAGTGGTGGAGCCCCAGACCGAACTAACTTCCCCCGGGGTGTGTCCAGCCGAAGCACCTTCCATGCTGGGCAGCTCCGACAGGTGCGGGACCAGCAGAATTTGCCCTACGGTGTGACCCCAGCCTCTCCCTCTGGCCACAGCCAGGGCCGGCGGGGGGCCTCTGGGAGCATCTTCAGCAAGTTCACCTCCAAGTTTGTACGCAGGTAAGCAAGGAGCTTTGGGTGGCAGAGAGGCTCAGGCCAGGCCTTCCTGCTTTACTCGGGGTGGGTTGGGGGTTGGGGGTTGGGGTTTGGGACACTCTGTACCGGTATTGGGTCCTGGGGTTAGAAGAGGCTTCAGGAAGCACAAGAAATTAGGTCTTTGTCAACACCTTATGTGCCCAGGCCCACCCCTCTTAGGCCTCTCCCCAACTCCTCACAGGCACCCCTCATTCTCTGGCCCCAAGCAGATGGCCGATGCCGCCTCCTCTCTAGGAGAGTGTGAACTCAGATGCTAAAATAAAAGCCCCCCCTTCTCTCCTGGGTTCCCATGGAAACTTATATTTGGTGACGCAGCTGCAAAGTCATGAGGCATGAGCCAGGCTGGGGCCAGCAAGGAAAATTTTGTCCTGGTCTCTTGCCCCTTTGACTGCCTCTCCCACTAGTTGGTTCTGTTTCTGGCTGCAGGCGCAGCCATGCCCTTCTGCCCGGGGGTTTTAGGGTGAAACCTATAAATGAAATCACTGGCGAGGGCCTACAGTGGCCTCTTCCCTAACCTAACTCCGATGTGCCAAAGGTTTCCTGTGTTGGACCCAGGGTGGGGATCTCTTCACGGGGTTTCTCACACCTGAGCCCCCAGCCACCACAGAGGTGCAGCTTGAAGTGCATCCAGCCAACTGGCTGGCCTCCTGGGATGCTCCGCATCCCCATCCTGCCATTCCTCTCCCTGCCTTGGAGTAGCAGCTCAGGAAGCAGCAGGGGCTTTGAGAGAACAGGCTCGCCTGCCCTTCCTCTACGTTTCACTCCACTCTGCTGGAGGAGCCAAAGCCACTGCCCCATCCGAGCCCCAGAATGCAAGTGTGAGGCCTGCAGAGAGTGTGGGCAGGTCTGAAAGCCTGGGACTCTAGTCTCGCTGAGCGGCTCTTCCGAAAATGGGATGACCCTTGAACCTGTAAAGCCACCTCCCCCACCTGCTTATCCACATACCGTCTTGTTGGTTTTTTTTTTATTTCTTTTTTTATTTTGTCTTTTTTTTGTTTGTTTTTTTAGAAATCTGTCTTTCAGGTTTGCCAGAAGGTAGGCGTTGAGCCCGCTGTGTGTGTGTGTGTGTGTGTGTGTCTGTGTCCTGTGTCCTGCCTCCATCACTAACTCCCCTTTTCTGGCTCTTACTCTCCTCCATCTGCTTAACCAAGTCTGTGTGGCCCTCCTCTCTCTGCCATCTTAAAGGGATGAAGACTGCCTCTGATTGGGCATCAGCACAAGGCCTGCCCTCCGTGCCCCCAGTACAAACAGGCAGGGCTAAGAGGCCACATTGGCCCACTCAGGGCAAATGGCTTTAAAAATGAGGGCCTTCCTTGGGCCCACAGTTAACGCCTGTCCTCAAGTAAGGGGAGACTGTCTCAGGGAAGCCTCCCTTTAAGATTGTCTCCTCTCACCCACCCCACCCCACCCCCACTCCCTCTCACCCCAGGTTTTGGTCACAAGTGTTGGGATCCTTTCCTGCCCTTTCCCTTGTCATGTGCATGCGCTATGAGGAAGCTCCAGGGTTACAAGTGCATCTGGGATGGTATCTTGTTTGTTGTCTCCTGGGTTTCCTGAACTTCAGAGCTATGTGACCTCTTCCCCGTGGCCTATGGGATCGCAGGACTTTGGAGACACTACGGGGACCCTGGGGCCCCAAGGTTTCAGTCTGGCTCCCCCAGACCTTAGGAGCTTTTGTCTCACAAATGGAGCACAGCACCCCCTCCTGGCAGCTCCTGCAGAACTAGCCCCACCCACCCGCACCCCTGCCCCAGCACCCCTGCCACCAGCAGCATCTGGATAAATCAAGCCTCTTCTCCTCTAGGCTGTTTTCTCCAGATATGGCCTGTCTCTTCCAAAGTGCGGGGAGCTGGGACATTCTAGGGCAACGGCCATTCTACCCCAAGCCGTAGCAAAACAACAGGAGATCTCTGCACCCTTACTCAGGGGTCTCCCTTCACAGTCCCCTTCCTGGCTCTTTCACCCCTGGCCTTATGCTCATCCTCTCTGCAGGCCTCGGGGACCAAATACCAAGCTGAAGACCAAGGGCCAGGTTAAGAGTGCTTGTTCCCCAAGGCTGTCTGCTCAGGCCCTGCATTGGGACTGGGATGCCTGGCAGGCACATTGGTGCCACAGCTGATGGAGGAACGTCCAGACAGGGTCTTCAGGCTTTCCCTATCCCCTCCTCCTCCCACCCAGCTGTTGACTGCATGACTGGCTGCTGCCTCAAGGGGCCCCAGCAGGGGGCTGCCCCACAGGGGGTCTGGAGAGAGCAGGGAGGGTGCCTTCCTCGCACAGCCGGGCTCCCTGCTCGCAGTGCGCTTGTGTGCACCCCTGTGTTGGTTGTGTCTTCCTGTTTATTTCTATGTGCTGCTGCTCTTCCTCCTTCCTCTCATATCCTTCCTCCTCTGCAATCCCCAGTTTCCTAGCTCCAGACACCCATCTTCCAGCCAGGAGCTGGAGAAGCCGCTCAGCGGGGCCAGACCTCTTCCCCACCCACCCAACCAAGGTGTCTGCCCTGCCCTGCCCCACCCCACCCTCATCCTCCCTGCGTATGAGCAGATGGCCTGGCAGGCCAGCAGGTAGGGGAGTTGGGAAAGGTCGGAGGAGGCCGCCTTTTCCACTCAGCAGCAGGAAGCCATCCCCAGGTGCCTACCATGCAGACCCAGGCCTTGGCACTTTGAGTCTCCTGACAGGCCCTTGCGTAGCCACGGCCCCTCCTCCTACAGAGATTCAAAGCATTGCAGCCCCTTTCCTCCAAAAGGACTGCAGTCCTGAGACCCTAGCGTGTGGCTCCAAAAACGCACTCACACCTGCAACCCCCAGAACAGCGCGTGAGCCCTGGCTGTGGGGGAGCAGCCTCGTGCCGGGCCGTGTGCTCAGTGTGCTCAGTGAAGTGCGTGCACAGCCACTCCCCCTCCTCCCCCAGAGCAGAGGCTCCTTCTCCCCGGCACAGATCTGGGAATGTGGGGAGGGACAAGCCCCATGTGCTGGGCTCCCTGCTGGAAAGGAATGGTTGAGCCGCCAGTGTGAGGTGCTGCAGAGCCCTGTTGGCTTGCCAGGTGATGGGCAGAGGGCCCTGGGCTTGGGTCCTGCCCACCCACTGGTGGCACCTCCCCAGACCCACTCTCATCTGGGTCTGTGGCGGCGGAAGGAGCGAGAGATCCCAGCACTAAACTCTCCCTCGCTCTGTTTTTTGAGGAACCTGAATGAACCTGAAAGCAAAGACCGAGTGGAGACGCTCAGGTGAGAGGGCTGGAGCCAGCACTGGCCCTGCCCGGGCCACCGGGCTTGCCACAGCCTCCTGCTCCTCTCTTCCTTCTGCCACTTGGCTCTTCCTCCCGTGGTTCTGCCCTGTCCCTACCCTCTGGGGCCTCCCTTTCCTCAGAGAGTTTCCCCTTCCCAAACCCAATTGCAGGAGTTACGGGCCCTTCTCCTCAGGTCTGGTATATTCTGGAAGTCGGAGTTCTGGGTCGGGTGGTTGGGGCTACAGATTCCTACCCCTGGACTATCCCACCTCCCTGTGCTCGGAGGCTTCTTTCTGGAGAGAGAGTCTGTGCTCGTGCTGTTGAGGGCACTGGTGTCTTCCCTGACCCCACCCCGCCTACCCCAAGGCTGGCTTCTCCTCCCCTTCGCTGTCCTGAGAGATGGGGGTTGGAGGACTGCCACCCTCCGCCCCCGCAGGCCAGGGGCCACGCCTGGCTGCTCCTGCTCCCTCCCGCTCTCCTCTCTGGGCTCAGGGGCTGTCTGCCAGGGTGGCTCTCCTGGGGTGGGGTGCCTCAGCCCCCCCGTGACGCCCGCCTCTGCCCTCTCCACAGACCTCACGTGGTGGGCAGTGGCGGCAACGACAAAGAAAAGGAAGAATTTCGGGAGGCCAAGCCCCGCTCCCTCCGCTTCACGTGGAGTATGAAGACCACGAGCTCCATGGAGCCCAACGAGATGATGCGGGAGATCCGCAAGGTGCTGGACGCGAACAGCTGCCAGAGCGAGCTGCATGAGAAGTACATGCTGCTGTGCATGCACGGCACGCCGGGCCACGAGGACTTCGTGCAGTGGGAGATGGAGGTGTGCAAACTGCCGCGGCTCTCTCTCAACGGGGTTCGATTTAAGCGGATATCGGGCACCTCCATGGCCTTCAAAAACATTGCCTCCAAAATAGCCAACGAGCTGAAGCTTTAACAGGCTGCCAGGAGCGGGGGCGGCGGGGGCGGGCCAGCTGGACGGGCTGCCGGCCGCTGCGCCGCCCCACCTGGGCGAGACTGCAGCGATGGATTGGTGTGTCTCCCCTGCTGGCACTTCTCCCCTCCCTGGCCCTTCTCAGTTTTCTCTTACATGTTTGTGGGGGGTGGGAGATTGTTCTCCAGCACCCCACATTCACCCCTGCCCAGAGATTCCCCCTTCTCCTCTCCCCTACTGGAGGCAAAGGAAGGGGAGGGTGGATGGGGGGGCAGGGCTCCCCCTCGGTACTGCGGTTGCACAGAGTATTTCGCCTAAACCAAGAAATTTTTTATTACCAAAAAGAAAAAAGAAAAAAAAAATCCCAGCGGCCACCTTTCCTCCCTGCCCCATTGGGACAGTCGAGACTGGATCTGTGGGGTTTCCCGGGAGGGTGGCTCAGGGCTGGAACACTCTCAGGCAAGAGTGGTGGAGCTCCCGTCAGGCCCTCCGCCAGGCCCACTGTGGGCTTCTCCCCTCTCCTCCCTCCTTCCCCTCCAAGCAAACCACCAGAGGTGGCCTTCCCCTGACCTCAGGCCCCTGGGCTGGAGGCCTGGGCGGTGGGGCAGGGGGCGGGGGTGCTGCGCAGCCCTGCAGTGGGTGGGGCTGGGGGCTGCTCCGGGGCTGCTGAGGCTGGAGGGCCGGCACAAGGCTCCGCCTCCCTCCACACTGTACCCTCTGCCCCTCCTCCCCAGAGCTGGGCATTTCCTTCCACAAGCTGCTGTGGGGACGTGTGTTCCCTCAAAGTCTGTGCCATCTTCTCCCACCCCTCCCGGGTAGAAGGAGGGGCTGACCCCAGGGCTGGGAGAGGGGAGGGGACTGGAGGGCAGACTGGCTTCTCGGTCCCCAGGGGGCCGCTTGGGCTGTTGGTCTCCAGAGCAGGGCCACTGGGCACTCTGTGATGGGGGAGCCTTTGTCTGAAAGCACAGCCCCCTCGCCCTTCCTCTCCCCATGGCTTCCCCTTCATTGGCATTAATCTGGGCACCAGCTCTCTCCATAGCAGTGACTTCCCTCACCACTCTCATCTCTCAGCCTTGCCTTTTCTTCCTGACACTGTCGCCCCCTCCTCTCAGGAGACACTGCCGAGGGCCACCTGGCAGAAGGCTGAGTTAGGCAGCAGGGCCGGGAGCGTCTGCCCTCCACAGGGTGGGGGACAGATAGGCTAAGCGACTCCCAGCTTGCTACCCTCAGTGGCCAGTGTGGGCGTGGGCGGTTTGGGGCGCTTGGCTGGTGGTGGCCACTGCATCCCTTAATTTATTTCTCTGCTGTTTCTGTTCTTGAGAAATTGGGGGTGGGAGTCCTACACAGAGGCTGCCCCTACCCTCACCTGAGTTGTACATTTTTTTGTGATGGGTTTTATTTTTTATTATTTTATTTTATTTTTTTTTTTTTTGATTTATGATGACTCCACCCCTCTTCATCACCCCCGCTCCCAGGCCAGGCTCAGCGATTAAGCCGAGCCCTTGCGTCCTAGGAAGGGGCCTTGCCAACCTCAGCCCTCCTGCCCCACACTCCTACTGCGGCTCAGACCAAGGGCTCCCCCTCCCTCCCTTCCCCCCTCCTGCCCTATGGAACAGCCCGGGTGCTCTGAGGGGGCTGGGAGGGCATGGCTTGGCTCCCAAAGGGGGTAGGGGCCCGGGGCACCCAGGCAAGGTGGCCCCTCCCCGTCTAGCCCCCTCCTCCCCAACCCTGCACTTAGTTTCTCCTCTGGATCAAACACGTAATAAAGAGAATGTTTGGAATCTGAGCTGCCTCCTCCTGTTTCTTCTCCCAGCCAGGCAGGGACCCAGTCTCCTGTGGGCAAGATGTGGCCTAGCCCACCTGCCTTGCAGGAGAGACTTGATTCCTGTCTGGGGCCAGTGCTGGGTGGGCCCAGCTCCCCACTTACCCACAGGGCACAGACAGGAAGCAAAGCCCAGGGCCCTTGCACCAAAAGGGAAAGAAAACTCAGTAAGCTTAGATTTTATTTTTTTTAATTTTTAAAAAATGTTGAAAAATAAATCCATGTCTGCATAAGTTCCCAACCCCCATTTCTCCAAGTTTCTGGAAGGTGGGCTTGGTGGGCACCCTCAGCTCCTTAGCATTTCCCAGCTGGCCCCTGAAGACAGAGCTTCTCTTCCAGCCTCTGCTGCTGTAAGGCCCCTCTGCCCACCTCCCCCCCTGCAGCCTCCCTCCCCACCTCACCCCAGACTTATTGCTAAAAGAAGGGAAAGAGGAATGAGAACAGCCAGCACACCCAACTGCCCTCTCCCCACTCCACGCTAAGGTCACTACCCCGGACACACAAAGGGCAGGACCCAGAGGCCAAGCCCCAGCAGACTAGGACACAGCCATTCCAGTACCGGCCAGGAAGCGAAAGTGCCCTCAGGCCAGCTCAAAGGCCCCTGAGCCCGGCCATGGCCCCAGGAGACAGGCCCAGCTGCCAGGAACACATGCAGAACCCAAAGGGCGGGGCTGGGCTGTCCGAAACTCTGGTCTTACAAAGACCCCGCCAGAGCCCTAGTCCCTTCTGTCCTCAGTGACACCAGAGATGCCTGGGGATGGCCAGCAAAGGGGTCCTGGAGCCCGTGGTTGGTGGAGGACGTCAGGGCTCAGAGTGAGGGTGCTGGGGGCTCCAGAGGGGTTCCAATCAGGGTGGGTGGGGGCTGAGGGCCAGGGCGGGCGCTGTGGCGGGGGGCAGCCAGAGCGGGGCGGATGAGAGGCGGTGGGGGCTGGTTGGGGGCCAGCCGGGGCTGGAGGAAGCGGCCCTGCTGCAGTGGGGGTGGCTGTCGGAGCAGAGTGGGAGCCGTGGGCAAAGGTGGCCTCAGCAGCGGGGGTGGCTGGGACAGCGAGGTGGGAGGTGGAGGGGGTGGTGGCGCAGGGGGCACTGATCGGGGCACGGACGTGGAGACCGATGTAATCTGGACCTGAGGGGAGAGGAAAGAGTGAGAAGCCAGGCTCTTCCCGCCCTCAGCCCAGTCTAAGGACCAAGGCGGCGCCTCACCTCGCCTCGCCTCTCCTCTCTGAGGGGTTTCTCTCACCCCCTTCTCACCTCATCATCTTCCTCTAGGGCTGGGGCTGGCAATGGAGCCCCTCTCCTAGCCTCCTCCATGGGGACTGGGGCTCCAGGGGCCCCATCCTGCTCAGCCTCCCATTCCTGCAGCACCTCCTCCAGATTGAAGCGGCGCCGGTAGCTCACAAAGAAAGTCTTCACCTGGGTCAGAGTCTTGTTCCCAATCACCTCTGCAATAGCCCCAAAGTCTTTGCCATACCTACGGATGGCTGCAAGGGTCAAAAGGGCAGCAGCGTCAATACCCCTTCGAACTAGTTACTTCCCTGACCCTTCCCCTCTGCCCCCCCACTCCTTGGAGGGTGGGGAGATAGATTCCTGGGGTCCTCTCTTCTCACCACAGTTTAACCCACCTTGAACAGCCAAAAGCTGCTCATCTGTGGTCCAGCGGGAGTTGAACTTGGTGTTGGCCTGGAAAGCAAGGAACAACATATCCTTTAGACTCAAAACCATGCAAATGGAAGCCCTGCTCCCCAAGCAGTACTCTTTCTGCTCTGCCTCCAGAGAGAAACCCCCCTTTGCACCCTAACTTAAAGAGCAGCCATACCTCCGGGGGGCGTAGTGGATCAATACCGCCCTCCAGGGCTTGGCGCAGGCTGCTGTTCGTCTGCTTCATGCTCTGTACCTGGGAAGGCCAGGAAGTGGAGGAATATCAGACTCCCATCTCAGGCAGGCCACTATGCCCCTCACAGGACCCTACTTCTGCACAGACACCAGCACCACTGCCCCGGCAAAGCTTTCTGCCATCCACCATCTGGCTTGTTCCTCCTAAACAACTACTCAGTAGGGGAGCCGCTGGGGTTCTCCCCTTTCTGCAGACCAGTTTATATTTTTATTTTTTATATATATATATATATATATATTTTTTTTTTTTTTTTTTTGAGAAGGAGTTTTATTCTTGTTACCCAGGTTGGAGTGCAATGGCGCAATCTCAGCTCACCAAAACCTCTGCCTCCCGGGTTCAAGCGATTCTCCTGCCTCAGCCTCCTGAGTAGCTGGGATTACAAGCGCCTGCTACCACACCTGGCTAATTTTGTATTTTTTTTTAGTAGAGACAGGGTTTCTCCATGTTGGTCAGGCTGGTCTCGAACTCCCGACCTCAGGTGATCCACCCACCTCAGCCTCCCAAAGTGCTGGGATTACAGGTATGAGCCACCGTGCTCGGCCTATTTTTTTTTGAGACGGAATCTCACTCTGTCGCCCAGGCTGGAGTGCAGTGGTGCAATCTCAGCTCACTGCAACCTCCGCCTCCCAAGTTCAAGAGACTCTCCTGTCTCAGCCTCCCGAGTAGCTGGGATTACAGGTGTGTGCCACCACGCCCAGCTAATTTTTGTATTTTTAGTAGAGACAGGTTTCACTATGTTGGCCAGGATGGTCTTGAACTGTGTACCTCAGGTGATCCGCCGGCCTCAGTCCCCCGGAATGCCTGGATTACAGGCGTGAGCCAGCGCACCCAGCCTGCAGACCAGTTTTTAAGAGAAGGCCCAAAAAGAACACCACATTACTCAGAGTCCCAGAGGATGGGGCTCGGCCCCTGAACCATCTCGCTTACACCTCAGCTCCCCCTAGACTTCAGTTCCCAGGTGCCGAATGCCACCTTTGCATAGCCCGTTCATTTCCCAGGGCCCCACCTGGCGCTTGAGGGAGATGAGCTGAGAGTCAAGACCTCGGAGCGTGAGGTTGGCAAGGTCCGGGCTTCCTGACACTGCCGTGAGGCCTTCAGGGCTCAGGTACATGCCCTTGGGTGGGCGACGCCGGGTTCGCAAGGGATGGTGGCGGTACTGAGACACCTGGACCTCCTTTTTCCCAGGGCCTGGGCGTGCATTCAGGGGCCGAGAGGGTAGAGGCTGCCAGTGAAAGGAGAGGCAGGTAGGTGGTGCAGAGCCAGAGAGAGGCAAGAGGACAGGCAGGCAGGGCCCAGAGGCTCTGGGAGCTCACCTCTCTCTTGGGATCTGCAGGATCGGGCTCTCCCTCACTCACGCCTCCTCGACCCTCTTCGAGCTCATCACTGCTGACACAGGGGCCAGGGAGGGAATGAGGCAGCTGCCAGGAGCTCTACCTACCCCCATGCCCAGTGCTTGCTCCTGCCCCCACCTGTCTTCTTTGTCCTTGCGGCCCCCCAGCCGCCGGGCCTGTCTGTCCATCACACTAGTTCGGCTGCGGGTCTTCTTCCAAGAGTAGTAGTATTTCACCAGGCTGGGAATCAACTTGTCAGGCAGCTGGAGGAGGCAACGCCAGAAGCTGGGGACCACTCAAGACTCTGGGCCCCAGGTAAGCTCTTCAGAAAGGAGGGGCAGAGGAGCGCCGGGGAGTGGGGGTGGAAGGGCTTTACCATCTGCTGGATCCGCTGGAAGCATTTGCCATGGAAGCCAAAGGCCTGTTCAAACAGCACCTTGTCCTCTACTGTCCACTCGTCAGGGAATGGGGTGAAGTTGGCCAGGTCGGCCAGCGACTTCTCCACATCGTGCTTATGCCACAGAAGCATGCCCAGCGCCTGGCCCGGGGCAAGGGGCAGCTGAGCCTGAGCTGCCCCGGCACCGTTCCACCCCATTCCCAAGTCCCTGGGGGCCAAGGCTCACCTGCTCAATGTTGTAGCCATGCTTCTCCTTGGCCATCGCAATGTACTTGTCAACTGCAGGGGCAGCAGGGGCAGGGTCTTGGTGAAGGGGGTTATAGCTCCTAACCCAGGCCTGTCCAGAAAGGGACCACCCCACAACGGCCAGGTCCCTGAACACGAGCCCCAGGGCAAGGGTTGGACCCACGAACACCTCAGCTTCCAGCCCCCTTCTGAGAAGAGCTAGCTTGGAGCTGGGATGAACCCAAGCCCCCACCTCCCAGGGCTGTGCCCCACTCACGCTTGGCATCTGACACACAGTGGTTGGGTGACCACACCAGCATCCCCTTCAGCTCCTTGTTGCTGTAGCGTGCGGGGCTCTCTGAAAGGCCGAGGAGCAGGAGGGAAGACACTCAGATCAGCCTGGTGGCACAAGCCTAGACCCATGGCCAGAGGGCAGCAGAGGAGTGGAGCCAGGGAGGTTGAGGCCCAGAAGGGAAGGAGGGGCAGAGACCCAGACAGGAAGGCAGGGCAGGAAAGCAAACCATGCTGGGGGGCCACCCACCCCTGCCAGCCTGCCCTTCCAGGGGAGCCAATCAAGGGCGCCCCAGGTGGGGCTGCAGGCCAAGCCCCGGGCCTCCACCCCCACCCCACTTCACAGCCTGTCCTGCGGCTCACCAGGCTTGCACTCCGGAATTACGGCCTGGTAATTGGTTCCAACGCGGATCATGCTGTCTGTGGAGCCAGGGGGAGGCAGTCAGGACTCCAGGGAGGGCGGGCGGGAGGGAGGATGTGGCGGGCGGGGGAGGTGGCCGGCCTGGAGTTCTCCTTCCTGACCACCCAGGGCCCCCACCTTCCAGGAGGCTCACTTTTCCCTCATTGTACCCCAGTTACCTGCAGCCACAGAAGGGACTGGAAGAGGAAAAGACCCTGTCCAGCCATGGCCATTGGGGCTGGAGGGTGGACAAGGGGACAGTTTTAGAGCCCAGGCCAAGCAGGGTGCTTTGTTCCGGGGGAGGGGAGCGGGGTTGGAGGGCAGCCCCTAGACCTGGACCACAGCCCTGCAAGGAACCCAAGGCTCCTTCCCACCACAGGAGCCTCACAGCTCTGTGTGGAGGTGTCTCTCCAGTCCCTGCTCCAGCCAGACCTCAGTCCCCTGCAAGGTGGCAAGGTATGAGGGACCCACTCTATGCAAGGGAGGGATGCCTCGGTCCCTGAGGGGGTGAGGGCAGGGCAGGGGCCGGCAGGACGCCTCCACAGCAGCTAGGGGCCCAGGTTCCAGATTGGCTGTGCCGGCAGCCTGGGTTTGTGGGAGAAGCAACGCAGAGGCTCCAATCCAGGAGAGGCAGGAGCCATCAGTGTAACAGGCTCGTGGTCTGCAACTCTTCCCCCTCCCGCCCCACTCCGCTCCCCCCAGGCCGGCGCGCCTTTAACCCTAGGCCACCGGGCTCACCGTGCGAGTGCTCCTCCTCGCTGCTGTCATCCTCCGAGTGGGGCTGTCCGCCGTTGGGCACCGTCTTGGCCCGGCTACGGGACAGGATCCCAGAGCCCGCGCTCGGCTTCTCCATCACTGAGGGCATTACCCCGCCCAGCTGCCCCGGGGGGCGCAGGAGCCTTCGGAGAGCGACAGTGGTTGCCGCACTCGCTCCGAGTGCCGAGCCCGGCCCGGCCTGGAGAGGTCGCCACTGAGGTTAGGAGAGGCAGGAGGTCAGCGTGGCTAGGGTCCGGCGGGGTGGGAGCCCACCTGGTAGCCCCAGCGCTCTCCACGACCCCCACGAGCCAGGGCGTCAGAAAAGTTTGTGCAGAAGTGGGGGACGCAAGGGATGAGCGCAAGGTCCGGTGCGGCTGGGGCGTGATTACTATGTACGCCCCTCAGGGTTGGGGTTCCCCTGAAGTCGGGGCCCCCTGTCCTCGGGGCGCCCTGGAACCCCACCGCCCACCTGCCCACGCCGTTCAGCGGCTGGGCGCTGGAGCGCAATCTGCGCCCCCCGGGCTCTGCGCCTCTCAGCTGCGCCGGGGATGCCCCAGTCCCCGGGCGGGGACCCGTGTCCTAAGCAGACCCCTGCCCGCGACGGCAGCCGGCCGGGGCACCGGCGGCGGCGGCGGCGGCGACGGCGGCGGGACGGCGCGCACGGCGCGCGGCGCTGGGCAGAGTTGCCGGGAGGCGGGCGGAGCGCAGCCGCGGGTGCCGCCTCGCACCCTCCCCGGCGCGCTCGCTCTCCCCGCCGCGCTCGGGATGCCGCTTGCTCGCCCGCTCTCCGCCGCCGCTCGCTCCTCGCGCACACAATGAAGCTGCTGGCAGGGAAGTAGTGCCGGCTGCGGCCTCAGCACCCCTCCCCCAGCCGATGCCTCCGCCAGCTGAACATCTGGCCCTGGGGTGGGAGGGAGGGCCCGGGGGGCGGGGCCAGGGGGCCGGGGCCAGACCTCCAGGGGGTGGGATCAGGACCCTGGTGGGGCGCGCGTCCCGCTGCGGGGGCTCCCCTCGCGTCCCTGGGCTCCCAGACTTGCCCCTGGGGGAGACCCCACTGCCCCCCAGGAGTAGCCAGGGGTCAGCCCCACCCACGCGCACACCAACACCACACACCAGTGGGCTCGGGTTACTGCCGCCTGCCCCGGGGGCCCTGGGGCCGCCTGCCCGCCCGCCCGGGTGGAGCCCAGCTTTTCCTTCCATTTCCCTTCCTGCCAAGGAACTCCCCGCCCCCCCTTCCGCAGGGGGGACCCCCCTTATGCGCCCTTGGGGGCCAGAACGGATGGGAGGCTGGACAGGCAAGGAATGAATTCCTCCAAGAGCTACCCAGCCAGAGGCTGGCTTCTGGTGGATCTGTGGGTCCCCAAGGGTCGCCCCAATTCCCTTTAACTGCTGCAGTATGCACCCCTAAACAGTGGTAGCAAGGGCTGAGGGATGGGGAGTGGGAGGTGTAGGGGAAGGTCTGGGCTGCAGGGGAGAGAGGAGCTGGGTCTCCTCCCCACTGGGTTCACTGTCACCCCAGCTGGAAGCAGCATCCCCCTCCCCCCGGACAAGCACGGGCAGAGTGACAGACAGGGAAGCGGGTAGAGCGGCACAGACGGAGATGGGGGAGGGGGTGGGCAGAGACTTTCAAAGCCAGACCCAGCCACCCTGCCAGGCACACAAAGAGCCAGCGCACACACCGGCGGCGGCTCCGAGCCTGCGAGCTGCGCCCGTGCCCGTCCCCGCCGCCCGGGGCACGTGCTGCAGCGCACACAAGCTGAAGCCCCCGCCCGCCGCCCCTCCCACCCGGAGCCCCAGTCTCCTGGACACACCTCCACCCAGGCACACCCCGCTGTGCCCAGACTGAGCCGAGCCCGCACTCGCGCCCTCCTCTCCCTTCCCTTCCTGGTCCACTCTGTAATCAGATTCCTAAATTTAGAAGCAGCCTAGGGCCCAGCCAGGGATCCCTGCCCCCACCCGCTGCCTGCGGCCGAGTGGCCGGGGTGTTGCGGTCGGGCCACGACCCGGCTGGGGCCGCTTGTTCCCGGGGACTCCTGCGGACAGCCAGGGAAAGCCAGGCTCGACCCCACCCGGCTGCTGCGCCGTCGAGCCACATGGGGCCACCCAGCCAGCGGCCACGTTGCCCGCCACACCTCGGGCCAGGGCTACGGGGCCTTTATCCTCCTCTTAAATCATGGATTGGGCACCAAGCCCCAGGGTGGGGAGGTCTGGACAAAGGAGAATGAATGGACCAGGGGCTGGTCTGAGCTAAGGAGGTCTGATTCAAGACTGAGAGTCTTCCCAGGCCGACCCCTCCTAAGTGGCAGGGCGCCATCCCTGTCCCCAGCACCTCCACCCTTTGGAGAGACTCTCATTTCTGTCCCCTCCTGCCTGGCAGGCAACCATTGCTGCACACCAGCCTCTCCTACGGTGCTGTCTTCCATCTTGCCCCCGCCCCCTATTAGGCAGGGCCTCAGTTGAGTCCCCCATCCCCCTTGCCTCCTTCCCAGACTCAAACCTGCACCCCCAGGCTCAGCATCCTGCTTATTTCTTGCCTCCCTACTCCAGGGCTGCCCCAGGTACCCCCAGTCTCTCTAGCAGGGATCCCCAGCCACTGGATTCCCTCCGGCCCAGCATCCCTCTTCCCCGCCTCCTAAGAACCTCATTCTCTTCATTTCTATCTAGAG